>NC_000020.11:39345022-39648052 GCF_000001405.40 Homo sapiens
ATTAAAATTTTATAGAGTAAGAATATAAAGAAAGAAAATACTTTTGTACAGCTGTAAAAAAGTATTTGCTTTAATTCTAAGGGTATATACAAAAAAATAAAAAGCAAAAGGATACAATAACAAACCAGAAGATAATAACCGGGGTAATTATCCTTAGATAAAACAAAGCCTACTTTAAGAAAAGCAGGATTATCAGAGATAAAAATAGACATTTTATAATGATGAGAGGGTCAATCCACTAGGAATATGCAATAATTCTAAATTCATGTGTACCTAATTAACATAGTTTCAAAACTTATCAAGTAGATATATGGACAACCATAGTGGAGCTATAATTTTCTCAGAGCTGACAGAACAAACAGATAAAACGTCAGTAAAGATAGAGAAGATCTGGTTCCAATTGACGTAATTTTCATAAATAGATCTGATTTACTGAATTGAACAAAACTAGCTGACTTAATTGAATACTAATTTAGTGTTGATAAAATATTTTTTAACACCACACATGGACTATTAAGTAAAATTGATTATATTTTGGAAAAGAACTCAGGTTTCACCAAATTTAAAGCATTAAAACTGTTCAGCATATATTCTCTGACAGCCATGGAACTGAGAAACAAATAACAAAAATAAAATTAGAAATGCTTAAATATTTGGATATTAAACATTTCATTTCTAAATAACCTGTGAGTCAAAAATAAATTACAGTAAAAATTAGATAGCATTTTGGACGATAAAATCATGAAATATGAAAACATTCGGATGCAGCTAATGTTGTGTTAGAGGGAAATGTATAGTCCCATATTTTTATATGCATAAAGAAGAGAAGCTAGAAATTGACCACCTAAGTATTAATCTCAAGAAGTTAGAAAATATTAAACACAAAGAATATGCAAAGAATATGCAAACACAAAGAAATAAAATAACAAAAATCAATTAATAATACAAAATTAATAAATGATAAAACAAATATATGATAAAGACAAAAAAACCAAAATGTTGATTATTAGAGAGGCTAAATAAACATATAGCAAGACTAATCAGACAAAAATTAGAGATGGCAAAAATTACAAAATGAGAAAAGAGATTAATATAGATTATATAAATATCAAGGATATAATGTAAAATTTTACACTGATTCATTAAAAAATGAAGATTAATGATAAAAATTCCATAAAAAACATGATTTGTCAAATTTGACCTATAACAAGAAAGAGACTATCTGAATAGTCATATGTTACCAAATATATTAAACTGAAATTTATAATCCTCCCTCACAAAAATCTTTAGGTGCAAATTACTTTGCCAGTGAAATTTTAAAGAAATTTATGTAAGAAATAATACAAATATTATGCAAACTTTTAAAAAAATTACAAATAAAAAAATCAGGATACTATTCTTTGGTCAGTGAGTCCCAAACAAGGACATTACACAAAAGGAAACTTATAAAAACAGTCACATTATTTATTATATTGATGACATTAAAGAAAAAATGTCAACATCTCAATACATACAGTAAAAACATTGGAAAAATTCAAGACCTGATCATTGTAAAATTGTGAAGATATCTAAAAATAAAAGGAAATTTACTAAATCTGATAATATCTATGAAAAGTCACAGAGCAAGCATCACATAATATTTAATAGTGATATATTAAAAATTTTCTCTGAAGTTGGTAATGACCTAAGGATGACCACTATTGACATTTCTAATGAAAATTATAGTAGAGGACTTATCCAATGCAGTAAGTCAAGGAAAAAAAAATGAAATGCGTAAAGATTGAGTAGAAAGAAATAAAACTATCATTTTTTGTAAATGACATGAATGTATATGTAGAAAATTTATATATACTATAAAATTAATAGGGGAAATTTGCATGGCTCAGTAAGTTAACATGAAAATGAATTTTATTTCTATTATGAACAAGCAAGATATAAAAAATGATGTTATTATTTAAAATGCCATCAAACTTCTCAATTACCTAAGAATAAATTGAAAATGGCACAAGATGTATGCACAAAAAACCATTAAACGTTGTTGAGAAAAATTAAGATATAAAAATCCTGAGGGATATAGCATGTTCATACCTTGAAAGATTCAATATTGTAAAGATGCCAACCCTCTTCAAATCATTGAATGATTCAATGTGATCCCTTTCAAATATCAGCAGGTTTTTTGTGTATATCTACTTGTGTGTGTATTGTATGTGTGTATCCATGCAGACATAACATGTTTACCTGGAAATATAAAGGACCCATAATTGCCAAGATGATTTTTAAGAAGAGCAAAATTGGAGGACTTGCGCTTATGATATCATTTATTTTGAATGAGTGATATCAGCAATATCTCAGAATAGGACTTTCCAACACTTGTCTCCTTAGAGAAACATCAATCTGAACACCTATGCAAGCACAAAAGTATCTTCAGAAGAGTTAAGAAATCTAGGTGAGAGATTATGGCATCTGAGTGGAGCACAGAAGTAAGAAAAGATGCATTGAAAACGGTAGAAAGGACAGTTTTACATTACTTGCATCACCACTCCCCCAAGCCAAGGCAGTGCAATGTGGAGAGAGATTTCCTGTATATGAGAGAAGGAGAATGCAGTCAGCACCTGATTTCACAGTGGACACCAGCACTAGACCCATTTCAGTGAACTTCAGTGCCAAGCTAGCCTATATGGCTCCAGTTTCCAGGTTCAGCCCTGCAGACCCAGGCACCAGGCCTAGGCCTAAGGGCCCACGTGCTCGACCTACTCCAGTGAACACTGGCCTCAAGCCAACCCCTATGAACACAGGACCAAGAACATTCTCATGAACAAAGTACAAGCCTGCCCCAGCATCATTTAGTTCCTATGGACTCAGGCTCAAGGCCAATCCAATGTTGGCTCTCACATACCCAAGCTTCAGTCTAGGCCTTGTGGACGCAGACTCCAGGCCTGTCCAGTAGACTCAGTTCACCCCTGTGGACCTTGGCACCAAGCCGATCTCCGCAGACCCAGGATCCAGGTCCATCCTTGCCTAAGCATGAGGTTTATGTTTTAACTCCAATTGCTCTAACCCCAGTGGATCCAGGCTCCAGGATTGCTTTCATGTACTCAGGCACCAGTTCAGCCCCTGTGGGTCCAGATGTCAGGCCAGCCCACCTGCTGACCAAGACACCAGGTCAGCCTACCCAGGAACTCTAAGCAATAAGGCTGACTGTACTCTGCCACCAGATGGCCTGCACAGAATCTCTGGATAGGTTGACTGGTAAAGGGATTTCCTTGCCAAAGCCAGTCTGTAAAGAATGTAAGAGGCGCCTGCTTCAAATGCACAGACACCAATGCAAGGCCACAGGGATCATTAGTAATCAGTGAAATACGGCACCACTAAAGGAACGAAATAAAGCAAGAGTAAGTGACTCAAAGGAATGGAGATGGAGGAGCTGCCTGACAAAAAATTAAAAATAATGATCTTAAGCAAATTCAGTGAGCTACAAGAGAACACAGACAGCTGAACAAAATTAAGAAATACATTTACAAAATGAGAAGTTCAACACAGAGGTAGAAATTATAAAAAAGAACTAAGCAGAAATTCTGGAGCTGAAGAATACAATGACTAAACCGAAAAATTCCATAGACAGCTTCGATAGTAGACTTGCTCAAGCAAAATAAAGAATTAGTGAGCTTGAAGATAGATCATTTGAAATTAACCAGTTACCAATTACTCAAATTCAGAATATTGAAGAGAATCTAAAAGGAAAGATAATGAGAAAGAGTGAAGAAAGCCTGTGGAACTTCTCAAACACCATCAAGCAAACTGATATATGCAGTATGGGTGTCCTAGAAGGGGCAGAGAAAGAAAAAGAAGCAGAAAGCTTATCTAAAGAAATGATGACAGAAACTTTCCAAATCTGGAGAGGAAAATGAATGCTCAAATTTATGAATCCCAAATAACCTCAAATACATTAAACATAAAGAGGTTTCACTAAGATACATTATAATCATATTCTCAAAAGTAAAAGGCAAAGAGAATTTTAAAAGCAGCAAGAAGAAAGTTTCCTTAGGTGCAAGGAAACCTTTTTGGTTTTTTAGAGATGGATTCTTGTTAGGTTGCTCATGCTGGAATGCAGTGGCTATTCACAGGTGTGATTCCACTACTGATCAGCATGGGAATTTTGACCTGCTCTATTTCCAACCTGGGCCAGTTCACTCCTCTTTAGGCAACCTGGTGGTCCCCCACTTCCAGGAGGTCACCATATTGATGCCGTACTTAGTGCAGACACCTAATTGGCATATCATATAACACCCCAGAACTCCTTTGCTCAAGCGATCCTCCTACCTCAGCCTCTTGAGTAGCTGGAACTACGGGCATGCACCACCATGCCTAGCACATACAAGGGAACTTTTGCAAGACTATCAGTGGATTTCTCAGCAGAAACTTTGATGGCCAGGAGACAGTGGGATAATATATGCAAAGTGCTTAAAGAAAAAACCTGCCAGCTAAGAATACTATATCTGAAAGGCTGTCCTTCAGAAATGAAGCAAAATAAAGACTTCTCCAGAAAAACAAAAGCTGTGGGAATTCGTAGCCACTAGATTTTCCTTACAAGAAACACTGAATGGAATTCTTCAAGTCGAAACAAAAGGACATAACTAATGACATAAAATATGTGAAAGTGGCTGGGCGTGGTGGCTCCCTGTAACCCCCAGCACTTTGGGAGGCTGAGGTGGGTAGATTACAAGGTCAGGAGATCGAGACCATCCTGGCTAACATGGTGAAACCCCGTCTCTACACACCTAGCCAGGCGTGGTGGCACACGCCTGTAGTCCCAGCTACTGGAGAGGCTGAAGCAGGAGAATCACTTGAACCTGGGAGGCGGAGGTTACAGTGAGCCAAGATTGCACCACCATACTCCAGCCTGGGTGACAGAGCGAGACTCTGTCTCAAAAAAAAAAAAATAAATAAATGAAAAAAATAAATAACAAAACAAAAACAAGATGTGATAGTACAAAACTCACTGTAAATATAAGAAAATAGTCAAATTCAGAATACTCTAATATTGTAATGGTGGTGTGAAAGTCATTTTGAATTCTATATAAAGCTTACAAGATGAAAGTATTAAAACAACTAAAGCTATAATAATTTGTTAATGGATACACAATATACAAATGATATAATTTATAGCACCAATAACAAAATGTCAGAGGAGGGAAGTTAAAATGTAGAATTTTTGTACGTGGTCAAAGTTAAGTACTTAAACAGCTTAAAATAGACTGTTATAACTGTAAGATATTTTTTGTTAGACTCATGGTAATCACATAGAAAAAACATGTAGTAGATAAACAAAAAAATGAAGAGAAAGGAATCAAAATATACCACTACAAAAAAATCCCATCATAAAGGAAGACCACCAGGGAGGAAGAATGAAACAAAGAAACTACAAAACAGTCAGAAAATAATTAAAAATGGCAGTAGCCAGTCCTTAACCTGTCAATAATTCCTTTAAATATAAATGGATTAAATTCTCCAACAAAAGACATAGAGTTGATAAGTTGATGAAACCCACAATCCAACTATATGATAAGAGACTCATTTTAGCTGTAAAGACACACATAGGCTAAAAGTGAAGGGATGGAAAAAGATATCCCATGCAAATAGTAACCAAATGAGAGCAGGGTTGGCTACACTTACATCAGACGAAATACACTTTAAGTGAAAATTGTCATAAGAGACCAAAAAGGTCATTATGTAATAGTAAGGGGTTTAATATATCAAGAGGATATAACAACTGTAAAAATATGTGCACAAGCAATAGAGCTCTTAAATATATAAAGCAAATATTAACAGCTGAAACTAGAAATATACAGCAATACAATAATAATAAGAGGCTTCAATACTCCACTTTCAAAAATTGATAGATTATTCAGACAGAACATCAATAGGAAAACAGTGGACTTGAACATGATAGACCAAATGGACCTAACAGACATATAGCATATTCTGTTCAACAGTAGCAGAATACACAATCTTTTCAAGAACACATGGAACATTCTCCAGGACAGATCATACATTAGGCCACAAAACAAATCTTAACAAGTTTTAGAAGATTGAAATTATAGCAAGTGTCTTTTCTGACTACAGTGGAATAGAACTAGAAATCATTAACGGAGGAAAATTGGAAAATTTAGAAATATGTAGAAATTAAGTAATGCATTAATTTCCAAACAACTAATAGGTCAAAGAAGAAAAGTATCTCAAGCCAAATGAAAATAGAAACATATCATACTAAAATATATGGGATGCAACAAAAGCAGTCCTAAAAGTTTATAGCAGTAAAGTCTTACATTAAGATAAAAGAAAAATCTCAAATAAATTATGTAATTTTACACCTCAAGGAACTAGATAAAGAAGAGCAAACTAAGCCGAAGGTTAACACGAAAAGAAAGCAATAAAAATTAGAGTAGACATAAATGGAGACTAGAAAAACAATAAGACCAACAAAAATAAAAGTTTGTTTTTTGAATGCGATAAAATAGACAAGTCTTAAGCTAATCATAACTAAGAATAAAAGAGATAAAACAAATAAATAAAATTATAAGTGGAAGAGAAGACATAACTGATACCACAGAAATACAAATGATTGTGACACTATTTCCAGTAATTACATGCTAACAAACTGGCAAACCTAAAAGTAGTGGGTACATTCCTAGAAACATACAACCTTCTGAGATTTGATAATGAAGAAATAGAAAATCTAAATAGACCAATAACAAGTGACATGGTTTGGCTGTGTCCCCATCCAAATCTCATCTTGAATTGTCATTCCCATAATCCCCACGTGTTGTGGGAGAGACCCAGTGGGAGGTAATTTAATCATGGGGGCAGTTACCTTCATGCTATTCTCATGATAGTGAGTGAGTTCTTGCAAGATCTGATGGTTTTAGAAGGGCTTTTCCCCCTTCTGCTCGGCACTTCTCCTTGCTGCCTCCATGTGAAGGATGTGTTTGCTTCCTCTTCTGTCATGATTGTTAAGTTTCCTAAGGCCTCCCCAGCCATGCGGAACTGTGAATCAATTAAACCTCTTTCCTTTATAAATTACTCAGTCGGAGGTACGTCTATTAGCAGTGTGAGAAGGGACAAATACAACGAGTAACAAGATTGAATCAGTAATAAAAAATCTCCCAACAAAGGCAAGCTTGGGACCCAATGACTTTACTGATGAATTCCATCAAACACTTAAAGAGAAACTAATGCCAATCGTTTTCAAACTCTTCCAAAATGTTGAAGAGGAGGAAACACTTCCATACTTACTCTATGAGGCCAATATTACTCTGATATCCAAACCAGACAAGAATGCTTTAAGAAAATAAATTACAAGCCAATATTTCTGATGAACATAGGTGCAAGAATTCTCAACAACATATTAGCAAACTGAACTCAACAGCCCATTAAAAACATCACACACCATGATCAAGTGAGATTTATCAGTAGGTTGCAAGGATGGCTTAACATATGTAACTCAGTACATGTGATACATCATGTTAACAAAATGAAGGACAAAAACCACAATATCTTCTTAATAGATGCGGAGAAAGCATTTAACAAAATTAATCATCCATTCATGATAAAAACTCTCAAAAAATAAGTATAGAGAGAATGTACCTCAACCTAATTATTTTGATAAACCCATAGCTAACATCATATTCAGCAGTGAAAACCTGAAAGCTTTTCCTCTAAGATCAGGAACAAGACAGGAATGCTCATTCTTATCACTTCTATTCAATATAATACTGAAATTCCTAGACAGAGCAATTAGGTAAGACAAAAAAAAGGCATCCAGCCTGGAATGGTGTCTACACTAAGCTTGGCATCAATATGGTGACCTTCTGGAAGTGGAGTACCACCAGGTTGCCTAAGGAGGGGTGAACTGACCCGGGTTGGAAATCGAGCAGGTCATAACTCCCATGCTGATCAGTAGTAGAATCACTGCACTGTTCCTTTTTGCAGGTGACATAATTTTATATATCAAAAATCCTAAACACTTCATCAAAAAACTTTTAGAACTAATAAAGTCAGTAAATTTGCAGGACACAAAATCAAAGTGCAAAATCAGTAGCATTTCTATACACTGACAGTGAACTATCAGAACAAGAAATCAAGAAAATTATCTCTTGTACAATAGCATCAAAAAATTAAATACTTAAGAATAAACTTAAACAAGGAAGTGAAATATCTTTACACTGAAAATTATAAAACATTGATGAAAGTATAGAAGAATAAGTGGCAATATGTCCCACATTCATGGTTTGAAAAAAGTAATATCATTAAAATGTTCGTACTACACAAAACTATCTACAGATTCAATGTAATCCCTATCAAAATTACAATGACATTTTCACAAACATTAGAAAAAAATCCTAAAATTCATATAGAACTACAAAAGACCCTGAGTAGCCAAAGCAATCTTGAATAAAAATAACAAAGGTGGAGGCATCACTACCTGATTTCAAAATCTACTATGAAGTTATAGCAATATAAAAAGCACTGACAAAAAAAACAAACATGTGGACCAACGGAAGAGAACAGAGAGCCCAGAAATAAATCCAGACATTTACAGTCAATTGGTCTTTTACAAAGATGCTGAAAACCACCAATGGGAGAAATGACAGCCTCTTCAATAAATAGTGTTGGCAAAACTAGATGTGTTAGTTCATTTTGCATTGCTATAAAGGAATACCTAAGACTGGGTAATTTATAAAGAAAAAGGCTTACTTAGGTCATTATTCTGCAGGCTGTACAGGCATGGTGCCAGTATCTTCTTGACTTCTGTGAGATCTCAGGAAGTTTTAACTCATGATAGAAGGCATAAGGGGAGCAGGCATGTCACAGTGAAAGAGCAAGAGAGAGAGGGGAGAGGTTCCAGAGTCTTTCTAACAACCAGATTTTGCATGAACTCATTACCATGGGAGAGCACCAAGTCATTCATGAGGGATTTACCCCTCATGATCTGAACACCTCTCACTAAGCCCCACTTCCAACATTGCAAATCACATTTAAACATGAGGTTTGGAGGGGACTAACATCCAAACCATATTGCTAGATATCCACATGCAAGAGAATGGAATTGAACCCTTATCTTAAACCATATAAAAATCAACTCAAAATGGATGAAAGGCTTAAATAAAAGACCTGAAACTGTAAAACTACACATAGAAAACACAGGTAAAAGCATTTTGATATTGGACTGGGCAATGATTTTTTGGATATGATCACAAAAGCACAGGCAATGAAAGCAAAAATAGGCATTGCATCAAACTAAAATTTTTCTGCACAACAAAGGAAACAATCAGCAGAGTGAAGAGATAACCTACAGAATTGGAAAAATATCTGCAAACCATACATCTGATCAGGGGATCATATCCAAGATATGTAAGAAACTACAACAACTTAACAGAAAGGAAACAAAGAACCCAATTTAAGTGTGGGTGAAGGACCCAAATAGACATTTTTCAAAAAAAGAAATACAAATGGCCAAAATGTTCATGAAAAAAAGTCCAGCATCACTAATCTTTAGAGATATGCAAATCAAAAACACAACGAGAAATCACCTCACACCTGTTAAAATAGCTATAATCAAAAAGAGAAAAGACAAAAGTTGGCAAGACCGTGGAGGAAAAGGGAACATATACTGTTTGATGGGAATGTGAATTAGCACAGTCATTATGGAAAACATGAATGTTTCTCAAAAAATTAAAAATAAAACTACCATATCATCCCATAGTCTCACTTCTGGGTATATATCTAAAGGCAATGAAATTAATATCTGAAAAGATATCTTTACCCTCATGAATATTGTAGCATTATTTGCAATAGCCAAGAAATGGAATCAACCTAAGTGTCCATCAATGGATGATAAAAAATGAAAATGTGCAGGGTATGCGCACACACACACACACACACACACACACACACACACTCATATACACGATGAAATATTCAGCTTTAAAAAGAAAATATTTGTGACAATATGGATCTGGAAGGCATTATGCTAAGTGAAAGAAGCTAGCCACAGAAAGAAATATTGCATGATCTCACTTACATGTGGACTTTACAAATGTCAAACTCATAGAAACAGAGTAGAATGGTAATTTCGAGGGGTTGGATGTTGAAGGATATGGGGAGACTTGGTCAAAGGGTACAAAGTTTCAGTTTGGCAGGGTGAATATGTTCTGGAGATCTACTGTACAGCATGATAATTCTAGTTAACAATACTGTACTGTATGTTAAATTTGCTGAGAGAATAGATCATAAATATTCTATCACATACACATGCACACACGATAACTATGTCAGGTGATGGATATGTTAATTAGCTTGATTGTGGTAATTATTTCAAAATGTATACATAATATATAGCATGAAAGCATCATGTTGTATGCCATAAATATATACCTTTTTTTATCAATTATACCTCGAGACTGGAAGAAAGGGAAAAATATTTATTTCAAAGTTGTAATAATTAATACAGTATGATATTGGCACAAGACAAAATATGCATGGAACAAATAGAGAACCAGAAATAGATCCAAACGTGTGTATCCACTTGGCTTGTGACAATGGTGACACCGCATTGCAGTGCAGAGAGGTCATTCCTTCAATAAGAGGAAGTCATATTGGGTCGATTGGATAGTCACATGGAAAAAAACGAATCTGGAGCTGTATCACACATCCTACACAAAAATAAATTCCAGATACATTATAGTTTTAAATGTAAACAGTAAAAACAACAAAATGTTGTAAAGATAAATTTGGGAATATTTTCATTACTTTAGAGTAGTTTAATATTTCCCAGGAAAGATACAATACTGCCCATAAAAAGATTGTTAAGTTGATCTTAATTAAAATTAAGAATTTGTATTTATCAAAATACACCATTAGGAGAATAAAAATGCAAGCAACAGAGTGGGAGGTATTTAAGATACATTTATTCAACAAGGGGATATTATCCACAAAATATTTAGGAAGTGTTTCTACAAATCTGTAACAACCCAATTGGAGATGGGCTTAAAACCTGAATAGGCTCTTCACAAAAGAGGATAAAAATAGCCGATAAGCATATGAAACAATTTTAACCTCATTAGTAATTAGTAAAATGCAAATTGAAGTCACAATAAGGTGCCAAGTGTTGGTAAGAATGTATTTAGAACTTTCATACTCTTGCCTTATGCAATGAATCCCTCAATCATAATACTGAATGAAAGCAAACACAAAGATATCTTTTACATGAAGTTTTAAAACAGGTAAAACTAATGGTGGAATATGTAAAAATGGCTGTTAATTTTTATAGAGAGCTTGAGAGAGAACACAAAGAAGCTTCAGGGGTGCTGGCTATATTTTGTTTCTTGATCTGGATAGTAATTACATGGGTTTATATAATTTTTTTTTGCATGGTCACATTTTTACATGCTTGCTATTCTATATTAAGCGTTCATTTAAAATAAAATCACTGGCCCGGTATGGTGGCTCATGCCTGTAATCCTAGCACTTTGGAAGCCCAAGATGGGCAGATCACCTGAGGTCAGGAGTTTGAGACCAGCCTGGCCAACATGGCAAAACCTCTTCTCTACTAAAAATACAAAAATTAACCAGGTGTGGTGGCACACACCTGTAGTCCCAGCTACTTGGGAGGCTGAGGCAGGAAAATAGCTTAAACCCGGGAGGCAGAGGTTGCAGTGAGTGGAGATCACGCCACTGTACTCTAGCTTGGGCGACAGAGTGAGACTCTGTCTCAAAAAAACAAAAAATATATATGTATATATAATTAAATCACTATTAAGAACTTCAGACAGTTGTTGGGAGAAAACTGCCTTAGTCTTCCAAAGCTCAGGTTTTTGCCTAGTATGTGTAATCCAGGGGACATCCAACAGTGTGTCTGGGGAGGGACAGTCTTGTCCCCAGATCTGTCAACATTTTTTCATTATAACAAAGCCCATATGACTCATGTATAAAACTCTGAATGCAATGTTCTTGGAAATATGACAAGGTCCAACTGCCTAGTTCTCCCAAGCAGCAGCATTACTTGTGTATGTGAGAGAGGGATGAGGAAGTGGGGAGGAGGGAGATTCTGTTTGCCAATCTAGACCAGTGTTCCTCCAACTTTTTTGAAATAGAGTTTCACTCTTTTTGCCCAGGCTGCAGTGCAGTGATGCAATCTTGGCTCACTGCAACCTCCACCTCCCAGGTTCAAGTGATTCTCCTGTCTCAGCCTCCCGAGTAGCTGGGATTACAGGTGCACACCACTATGCCTGGCTAAATTTTGTATTTTTACTGGAGATAGGGTTTCACCATGTTGGCCAGGCTGGTCTCAAACTCCTGGCCTCAAGAGATCTGCCTGCCTCGGCCTCCCAAAGTGCTGGGATTGCAGGCGTGAGCCACTGTGCACAACTTTTTAGTATACAGTGCAGTCACATGGAGGGTTTGATAAGACAAATGGAGTGGAACCACTTTCAAAGTTTCTGATTCAGTAGGTTGAGATGGGCCCCCGAATTTTGCATCTCTACATTCCCAGGTGATGCTGATGAGAATGCTACTGGTATCATACTTTGAGATCAACTGATCTAGAGCACTTATTGATGAGCACTTTACGGAGACAGCAAGGTGGCACTGGTGGTGGGGTGATGGTAACTGGATCATAGGTCAGAGATTCAGCCATTAGGCTCAGATTTTATTGTTCACAGCAGGTTCTATGTAAAGACTCTCCTTTTCCCAGAACTGGATTTCATGAGTTTATTGCATGAGTTTTTACAAGAGAGTTCAATTACAATACACCAATGCCTTATTCTTGCACATGGCAAGTCAATATGGGCAATATGTTCATTGAACATCCTTCCCCACTCATGATCTCATTAGGACTTTGGCATTTTAAATAGTTCAGCTTGTAAACCCAGGGCCATCTGTGCAGGTGACCTAATCCATGTCTCTGATGATAACTAGCACCCATAGTAAAATGAATGCAAACTGATTTCAATTTCTGTTTAAAAAACAAACGAAACCTTACTTTATACTTGGCATTAGCACCAGTGTTGGAGGCAGGGAGTGTGGTGGAAATGGGGAGGGAACAAAGAAGCAGCAGATACAGCTGCCTGCTTTCCTGTCATGAGGTTTACTTTACAGTACATCATGTGTCTCAAGACCAGCTGAGTGTTACATTTTCCATCCTTAAATGACACTTGCTTTGCACATGTATTTCAAAGGCTTAGAGTTGTTTGCAGAACTCTGTCCCAACCACAGGACTTCCCATCCTGCAGCTGGAGAGTCTTACATGCAGAAGGGCCTGGGACTTTCCAAGTGTGGGGTGTCATATCTAGCAGCTCTCCTTTCTCATCTCTTGGGTTTGACTTGTCCTGAACTACCCCTTGCTATAGACTAGCCACAGTGGCGTCATCTGTTTAGTCTGGACACTGCTATCATCTTTGGCACCCCAGTGCTCCCTGGTCTGTTTACCTTAGGCAGTATTGCCAGCTAAAGAATTGCTTTCCCCTGCTCTCATATCCATCCACAGTCACCAATAGGGTTCGCTTTCCCATAGACCTGCTCTATGTTGGTTTTTATCAGCTAAGATAATCCACCTTACGGGCTGGCAGCAGAGGCCACTGGTGCCCTGGCTACATCCTCACCTTCCAGTGTGCTCTGACTGGTTTCCAGTTGCATCTGCATCTCTGTGCCTGAGGATTCCCCCATTTCAACCCTGAACCCTGAAAGATTGCTCTGCCTGTTTGTACAACAGGCCAGATGTTCCAGGAAGATCCCTTAATCAATGGCTTTCAGGCACTGATATATGAATATCCCAGATTATTTGCTTCTAGGCTGATGTAATTCTGGTATGATTAGCATTATTTCCCAGAATTTTCCCATGGTAGCTGGCTTAAAAACACATGTATTGGCTTCCTTCCAAGGAATTTTTATATTTGACAGCTATTTACTGAGTGCCTACTGTTTGCCAGGCACTGTGCTAGATTTGGGATATAAATGATGAGTAAAGCAGATGTGGATCTTGTGATATCGTGGGAGAAACAGATAATAAACAATCACTCACTCACAAATGTATCATTTTAAAATTGTGATAAGTGCCATTAGGACTCACACAAAGTATATGATGAAGGAACTGAGTGTCTTACCTACATGATGCAGTGACTGGGTAAGGCTGCATTGAGGAGGTGATTTGAACTGGAGGCCTAGAGGATGAAAATCAGCCATATGCAGAGCTGGGGAATAAAATGTGCAGATATTGGAACGGGAAATAATTTAGGATGTTCTTGGAATGGAAGGAGAGCTGACAGAAGAGGGGACAGTGGTACTCAGGTTGGATAGGCAGGTAGGCACCAGATCATCCATGGCCTTGTGAAGCGCCTAGGTGGGTGGTATGTGTGGGCATGTGTATATGTTTCTGTATGCGTGTGAATGCTGTAACATATATGTGCCTTCTTCTCTGTGTTTGTGTTCACCCAGTGGTATGTTAGTGAATGGGATGTGTTTGCATCTTGACTATGTGTGTATCTGTCCGACTGTGCCACTGCATGTGTGGGTTTTTGTGTGTATGAAGGCCTGTATATTGATGTTTTCAAATAGACTTTTTTGATATGTATCTATAAGTATGTATTAATATATTTTTACTATGGTGATATCTAGGTCTGTAGGCCTAATTATTTATGAGTATGTCTATAAAGATATATAGATAAATGTGTCATTGTGCATGAAAGCATGCACACTGATATGTATATTTGAGTGTAAATATATTTGTATTATGGTATTGTATAGGTGAATTTATAGGTGCCTGTATATGTGTGTTTTATGTGTATATGATTAAACTAGAACTAGATTGAACAATATTCTGAAATTAGTGTCTGTGTCTCTGTATGAAGCTCAGGAAATAGTCTTTCCCTCAACCAGACCACAAAAACTTGGAATTTTTATAGCTCACATTTGCTAGCAAGATGCAAACTTTACTTGCAGTTACAGTTATGGCTTGCTTTATTTTACATTTTCAATATTCCTGGCCTTTAAGAATCTGAATTCTAAATACTTTATGTGAATGAGTGAATATGTGTGCATGTGTTTAATTCTCTTGGTTTCAGTAAGTCAGCTTCAGTTAGGCCAAAATCCTTACCCTTGTCTTTATGCGTTAATATCTTTATTTAGAAATGAACTTTAGACCTGGAGTCGAGTGGTTGCCTCAGGCAGCTTTTTTTTTTTTCTCCATTAATATCTTAGTTGTAAGATGATCCAGCAGTTTGATTGTCGGGGAATCAAATACAAGGAGGCCATCCTTGAGCCCCATGGATGTTCTTATAGACTGATGTTGTCAGAGAAATGGAGACAGCAACTTCCAGGGAAAGACAATGAGCAGCTAGAGTCTGAGCTACTATCTCCATATAGAGTAAGTGGGCCCAGTCCTTTGAATAGATTTTCCTTCAATTCCCGATTCTGGCAGCACACAAAAAAAGATTGTTGCCTAGTCATGGGACACAGGCTTTGGCATGACTATTTTTATCCAGGCAATATCTCATGTTTGGTGCTCTATTTATTCTTCCAACTAGAATTGTGGTGTGTGATGATGCCCTTAAAGATCATCCATTCTAGTCTACTTTACAAACTCTTCTTTCATGGGTGGACATTAGGCTGCTCCTTCAACACCTCTGTGGTAGATTGTGTTGATGATAGGCCCAATTAATGGCCTCTCTGTATCCATGCTCATTGTATTTTAACTTTGTAGTTCCCTCCCACTTTGCCTCTGGGATTAGTTCTGTGACTTGCTTTGGCCAATACGATGTTAGCAAACTTGATGCAAGCAGAAGTGCGAAAAAACACCTGTGAGTTTTTACTTCCTCTCCCTCTCTTTTCTGTGATCACCCTAAAAATAAGCCCACACTAGCCTAGTGGAAGATATGAGACCACGTGGAGAAGAGCTGAGTTACCCCAGCTAAGGCCATCTTGGATTAGTTATCCTTTAGCAAGCCTAAAGGCTAAGGATAGATGCGTAGTGTGAGCACAGCCAAGGTCAATTCAACTAACCCATAGATTCAAAAGAGTTAATAAATGGTTGTTACTTTAAGCCACTCAGTTTGGAGATGGTTTGATATACAGCTGTAGCTAACTGATATAACCTCAATGGTAGGGTGCTTATTATCACTGGAGGCAGTCCATTTCATTGTGTATCAATTCTAATTGTTATGCGGTGGAGCTGGACTCTGCATTATAACTTCTGACTATGCCCTGTGAGTGTCAGTGGAAAAAGCTCGTATCTTCTCCCACAATGACCTTCAAGTATTTGATGATAGTGATCATGCCAGATGACTAGAGCAGCTTCCAAACTAAATTATCCACACAGAAGTTATCCTTGTTAAACAAACTGGATTATGTTATACCTTGCTAAAAACCTTTCCATAGTTTCTCATTACACTTAGATTAAAACCCAAACTTCTTTCCATTGTTCTGCATCATCCATATCTGTTTGTCTCAACCTCATCCTGAACCACTCTTGCCTTTGCTCATGATGCTCTCATCATATCGACATTCTTTATGTTGACAGTGCTAAGCTTTTTCTCACTTGATGGTCTTTTCTCATGCTATTCCCTCCTGCCTAGGAATAAATATGTGTTGACATTCCTGAATCTTCTCTTCTCTGAACCAAACATCTTCTGTGTCTGCCATTATTCTTCAATTGATATAAATGTAGGTCTTCTCACTAATCTGATTGCATGCTTTAGTGTCTTGTTGCCTCATTTTGAATATGATACCCAGAAATGACCATACTTCTTGGGCATGACTACAGCAAGAAAGTTATCTTGTTCTTTCTGAAAGAAGTCTACATGCACCCAAGGTATCGTGCCACCAGGATAGAAAGAACCATGCACATTCACTTATGATGGATTGGCTAGGTGGATAGGATGACGAATGCTTGGAAAACAGACTATCTGGCTTCTACCAGGTCAATGGCAAAGACCTTGTAGCCTCCTAATATATAAGAGGTTGATGTGTACACAGATTGACAGGACAGACAGGAATAGTCACCAAGGATTTGTCAGTGGTTTCCCTTGAGCCTTGCCCTAGAGATCAGCTCAATCTAGAGTGGGTTGGAGTAAGCTATTGTGTGTCTATTAGCACAGAGGCCAAAGCCCTTCTCAGCTCCTCAGTTCTATGTGAATCTCTCACCTTCAATCTCATCCTGAAATTAGTTTATCTTTAAGTCATAGATAAATACAAAGTCTAACAATAGGCTAGTAAAAGTCAAGTAATAGTAACTCATAATTGTGGAGCATGTACTCTGACACAGGTTCTTTCTAAGCACTTAATTTGCTTTAACCAATCAAATTCTTAAAACAACCCTTTTAGGTAGAACTAGATTAAACCAGTTGTTTCCTAACCAACTGCACAGTAGAATCACCAGAGGAGTTTGTTGAAAAATGGAAAAATAAAAACAAAGCAAGAAAAGATTACCTGACTCTACCCAATATTGTTTGCTAAATCACACTTTCTTGGGGTGGGGTGGGGGCAGGGGGCCAAGATAATCTGTGTTTTAAAAACAGCTCTCTGCTTGCTCCTTCAGCAATTAACCTGGCATCTGTGAGCTGGCATTTGGGAACTAATAAATTATGTCAGCCTTTCCCATAGTATGCCTCACAAGATGATCATAGGTGGCATACAGAACATTTTTTAATTAGATTTTAATAATTACATATTTATTTTTAAATATGTGCATGAGAAAAAGGTAGCATATTGAATCTGTGTTTTTATAGATATTGCTGAGGAAAGGCTTAAAGTGGGTATTTAAGTTAAAAAAAAAAAGTGAGTTGATTTAGAGAAAATTAAGTAGTGAAACAGGTATACTGATAAGGTTAACACTCAAAGGTGGCAAATGAATGGCCAAAGTTTAGGATACTCTGAGAAAATTCTGAGATCCCTTTGATTCAGTGATTCTTTCATTCTATGTGGCATGTGGCTTTGGGTAAATATGCAACTTTGCATTTGAATTTGCTTATATGAACACTTTATCAGTAGTTTTCAAACTTTCAGTAGCAGAACTTTTTCAAATGGAATCTCTCTTACCCCTGAACTCCCCAAGCTATCTCACCCCAAGATTTCCTTCAGTCTCAGCTCCTGAAACCTGACCTAAATTAAATCCTAGCTCTTGTCTTACACAAGGAAATGGAAGCAAGGGCTAACATTGATGCAGCTTTGCCATTCAAAATGTGCTCGACAGTAAATCAGCTTTCTAAGGGCATGAGCGCAGATTTGCATTTTGGATGTTGAAATGAAATGAAGATGACCTGTAGAAAGACAGGAATTGGAGTTCAGGTGGGGATAGGATGGGCCTAGAAGACTTTATTCTCTTTCTAATAGCAATTCACCTCTTTTTCTTCCAACCTTAGTCATGCGCTTCTAGTTCTACCTTTATCAGCAGTGAGATTTCCTCAACTTCCTTAATCTCAGTATGATTCCACCTATAAATAAACATTATTATGGGGGCCAGCTCATAGGGTTGCTGTGTGTATTAAATAATATATATTCTTACCTCCAGGTCTGGCATATGGTGTTTGCTAAGTACTAGTTACTACCATCTCCAAAGTCATTTTAGCATCAAAGATAAATGCATGTTAATTGTTTAACCTCCAGTAAATATAATTTAAAACAAGTAAAATATAATCAATTATCTATTTCATGTATAGCTTTGAGTGTTTCATTTTTTTGAATACAAAAATGTATATGACCTTCAATGGGTTTAATAATATTCTTACTTTCCTTAACTCCTTAACCTTATTTGCCTCATGAGGCATTCAGTTCTGTCATGAAATCTCTGACCACAGATATATTTCAGGAGGCCAATCTTAGCACTTGGAGAAAGCTTCTTTTAAAATTCATCACGTTTATTGAGCAATTTTCCATTCTCTCACAAAGCTCCCTACTACTTAATCTCACTTGAGCAAGAAAATATTCCTGTGAAGTGGGTAGGGCTGAACTTATTCCCATTTTACAGATGATTAAACTGAATAAGCTTTGGAACCATCTCCTTTGGAAGCAAAGTAACTCACTATGGTCTAAACACTTTGAGAAAAGAGAGAAGAAAATTGAGATGAATTCATGCTTTGCCTCAATTCCCTGTATCTTTCATGTTAAATTACCTTGCTTCATGTTATTGCTGCAAATTTGGCTTTGTTAGTGCAGACCTGACCTGGATCTGTCTATATTTCTGCATAGAGAGATGACCTTAATGTATTTGCAGAATCTACATGCTGTCCACTAAAGGCCACCCAGCAAATGCAAATGTAGCAAATGGAAAATGCATTTCAGGTGCAGGTCAAAAACTGTCCCAGCAAGAAAAATAACTGCAATGACGGGGACTCTGGCTGTCCAGATACCTTCTGAAAGTCTCTTTGAATTAAAAGCAGAGCGTCTGACAATTTCATGACTACCCCATCTGAAAATGCAGTCTTCCCTGAGGTGGAGGGGGTGATCTAGGTCACTGACTTGCCCTGCCAGAATCTTACCAACAAAAAGGTATCAGTTGACTGAGTGGAAGTGACAGGGACTTTGGGAAAGGTGACAGAGTGAGAAGTTAGGAACTGGGCACAGTTAGAAGACAGGAATATGGATTGCAAACAAGTGAAAGAAAAAACACAGCTCAAATTTGTAGGGTGGTGCTTCAAAAAGTAGTGTGACTATGACTGGAAATCTCCTCAAAGTGCCGTTCTGCCTGTGCATATTTTCCCAGTGACAAAGGTCATGGAGTGGTAACCAGAGAAATCCATGCAGTGAGCCAGGGAACTCTGTGATGAAAGTGAATGCAAAAATGGCACCTGAGAGATGGAAAGAAGGACTCAGAATTAAGAACAAAATAGAAGAGGTGGAAGGGACCAAGAAGACTGTGTCGTGGCAGGGGGTAAAGCTCACCCCTATGCTGAGGGTTAAAATATGTTAAGGAAAGAAAAACAAACAAGCTTCTAAAAATCATCCGGGTCCAGTGTGGTGACTCACACCTGTAATCCCAGCACTTTGGGAGGCCAAGGTGGTAGGATCACTTGAGCCCAGGAGCTTGAGACCAGCCTGGGCCGTATAACGAGACCCTGTCTCTATGAAAAATATAAAAAAAGCTGGGCATGGTGGTACATGCCTCTAGTTCCAGCTGCTAAGGAGGTCGAGGCTGCAGTGGGCCAAGATTGCACCACTGCACTCCAGGCCTGGGGAACAGAGTGAGACCGTGTCTCAAAAAATAAATAAAATGAAAGTCATGTGTCAGAGAAGCAGATCTAGATCTAGATCCTAGATCTCTGAAGGAATAAATAGGTTTTCTGGTACTGAGGAGGGAGCTGGAAAAAGAGAATTTAAGCCTGAAAAGTGTGGAGGGGGCTTTAATGAGGGAGAGGAGGTACAACCTCTCAATAGGAGGAAGAACTAGACGAGAGAATCTTACTTCTCTTGCGAGCTCACTTCTCATAGTCTCCTCAGGTTCTGAGAGGACTTAGGGTTGGGATCCTTGAGTATCGCTAACGAACTGACAGAATTGATGGAGAAGAGGTGAGAGTGGTAGAAGATGGGAGAAAAATGTCATCCCAAATTTCAACAGAGGAGGAACATAGCTTCCATGAACCACTAGGTGAGTAGTTTGCTGTAGATCCAAAAGGAGGTTATGGAATGGATTATTAAAGGAGTTTGTTTGTGAACACATGGAGAAGGAAATAATAATCACAGGGACTCAGCATGTGTTTTCCCAGAAGTCATATCAGGTCAATCTCATTTTTCCTTTTACCCCATTATGTAATGACAGACAGATTAAGGAAGTGAGACTGTTGCTAGGATCTAGGAGATCAGCTAGACATTTGACAAAGTATCACATAAAACCTTTTTGGACAACATGGATAAATATAGGTAAGAAGACAAATAGTAATAGTTATAGTAATAATAATAATAATAATAATAACAACAACAACAAACACTTACTGAGTTTTTACTATGTTAGACCATGTCAGGATTTTGGTATTCTTTGAACTATCAATCACAAAATAGGCTGCTGTCAACTAGAAGAGAGGTCTCCAGTGGTGAACCCAGCATTGTGTGTTTTTGATCCTATTCAGGTCAGCACATTGATTCCTCCCTCTTCTAATACCTTGGCCTTATCCATGGTTTCAATTTGGTTGATGAACATTTATTGCCAATCGAAAATAGTCAACTCCCACGGTACTCTTGGCACTCGGGTACAGTTGAGTGCTAGAGGTAGGCTGATAGGTTCAAATAACCAGTTTGGTTATTTACCGTCTATGTGACCTTAGTCAAGTTACTCATTGATATGGTTAGGTTTTGTGTTCCCACCCAAATCTTATCTTTAATTGTAACCCCCATACTCCCCATGTATCAAGGAAGAGAACAGGTGGAGGTAATTGAATGATGGGGGTAGTTCCCCCATGCTGTTTTCATGATAGTGAGTGATTTCTCACGAGATCTGATGGTTTTATAAGGGGCTCTTCCCTCTTCGCTCAGCACTCCTTTCCCTGCTGCCTTCACCTTCTACCATGATTATAAGTTTCCTGAGGCCTTCCCAGCCATGCAGAACTGTGAGTCAATTAAACCACTTTCCTTTGTAAATTACCCAGCTTCACGTATTTCCTTACAGCAGTGTGAGAATGTACTAATACACTCACTGTCTCCATTTTTTCATTTCCCTATCTGTATGATGTGTGAAGATATTAGAGATGTTATGAAAATTAAAGGAGACAACAAAAGGGAAGTAAGTGCCTGACAAGGGTAAGTGTGACAACTGGCATGGTGTTTGCCTTTTTGGAAAAATATAATATAACCTGGAGGTTGATCACCTGCAGAGAATACAGAGGACAATGAATGACAAATGGCTGGGAGGGAGGGAAAACAAACACAATGGGGACAGTCAGAAATGAACAAAGAGCTTGACAGGAAGGAATGGTGGGCTGAATCCAGTATGATAGAAAGTACCAGGAGACCAGCCTGACCAACATGGAGAAACCCTGTCTCTACTAAAAAAGAATACAAAATTAGCCGGGTGTGGTGGCATATGCCGGTAATCCCAGCTATTTGGAAGACTGAGGCAGGAGAATCACTTGAACCTGGGAGGCGGAGGTTGAGGTGAGCTGAGATGGCGCCATTTCACTCCAGCCTGGGCAACAAGAGCGAAACTCCATCTCAAAAAAACTACCAGGAATAAATGTTTAGCTAAAAAATTCCTTCCATTTCAAAGTAGAATATGGGAGATTGGTTAAGCAGTTACTCAGATAAAGAGGATTGTGATTTCAGAAGATGGCACAGTTTGAGTCAAAAATGAGAAATTCCCCTGGCCAAAATGTGGTAATGAGATTTCAGGTTATATTAATAGAAGTATGGTATCTTCACTGTGGAGGTGCTGGTCCTCTCTGGGGCACCAATCATCCCATAGCTAGAGTATTGTGTTTGGGTTTTAGTAACATTACAAATATGGGTGGGGTTATCATCTGTCCAAATCAGTTCTCTGGTGTCAGTTATTTAATGGTTTCCCATCACACTTAAAAATCATATCCAGGCTGGGCGCAGTGGCTCACGCCTGTTATCTCAGTGCTTTGAGAGGCCGAGGCGGGTGGATCACGAGGTCAGGAGATCGAGACCATCCTGGCTAACAGGGTGAAGCCCCGTCTCTACTAAAAATACAAAAAAAATTAGCCGGGTATGGTGGCGGGCACCTGTAGTCCCAGCTACTCGGGAGGCTGAGGCAGGAGAATGGTGTGAATCCGGGAGGCGGAGCTTGCAGTGAGTGGAGATCGCGCCACTGCACTCCAGCCTGGGTGACAGAGCGAGACTCCATCTCAAAAAAAAAAAAAAAAAAAAAAAATCATATCCAAAATCCTTTCCATGGTCTACAAGGTGCTTTTAGTCTCTCTCCTCCCCATCCCCCATCTGCTACCTCATTTCTTACTACTTCATCCATTAGCTTCTGTTGCTGATCTTCAAGCAGGCTAAGTGTGTTCTCATCTGAAGGCTTTCTCACTTACTGTCTCCTCTACCTAAACACATTTTCCCCAGAAAGTTCTTTGGCTTGATCCTTCACTTAATTCAGGTCTCTGTTCAATGCTACCTTCTCAAAAAGAGACATTTCTAATACTTTATCTAAAAAATGACTCAATCACTGTTTCTTCATGCTGTTTCATTTTTAAACAAAACGGTATTCTAGACGGCAGGGTACTCCAACAGACCTGCAGCTGAGGGTCCTCTCTGTTAGAAGGAAAACTAACAAACAGAAAGGACATCCACACCAAAAACCCATCTGTACATCACCATCATCAAAGACCAAAAGTAGATAAAAACCACAAAGATGGGGAAAAAACAGAACAGAAAAACTGGAAACTCTCAAAAGCAGAGCGCCTCTCCTCCTCCAAGGGAAGCAGTTCCTCACCAGCAACGGAACAAAGCTGGATGGAGAATGACTTTGACGAGCTGAGAGAAGAAGGCTTCAGACGATCAAATTACTCTGAGCTATGGGAGGACATTCAAACCAAAGGCGAAGAAGTTGAAAACTTTGAAAAAAATTTAGAAGAATGTATAACTAGAATAACCAATACAGAGAAGTGCTTAAAGGAGCTGATGGAGCTGAAAACCAAGGCTCGAGAACTACGTGAAGAATGCAGAAGCCTCAGGAGCCGATGCGATCAACTGGAAGAAAGGGTATCAGCGATAGAAGATGAAATGAATGAAATGAAGCGAGAAGGGAAGTCTAGAGAAAAAAGAATAAAAAGAAATGAGCAAAGCCTCCAAGAAATATGGGACTATGTGAAAAGACCAAATCTACGTCTGATTGGTGTACCTGAAAGTGATGGGGAGAATGGAACCAAGTTGGAAAACACTCTGCAGGATATTATCCAGGAGAACTTCCCCAATCTAGCAAGGCAGGCCAACGTTCAGATTCAGGAAATACAGAGAACGCCACAAAGATACTCCTCGAGAAGAGCAACTCCAAGACACATAATTGTCAGATTCACCAAAGTTGAAATGAAGGAAAAAATGTTAAGGGCAGCCAGAGAGAAAGGTCGGGTTACCCTCAAAGGGAAGCCCATCAGACTAACAGCGGATCTCTCGGCAGAAACCCTACAAGCCAGAAGAGAGTGGGGGCCAATATTCAACACTCTTAAAGAAAAGAATTTTCAACCCAGAATTTCATATCCAGCCAAACTAAGCTTCATAAGTGAAGGAGAAATAAAATACTTTACAGACAAGCAAATGCTGAGAGATTTTGTCACCACCAGGTCTGCCTTACAAGAGCTCCTGAAGGAAGCACTAAACATGGAAAGGAACAACTGGTACCAGCCGCTGCAAAATCATGCCAAAATGTAAAGACCATGGAGACTAGGAAGAAACTGCATCAACTAACGAGCAAAATAACCAGCTAACATCATAATGACAGGATCAAATTCACACATAACAATATTAACTTTAAATGTAAATGGACTGAATGCTCCAATTAAAAGACACAGACTGGCAAATTGGATAAAGAGTCAAGACCCATCAGTGTGCTGTATTCAGGAAACCCATCTCACGTGCAGAGACACACATAGGCTCAAAATAAAAGGATGGAGGAAGATCTACCAAGCCAATGGGAAACAAAAAAAGGCAGGGGTTGCAATCCTAGTCTCTGATAAAACAGACTTTAAACCAACAAAGATCAAAAGAGACAAAGAAGGACATTACATAATGGTAAAGGGATCAATTCAACAAGAAGAGCTAACTATCCTAAATATATATGCACCCAATACAGGAGCACCAAGATTCATAAAGCAAGTCCTGAGTGACCTACAAAGAGACTTAGACTCCCACACATTAATAATGGGAGACTTTAACACCCCACTGTCAACATTAGACAGATCAACGAGACAGAAAGTCAACAAGGATACCCAGGAATTGAACTCAGCTCTGCACCAAGCAGACCTAATAGACATCTACAGAACTCTCCACCCCAAATCAACGGAATATACATTTTTTTCAGCACCACACCACACCTATTCCAAAATTGACCACATACTGGGAAGTAAAGCTCTCCTCAGCAAATGTAAAAGAACAGAAATTATAACAAACTATCTCTCAGACCACAGTGCAATCAAACTAGAACTCAGGATTAAGAATCTCACTCAAAACCGCTCAACTACATGGAAACTGAACAACCTGCTCCTGAATGACTACTGGGTACATAACGAAATGAAGGCAGAAATAAAGATGTTCTTTGAAACCAACGAGAACAAAGACACAACATACCAGAATCTCTGGGACGCATTCAAAGCAGTGTGTAGAGGGAAATTTATAGCACTAAATGCCCACAAGAGAAAGCAGGAAAGATCCAAAATTGACACCCTAACATCACAATTGAAAGAACTAGAAAAGCAAGAGCAAACACATTCAAAAGCTAGCAGAAGGCAAGAAATAACTAAAATCAGAGCAGAACTGAAGGAAATAGAGACACAAAAAACCCTTCAAAAAATTAATGAATCCAGGAGCTGGTTTTTTGAAAGGATCAACAAAATTGATAGACCGCTAGCAAGACTAATAAAGAAAAAAAGAGAGAAGAATCAAATAGATGCAATAAAAAATGATAAAGGGGATATCACCACCGATCCCACAGAAATACAAACTACCATCAGGGAATACTACAAACACCTCTACGCAAATAAACTAGAAAATCTAAAAGAAATGGATAAATTCCTGGACACATACACTCTCCCAAGACTAAACCAGGAAGAAGTTGAATCTCTGAATAGACCAATAACAGGAGCTGAAATTGTGGCAATAATCAATAGCTTACCAACCAAAAAGAGTCCAGGACCAGATGGATTCACAGCCGAATTCTACCAGAGGTACAAGGAGGAACTGGTACCATTCCTTCTGAAACTATTCCAATCAATAGAAAAAGAGGGAATCCTCCCTAACTCATTTTATGAGGCCAGCATCATTCTGATACCAAAGCCAGGCAGAGACACAACCAAAAAAGAGAATTTTAGACCAATATCCTTGATGAATATTGATGCAAAAATCCTCAATAAAATACTGGCAAACCAAATCCAGCAGCACATCAAAAAGCTTATCCACCATGATCAAGTGGGCTTCATCCCTGGGATGCAAGGCTGGTTCAATATATGCAAATCAATAAATGTAATCCAGCATATAAACAGAGCCAAAGACAAAAACCACATGATTATCTCAATAGATGCAGAAAAAGCCTTTGACAAAATTCAACAACCCTTCATGCTAAAAACTCTCAATAAATTAGGTATTGATGGGACGTATTTCAAAATAATAAGAGCTATCTATGACAAACCCACAGCCAATATCATACTGAAGGGGCAAAAACTGGAAGCATTCCCTTTGAAAACTGGCACAAGACAGGGATGCCCTCTCTCACCACTCCTATTCAACATAGTGTTGGAAGTTCTGGCCAGGGCAATTAGGCAGGAGGAGGAAATAAAGGGTATTCAATTAGGAAAAGAGGAAGTCAAATTGTCCCTGTTTGCAGATGACATGATTGTATATCTAGAAAACCCCATTGTCTCAGCCCAAAATCTCCTTAAGCTGATAAGCAACTTCAGCAAAGTCTCAGGATACAAAATCAATGTACAAAAATCATAAGCATTCTTATACACCAACAACAGACAAACAGAGAGCCAAATCATGAGTGAACTCCCATTCACAAATGCTTCAAAGAGAATAAAATACCTAGGAATCCAACTTACAAGGGATGTGAAGGACCTCTTCAAGGAGAACTACAAACCACTGCTCAAGGAAATAAAAGAGGATACAAACAAATGGAAGAACATTCCATGCTCATGGGTAGGAAGAATCAATATCGTGAAAATGGCCATACTGCCCAAGGTAATTTACAGATTCAATGCCATCCCCATCAAGCTACCAATGACTTTCTTCACAGAATTGGAAAAAACTACTTTAAAGTTCATATGGAACCAAAAAAGAGCCCGCATCGCCAAGTCAATCCTCAGCCAAAAGAACAAAGCTGGAGGCATCACACTACCTGACTTCAAACTATACTACAAGGCTACAGTAACCAAAACAGCATGGTACTGGTACCAAAACAGAGAGATAGATCAATGGAACAGAACAGAGCCCTCAGAAATAATGCTGCATATCTACAACTATCTGATCTTTGACAAACCTGAGAAAAACAAGCAATGGGGAAAGCATTCCCTATTTAATAAATGGTGCTGGGAAAACTGGCTAGCCATATGTAGAAAGCTGAAACTGGATCCCTTCCTTACACCTTATACAAAAATCAATTCAAGATGGATTAAAGACTTAAATGTTAGACCTAAAACCATAAAAACCCTAGAAGAAAACCTAGGCATTACCATTCAGGACATAGGCATGGGCAAGGACTTCATGACTAAAACACCAAAAGCAATGGCAACAAAAGACAAAATTGACAAATGGGATCTAATTAAACTAAAGAGCTTCTGCACAGCAAAAGAAACTACCATCAGAGTGAACAGGCAACCTACAAAATGGGAGAAAATTTTCGCAACCTACTCATCTGACAAAGGGCTAATATCCAGAATCTACAATGAACTCAAACAAATTTACAAGAAAAAAACAACCCCATCAAAAAGTGGGCGAAGGACATGAACAGACACTTCAGAAGAAGACATTTATGCAGCCAAAAAACACATGAAAAAATGCTCATCATCACTGGCCATCAGAGAAATGCAAATCAAAACCACAATGAGATACCATCTCACACCAGTTAGAATGGCAATCGTTAAAAAGTCAGGAAACAACAGGTGCTGGAGAGGATGTGGAGAAATAGGAACACTTTTACACTGTTGGTGGGACTGTAAACTAGTTCAACCATGTGGAAGTCGGTGTGGCGACTCCTCAGGGATCTAGAACTGGAAATACCATTTGACCCAGCCATCCCATTACTGGGTATATACCCAAAGGACTATAAATCATGCTGCTATAAAGACACATGCACCCATATGTTTATTGCGGCATTATTCACAATAGCAAAGACTCGGAACCAACCCAAATGTCCAACAATGATAGACTGGATTAAGAAAATGTGGCACATATACACCATGGAATACTATGCAGCCATAAAAAATGATGAGTTCATGTCCTTTGTAGGGACATGGATGAAATTGGAAATCATCATTCTCAGTAAACTATCGCAAGAACAAAAAACCAAACACCGCATATTCTCACTCATAGGTGGGAACTGAACAATGAGATCACATGGACACAGGAAGGGGAATATCACACTCTGGGGACTGTTGTGGGGTGGTGGGAGGGGGGAGGGATAGCACTGGGAGATATACCTAATGCTAGATGACGAGTTAGTGGGTGCAGCGCACCAGCATGGTACATGTATACATATGTAACTAACCTGCACAATGTGCACATGTACCCTAAAACTTAAAAGTATAATAAAAAAAAAGTTGTATTTAGATATCATTACTGCTTTAATACCTAAAAAAAAAAAAAAAAACAACGGTATTCTACATATCTATGTGTCTTTTATTATCTGGTTCCCTCATTAGAGGAGGCACTATGAAGGGTAGGGACTTAACTGTTCCGGTCACAGTCTAGCACAGTATCTGGTACAAGGAAGGCTCATAGTAGGTGCTCAGTGAAAAAATTGTTGAACGATGAATGAATAATTAAATAAATGAATGAATTAATAAACACTCTGTAGAACTCACATTTCATAGAAGACATTTTGGCAAAAGTTATATGAAGTTTTTAACTTGTCTATTCTGGAAATAAGGCAGAAGAAAAAGTAGGGAAGTAGCAAAGATATGGGACATTTGTCTAAATTTTGTAATGGCTATAGTTTTTAATCTCTTTTTTTTAAGATGGAATCTCGCTCTGTCACCCAGGCTGGAGTGCAGGGGTGCGATCTCAGCTCACTGCAACCTCTGCCTCCTGGGTTCAAGTGATTCTTCTGCCTCAGCCTCTCAAGTAGCTAGGATTACAGGCGTACACCACCACGCCTGGCTAATTTTTTGTATTTTTAGTAGAGACGGGGTTTCACCATGTTACCCAGGATGGTCTCAAACTCCTGACCTTGTGATTCCCTGTCTTAAGATATTCCTAAAATTCCTCCTTCTTAGGAGTTCTCTTTCCTTGGAACCTAGAGATAAGTCGTCCTCTTATCTTTGGGACACTTCTAGGATGAAGACACTCTTATGTGATGTTGCTCACTTTCCTGCACCTCCTCTGAGCCCTGACCCCATAAGGCTGATTGTCCCCCACATCCCCTTCTCTCTGTTCTTTGGGGTTCTTCAGGATTGCATTTACTATCTGGTTGTCCTTTGGGAGAAGTGGCAGATTATTGTCTATCCACCCTTGCATATATGTCTCCCAGTTTTACAATGCCAATAAATTTCTTAAATACATTTTAAAATACAACTCTTTTATTGTAAGAATTATGGCTGTCTTGTGTGTGTGTGTGTGTGTGTGTGTATGTGTGCGTGTGTGCACACGCACATGTGTTTATCTCACAGCATTTAACACAAAGCCTGGACTGTAACAAGAACTGAGAATATATTTGAAGGTTTTAAGAATGGTTTGAGAAGACTTTTTGGTTAAAAAGGTAATTCAGATATACAGAAGTGTTTTTTTTTTTTTTTTGAGACACCCATTCACAAATGTGCCTTTCTTCCAGAGGCATTCATTTATTCATCCATCCGTTCATTTAACACATATTTACTGCATGTCCCTATGTGCTTTCATGCCCTGGTCTCAGCACATCCTGACTTGAGCCCTGCCCTCACACAGTTTCTTCACATCAGCTTGGCAAGAAAAAGGGGCAATTCTTGAAGAATCACATGTTTTACTCATTGTTCCATTGAACACTGCTCAGAGAAAGTGTGATTAGAATTATGGAGAAGGGGTAACTGAACTGAGCAAGTATTAAGTGTCTCCTCTTCTAATCCCTGGACCTCATCCATGGTTTCAATTTGGTTGATGAACATTTATTGCCAATCAAAAATAGTCAACTTCCACAGTGCTCTTGGCACTCAGGGTTAGAGTTGAGTGCTAGAGGTAGACTGATGGATTCAAATCCCAGTTTGTCTATTTACCGTCCTGTGACCTAAGTCGAGTTATTCACGTTCTCCAGTTTTTCATTTCTCTATCTATGCTCTGTTACCCCCACCCTCCAATCTTTGGGTCTAGCAACACCCCCCTTGAGGCTTTTTCTAATGCTCAATGAACAACAGAATTTCATGCCCTGACCCAACTCTCCCCTGCTCAAAATTAACTTAAATAATAAACAATCAAAAATCATAGACCATGAGAAAACAAGAAGTGGGAAGATGTTAGAGATGTTATGAAAATTAAAGGGGATAACATATGGGAAGTGCCTGACAAGAATAAGTGTGACAATTGGCATGGCTCTTGTCTGTTTGGAACAATATAATATAACCTGGAGGTTAGTCAGCTGCAGGTAGGAGATAATTTTGAATAGAAAAAAATCTTCAATGTATAGTAAATTTACTTTTTCATAGTCCTAAGTATAAAGGCACTCAGATGAAGGGTATTGAGAACTCTTTCTCCACCATCAAAACCCACAAGATCTGCTATCATTTTAACCAGTGTGTTTGTGTGTGTGTGTGCATGTGTGTGTGTGTAGAGGAGGAGGACAGTACTTTCTTAACCTCCTCATTCTTCAAAGTCTTTATCCAATTAATCCAGAAGGTATGTTGCTTCTATATAGCAGGCACATGTTGGAAACCAAGTCTCAAGAATTGGAAGGAATTCCTACATACTCAGTAATTCCTTCTCTTCCTTCCTTTCTTCCCTCCTTCTTTCCTCCTTTCCTTTGTCTCTCCCTTTCTCCCTTCTCTCATTATTTAATTAATGGTTAATGGATAACAACTTGGCAGCAGGCATCTTTACTGTCCTCCTTGGGCTCTTACGTTCATACATGTGGGTCATGGATTATCTAAAACAGCGTCCACAGGAGTGCTGCCTTTTTCCATATGACCGAATCCCTTGCCATCACCTCTTGCTCAGCACCTCAGCCCTTTCAGATGTGCAACCCTACTTTGAATTTCTATCCTTTGGGAAAGAGGAACCATTATGGATTTTAAGCAGAGGAGTTATTTCTGAAGATTAACTGGGGAAGGAAAGAGGACTAAGACAGGAGGCAGGAAGAGAGACCAGTCCAAGTTTCTAATCCTAGTTCTTTCCCTACACAGGTGTGTAGCCTTGGAGAAGTTACTTAACCTTACAACTTTATTTACTTATCTTTAAAATGGGGGGTAAGAAACCCCATCTCACAAAATTATTACCTGAGTTCAGTGCGAAAACAAGAAGGTGATTTTGGTGCCTAGTATGAATGGAGTGTTCAATAATGATTTCACAGTTCTTTCCTTTTCTAACACTTTGTCTTTAAGATGAGAAATGAGAATTGAGCCTCACTGTTGTTCACATAAGATCAAAATGGCTTTATTGCAAGTAAGCTTCTAACTAGATAGAACCCATTGTTTTCTCAGGGTCTATGATTCTTGGTTATTATTTGATTTAATTTCGAGCAGGGGAGAGTTGGGTCAGGACATGAAATTCTGTTGTTGAGCATTGGGAAAAGCCTCAAGGAGGGTGTTGCTAGACCTGAAGGTTGGAGAGTGAGGGCAAGAGAGCAGCTGAAACACAAGGAGAAGCTGGGTGCTCTGAACCCAGCAATTTCACTGTCAGTAATTCTAGCTGAAGCCCTGTTCTTGGCCTGGTCCCACCTGCCCATCTATAATTAAGGTCGTGTCTACAGTTATACAGATTATAAGGAAAGAGAAGAAGGATGTCATCAAGTCATAATTTCCAGAATCAAGGCTCCTATTTTCTCCATCTTTTTTTTTCCTCCCTATTTTGGATTTGGCAGCAGGTTTCCTAAAAAGTAGGCCATCATGTCCTTTTTTACAGTTCATTACGAGTGGGCAAGGAGGGCCCCCTCAGGCTGCCAAGGCCTTGATGCTGGTTTTCTCAGGCAGCGAGAAGGGAGCGTTTCCTGGATGCTCACCTCTGGCCAGGAGGCAAACATTGGTTATGGAAGAATTTTTCCTTTTATTTCTAAACAAGAGGTTGTAATAAATAAGGAATCATTTGCAAATGTTTGCATATCCAGCCCAATTTTATTTTTAATTCTACAGTGCATGTGTGCTGATGCATTTTTGATGTAGGAAATTGTTACAGATGTAAAGTTGGAAAATTTATTTGAGGGTCTTGGGATTTGAAGATTGCATTGGAACTGTCAGTGTCAGCCCTTTTGTGACAGAGTTCATAGAAGGAGAACATTTGAGAACAAAAGAGTAAATGAAAAGTATTTGATCTAGGCTGTGACTCTGTTGTTAACATTATTTTCATAAAAATAACCATAGACCTGACCTGGCAGTCTGTGAACACAGAATTGTTTCCTTGATGGAGGGTAGCACAGTTAAGAAAGAGGATGCCTAAATCGTGGGTCAAGGAGGTGAAAAATCAGTACCCCAGGTGACACAGTGCTGAGTGTGGATGCTATGTTGGCTATGTATTCCTGGTTTTGTTTGTGTTAAGACTCAGGCTTAAAAGTTATAAAGCAAGTTTTGAGCTATATATAGATGATAAGTAGATATTCCCTGAATTGTGAAGGTTTCCTTTATATAGCCCAATAATTGTATATTTGCGTTCTCTCCCATGTCCCCTTTGATTGACTAGTCTTGGCTGCCTGAAGGAGATCTTTTAGGGATGTCTGATTTGGAGATGGACAGGGACAGAAGTGGCTCATGTATTGTGTGCTTGACCTTCTAACCCAAGAGAGTCCTCAATTGCAGGCTTACATCCTTCTTGGTTCTTGTGGGGTCCCCACATCAACCAAAGGATGTTCTTTCTACTGCTGCCTCTTAGACATCTTCTTCTCCTCCTTCTCCTCCTCTTTTCTTTCCTCTTCCTCCTCCTTTTCTGTCATTTCCCCCTTTCTTTTCCTCTTTCACCTGCTTTTCCTTTTTCTCTACCCTCTCTTTCTCTTTCTCCTTTCCTCTCTTTCTTGTCCTAGAAAGGAAACTCACTTGTGCCAAACACCTGCTAAGTCCTTTTACATATGTATCATCTTATTTAATTCTCAACCAATTCTTATATTTAGAATTCCATTTGGTTACATGGATGAATTGTATAGTTGAGTCTAGGATTTTAGTGTACCTGTCACCTGAATAGTATACATTGAACCCAATAGGTAACTTTTCATTCCTCACTCACCCCTAGCCTCCCTGCTTCTGAGCCTCCAGTGTCCATTATGCCACTCTGTGTGCCTTTGCATACCCATAGCTTAGCTTCCACTTAAGTGAGAACATGTGATATTTGGTTGTTCCATTCCTGGGTTACTTCACTTAGGATAATGGCCTCCAGTTCCATCCAAGTTGCTACAGAAAAACATTATTTTATAGAATCCCACTTTTAGAGATTAGGGAACAGAAGCACAGAGAGACCCATCAAGGTGACACATCTCAGAGCAGGACGAGGACCCAAGACTCTCTGGAATGGTAGCTCCCGCCATCCACTGTGATGGCCTTGGTCCTGCCGGCTATCGTCTCCTCACCCCCACGGCTGCTCCTTTCCCCTGTCCCAGAGTTGTCAGTAGCGTCTTTTGGTGCTTGAGTGCCTTGGCTAATCATGAAAGACTGAATTGGCTAGTGAGAACTGTGGGAGTGAAGGTTTATTTCTTTTTTTAAATTAGAAAAAGAAGTCCCCTCTTGTATCATCTTTGCTTCTCTATAAACAGTCTTTGAAAGGTACAGTTTTGACCAAATAGCCCTCTGGTGGGAACTTCCAAGAAGAATATTCTGGAGCAGCATCTGAGTATCTGACAATTTCTCAGTTAGTGCAGCTGGATCATGACGTTAACCGGAACCACCAGAGCTCGGATTCCCAAAACCTAATCCTTGGGGAAGGTTGGGGGAGGTGTCTGGGACAGAGCCGACATTTGAGCTGATCTTTTGCAGGCACTGCTGATGGGGCAGAGACCTGCCCTTACTTAAGCTTGCTCAGTGTCAGGGTAAATGTGGGGCCAGGGTGTGAGGGCTCTGCCTGCCAGGAAGAGGAAGGGCAGATTGGCTGAGGCTCTGTAGAGGCTTCGTGGCAACAGCAGTTCCATCTCCCGGTTCTGCATTGGCCCATGGCAGCTTGATTTCCAGCTGCCCCAGGTGGAGCTAAGTTACTGCATGAGTTGAGTTTCCTCCAAGGGTAGAAAGGACACATCATGTCCTCCTTCTTCCCAGCATTCTGATTTTTAAGGGGCACTAACCCAGCATCTGAGCCATGTGCCATGTGCAAATACACACACACAAGTACATTTCCATGTCTACTTACTCAGTTGGCAGGACATCAAAGTTCCTTTCCAGAGGTTAGATAAAGGGGCTGCAGGACAAGAGGGCAGGAAGGATTTAAATAATTGATCAAGATGTGCATGTCAGAGCCTTGTCATTTATTTGCTTGTTTGTATGTTTGATTCTGTTGTTTTGATTTTTAACCACAAATCAATGGTTTCTTTGCCAACGCTCTTGCTCTAAGAAGGTAGACTAATAGAGAAGAAACTTTTAGAAACGAGTTTCCTGAGTCTATTTTAAGTGATTCTTAATCTTAGGTGCATATAGAAATTACCTGGGGAACTTTAAAGAATATTGATACTGGAGTCACATGCCTAGAGTTTCTGATTTAATTGTCTAGGTTGCAAAATGTACATAATAATATCTAAAAGCTCTATAGGTGATTATAAGTGTCAACTACGTTTGAGAATCACTGGCCTATCTGACACCTTATATTTGTATGCAGGCAGAAGGCTTTATTACCACGGCAAGATATTCCCATCTGTAATCATAACAAAACCTAAATAGCTAATCTTTGGGTACTCATGGGCTGGCCAGTGTGTGAGGTGTTTTGCCTCCATCAGCTCATTGAATCCTTATACAATGTATACCTGAATTACCTGGAGGACTGTTAAAACACAGGTGTCTGGTGTCCACCCCCAGCTTCTGATTCACTGGGTGTGGTAGCCGCCTCTAAGATGGTCCTTCCTCCTGCTGGCCATGATCTTGTGTAATGTCCTCCCCTTGAGTGTGAACTAGTCTTATTGGCTTAATTATAAATAATAGAATAGGGTGGAAGAGAGGGAATGTCATTTTTGACACCAAGTTATAGAAAATGGCATAATACTGTGGGCCGGGCATGGTGGCTCACACCTGTAATCCCAGCATTTTGGGAGGCAGAGGCGGGTGGATCTTTTGAGGTCAGGAGTTCGAGACCAGCCTGGCCAACATGGTGAAACCCCGTCTCTACTAAAAATACAAAAATTAGCTGGACATGGTAGTGGGCGCCTGTAATCCCAGCTACGCAGGAGGCTGAGGCAGGAGAGTCACTTGAACCTGGGAGGCAGAGGTTACAATGAGCTGAGATGGTGCCACCGCACTCCATCCTGGGCAAAAGAGCAAGACTGTGATTAAAAAAAAAAAAAAAGAAAAAGAAAAAAGTACTGTGGCTTCCATCTTGGGCACACTCTCTCTTGCTCTTTGTTGGATCATTTGCCCTGGGATAAGTAGCTGCCATGCCATGAGGCAGCCCTGCAGAGAGGCCCATACAGCAAAGAATGGAGGTGTGCCCACAGCCATGGGAATGAGCTTGGAGGCAGACCTTGCCCCGATTGAGACTTTACATGAGCCCACAGCCCCATCTGACTACTTGATAGCAGCCTCAGGAGAGACCTGGAGCCAAAGCCACTTAGCTAAGTAGTGTTCAAATTTCTAACATGGAAACTGAGATAACAAATGTTTGTTATTTTTAGCTGCTGCAATTTGAGATAATTTGTAATGCAGCAATAGATAATCCAGTAAATCTGGGGTGAGGCCTTAGAATCTGCATTTCTAACAAGTGCCTAAATAATGCTGATGATACTGGTCTGCTGCTTTGAAAACCACTGCTTTACCCTAATACTGAGAGGCTATCATTAGTATACCTTTACCCATTACACAGATGGAGAAACAGCTTTAGAAGTTTTAAGTACCTTTCTGAAGGTCACATACAAGGTGGGTGGTGCTGGGATTCAAACACAGGCAATCTGTTCCCCAGAGTTCATGCCCATAACTCCCTTGCTATGCTGCCTCTTCGTCTCATCATGAAGTGTGTCTATTCCTTCTGTGTTAGATTATGTTGATTGAATTGTATCTAATGGTGATGGCTGCTAATGAGGGATTTTGGTCTGGAACTTTATTGAGGATTATAATTGAAGTGGCTTTCCTCCATGACACAAATGCTCCCCCAAATTAGGATTACTACTGGGATAGTAATAATTTGTCTTTGGATATAGTGTTTTTCAAACCTTGGCATGCAGTAGAATTACTTGGAAGGCCTGTTAAAATACAGATTGATGGGACCCATCTTCAGTGTTTCTGATGTAGCAAGTTTGGGGTAGAACCTGAGAATTTGCATTTCTGACAATCTCCCAGTCAAGGCTGAGGGACCACACTTAGAGAACCACTGCTTTTGTCAAAGGGTTATGATGCTCATCCTATGTTGAGAAGTGCTATTTTGGCTGAATACTCTGAGCTGTTTAGTGCAGAGAGAAGCACAGGAAAATGAAGGGCCCTAATGCTCCTCCTGGTGCATATTTTTACCCCATGTGCCTTCCTGCTAGGGCTAGAACATATGGTTGGAGGAACCATGCAGCTGGGCTCTTTCTGCACGTCCCATGCATTCCAGGATGAGCTCAGATTCCATTCTAATTATCGAAGGCAGAGTGTGGTTGCAGGCACCCAACAGTGCTGCTTTGTGGGAGGTGTTGCTGTTTGTGTTAGATCTTGAGAAACTGAAATGGGAATGTTGACAAGCGACTGCTTGGGCAAGTCTATCTATATTATCAGTTGTACAAACAGAGTAAGGATGGGGCGCAGCCTTGACAGGTGGAGGTATGAATGAATACAGGTTAAGCCAAGGCTGGCCTTTTTTTTTTTTTCAAGCCAAACTATGGAAGAACTGTTTTACATTTTGGATGCCCAGCAACATTTCCCTTGCCAATGGAACCTGTGTTTTCTTTCTTTTTTTCTCCATCTCTGATCAACTCCTTCATTCAACCTGCAGCTGTATGGCCAATTCTTGCCTGGCCAGAATGGGCCTTGGTGTTGGCATATGGTGGTTGAGCCTTGGCCATATTGGAGAGTAGAGCTGGTTCGAAGCCTGGAGCAAGGACACCTTGCCTTCCTTTGCACCAGTACTGAATGTATGTAAGAACCACAGCTGGCAGATTAACTTGGGGTTGCCGACAGAAAGTTTGCCCTTTTCTACTGTCCAACACTTCCGGGAGACTCACAGTGGATATTAAGCTCAATTGTAGAACTATCTTTAACAAATATATACCCAACTCTACCTCTGTTTAGTAGCACTAAACAGATAGCACTAAACAGACCCATGGTCATGTGGTATGAGAGAAGAGGTGCTGTGGTAGAATCTATTTGCTTACAATTTTTCATTCCCTTTTTGCCCTTGTCATCCTTCCCTGTAGACAAAATACTCTCTTCATTCTACGGAGTTTGGGGCTATTTTGTGACTTGCTTTGCCTAGTGGCCTATTTGCCATACAAGCTTTTACAGATATTACAAGTTTCTATCATTCTCTTATTCTGATTCTCCATGATAAGATGAGCATGTTCCAACCCGATAGACATTGCTCCTCAGCCTGGTCATATAGTGATCAGACCTGCAATTCACCCACAACTTGAAGTAGTGTCTTAGAGCCACAGTTGACCTGTAGCTGATGTGTAATGTGCGTGACAAATAAATATGTGTTTTGTAAGCTAAGATTTGGGAGTTGTTTATCACACAGAAGAAGCTGCAAAAAGCTGACTAACACAGAGCTAGAGCCAAATCCTCATGTAGATTGCCTGATTTCTCAAGGAGGAGGTGTTTGACATACAGAGCCGAGCTTTGTTTCACAAATTCAGAAACTCTTACTAGAGTGGCCACTTGGAAATGTTGCCTAAATATTAAAAGCAAAATTTGTATATCTTCAAGAGAAAATACAGAACATCTGTATGAGCCAGCAGTAGAAAATATTTTTGTGAATAAAACATAAAAGATTGATAAGTTGAGTAAAATGAAATAAGATTTTTGTACAACAAAGGACTCATAAGCAAAAAGAAAAGAAACCTCAGAGGTGAAGATATATATGCACACAATGGTTGTGTAGTAAAATCAGAATATGTAATGAATTCCTACAAATCAGTAAGAAGACAAGGAAAGCAATAGGAAAAATGGCAAGGCTATTGTCAAAAATTCATAGAAGAGGTAACAAGAATGGCCAAAACCAGGTAGACTATCCTAGTAATTAGAGAAACATGAATTAAACAATGAGCCATTCTTTAACAAACATCAGACTTGCAAAATTTAGAAACTCTGCCAATATGAAGACTATGTTGGTGAAAATATACTCTGTGTCTGTGCTAAGAATGGCTGAGACACAAATCTTGTTCTTGGGGGACTTAGCATCTAATGGAGAAAGCAGACATGTGAAGAGGTAATTGTAAAACCTTACGATTAGGCATTGTAGTGATGAGGCATGCTCAGGGTAGAGTAGGATCTGAGGAGGGATCCTGACTCACTAAGCCCATGGGAGACAAGGAAGACCTCACAGAGAAAGTGACATGAAAGGGAAAAAGAGAATTCCAGACAGAGGGAGATGGAGGGATTGAAAGAGAATGGGTCTGATTAGGGAAAATGGCATAGAATTGAAAAATGTGCAATAGAAGAATTGACACAGAATAATTGATTCCATATTGTGAAGAAATGAGTCAGTGATATAGAGGAAAGGCTGGCAAAACTCTTTCATAATATGGGGGCAAAAGACAAAGAGATAAACATTTGCAGAGAGAAGATCGTGACTGTGGAGGAAATACAGTATTCATATAACTGATATTGCTGAAATAATGGAAATGATAATCAAATGGCTTGATTTAGCCATTCTAAAACACATACATATATTAAAACATCATGTTGTATACCATAAATAGATGTAATTTTTACCTGTCAACTAAAAATAAATTTTAAAAGGATATAATGGAAGAAAATTTGAGGAGGCGAAGAAATATTGAAGAAGTTCCATTTGGCAAATACTAGAAATAAAAAAAAAAGGGAAAACAACTAAAATCTAGACATATGCTGCTCTTTCAAAAAAATTTCAAGGACCTTTTTTTCCTAATTAGTAATGTTGTTTTTATCTTTTTAATTATAAAATTAATGTATATTTATTTTCAAAAATTAGAGAAATACACAATAAAAAATTACATGACATGATAATATTACTACCAAGAGGTGCCATTACTATTATTTATGTTCTTTAGTGATTCTCTTTGCTATTTATACAAAACAGCGATTGTATTGTGTGCATGTATATACTTTTATGCGTACATATATGTATACATGTAGGTATATACATGTACATGTGTATACACACAAGCATGTGTGCATATGTATATATATATTTGTACAAATAATTTATTTCTTTTTTAACTGAATTTTTAGATGTATATAGAAAGAAGGATCAATGGAACAGCATAGAAAACATAGGTAGTTGAAGTCTCAACATTTTTAGTTATTTTTGCAAGTTTTGTTATTTTCATTATGATGATTTTCAAAATATTCTGAATTTGCAGTTTTGATTTTTTTTACTCAACCTAATTATTACTTTGGAGAGGTTTTGTATATTATATATTCTCCTGAAAGATTTTACATTTTGCCTTTCATATTTAGGTCACATTTCCAAGTGGCTGTTTTCTTGGTTCATATTCTAGAAACAAATCCCTGGTTTTTCTCTGCTGTGGTCAGAGAATAGGCCTGAAGAGACTTTTCCTCTTTGGAACATTTTGAGGTTTTCATCAGGGCCTAATTATGTAATCATATTTTTGTAAATATTCTAGGGCTCTGGAAAAGAAGACTGTTTTTTTTTTGGTTTGTTTTTAAAGTAAAGCATCTTCACTAACACTTGGTTTTGGCAGACTTTTCTAATTTGTGTAAATCTGATAGTTGTAAAACAATATTTCGTTGTGGTTTATTTCACATTTCTCTAATGGCTTGAGGAATTGATCATCTTTTCATATTTTTTAGCCATTCTTGCTTTCTTGTCCTTGATTTTCTGATTATAGCCTTTGCCTTTTTCTTATTGGTTTATCTTTTATTGATTATTTTATAAGGATTTATTATATTTTCTAATATATGAGTTAGAAGTAACTTCTACATGTCTGTAGCTTCTCTTTTCTTTTGCTTATGTTGTCCTTTGTCATGCAAAAGACTTTTAATTTAATTTGTGTCAATTTTTGTTTTCGTGTTTTGTGCTTTTAATATTTTGCTTAAGAAAATCTTCCCCTATGTTAGATTATGAGGATATTTTCCTCTATGTTTCTCTTGAAGGATTTATAATTTTGCTTCTCACAATCAAGTTTTAAACTCATATGGAATTTCTCCATATATATAGTGAGAGGTAGGCAGTCTATTTATTTATTTTTTCACTTTATATGGCCAGTTGCTACAACATTATTAAATAAATTCTTTCTTCTCTAAGTTTTTATTGCCACCATATATTTGTAGACCTGTCTTGGAGCTTTTTACTTAGTGCTGCAGGTAAATTTATCTTTGCCTATACTGATGCCACACTGTTTTAGTTACTGTGGCTTCCTAATAATTTCAGACAAATAGTAGGGCAGATCACCCATCCTTATTCTTCAAAATTGTTTTGACTAATTTTGGCCCTTTACTCTTCCACATGAATTTTAACATCAGCTTATCAATTGCCATGGAATACCCTGTTATGATATTCAATGGAAACATGTATTTATATATGAATTTAGAAGCTCTTGCTTTATTTATGATACTGAGTTTTTTAAACCAGTGGCATGGTGTATCTATCTCTGTATTTAGAATTATGTTCTTACATATAGTTTTATAACTATCTTGATAAATTCCTGCCTGTTTGCATTTCCTTTTTGCATTTATTCTTAGATATTTTACACTTTGTGCTGTTCTTAACAATGAGATTTATAAATTTTATTATAGTTTACAGTTTTTATAGGAATAATATTGAATTTAATATACTGCTCTTATATTCAAAAATAATGGTAAATATTTTTTAGTAGTTCTAGCAACTTTCTATATTGTCTTTTATTTTCAGTATTGTCTATGGGACTAACAGTGATGATTTTTTCTTTCTAATCCTTCATACCTCTTCTTGCTTGCCCGCATTGACTAGGACCTATATGATGCAGAATAGGTGCAATGATAACAGCATTCCCTATTCTTTGTCCTGACTTTAAAGAGAATGCTGCTAAACTCTTACCATTTCACATAATGTGTGCTGGACCTTTTAGCTAAATATGCTGTATATATTGTATCAGGAAGTTCTCACTACTTTCCCCAGTTTGCTAAGACCATTTTTTTTCAAAATCAAGAAAGGTTATTAAATTTTATCAAATGCTTTTATTGGCATCTTTTGAGATGCTCATATGCTCGTATAATTTCTCTCCTTTAATATGTTAATAAGGTGAATTTCATTAATAGATTTTTTTTAACATTTAATTATGCTGGGATCCCTGGCATATTTCCGACTTGATCATTATGTGTTTGTGTGTGTGTGTGTGTGTGTGTGTGTGTATACACATATATATTTTACAAAATTATATATAATACATATATATTAAAAATACATATATATACATGAATCCGTATACTATATCTCCAGAATTTATTCATTCTGTAAAATTGAAACTTTGTACCTTTGACCAATATCTCCCCATTTCCCTCACCCCCTAAATTTTATACATATATTATATATAACATATATAATACATATATACACACATACACATATATAAACACATGTACATATACATACATTGTTGCATTCAGTTTGCTAATATTTTAATTAAGAGGCTATTGTAAAATTTGCTGTCTATATTTTTAAAACCTAGAGGTAAACTTGGAGGGAATTATGCTAAGTGAAATAAGCCAGGCAGAAGAAGACAAATACTGCACAATCTCACTTATATGTGGAATACAACAAAGTTGAACTCATAGAAGCAGGGAGTAGAATGATGGTTGCTAGTGGCTGGGGGTTGGGGGTGGAGAAAATTGGGAGATATTGGTCAAAGAGTACAAAGTTACAATTTTGCAGGATGAATAATTTCAGGAGATCTATTGTACAGTATGGTGACTACAGTTAATAAAAATTTATTGTATACTTGAAAATTGCTGAGAGTAGACCTTAAATATTCTTACCACAAAAATAATAAATACGTAAAGTGGTAAAAATGTTAATCATCTTTATTCAATCATTTCACAGTGTATGCACCTATCAAAAATCATGTTGTACACCCTAAATATATACAATTTTAATTTGTCAATTATACCTTAATAAAGCTGAGAAAAATTAAAAACATTCTAGAAGTATTTTTCAAATTTGCCTCCTCTATTTTTCATTACCATTTTCTTTAATCATTTTTAAAATCTCTTCCATAAATCAAGGTATTACTTCTTAATTTTCCTATTTGTTATGCCTGGTGACTCTCCATAGTTGTGGTTCATTTTCTTATTTGGTTTGTAATTTCTGATTCTGAACTCATCTTCAGCAGTGATTGATTGCTCTGGTAGAATCCAGTAGTTCTGTCTAGCAGAATCTTCTTTTGTGAATCTTCATGCTAATACCTGGGATTTTTCTGGTTCCCCTTCAAAGCCTAAACAGTTCTTTGAGGATTTCATGTTTATATACATTTCTAATTCGACCCTTGCTTTATACAGACCTTGGGTTGTATATTCCTATCCTTCTGTGGACAGTGAAACCCCTGCCATCTGTTCCTGACTCTGAAAGCATCCTGAACCATTGCAGTGTCAGCTCATACATTTCCTGCCTTTATCTTAGCATCTTGAGATATATTTTTCTTTCTTTCAAGAGCTTCTATGAATTTTTACATAAAAATTTATATCTTGGATTTTACTCAGGATTTCTGTCAGTTTGTTATGGGAGGGAGTACTTTTTTCAGAACTCCTGGTATGTCATTTTTCTAGAAATTCAAAATCTCTTCATTTTATTTTTAACTTTTATAATTATATTATCTCTGCAATTTTTCTTGATCTTAAATTACCTTTGTGTCTGACTGCAGTAGTTTTAGTAGTTTGATTCTTTTCCCTAATACTTTTTTGCCCTTTTACTTATTTAATCTGATTCTTCTGAATGCCCATTTTTTTTTTAATTGAAGTATCTCTTTTTAGATTCAGGGTCTTTTGACTCTTGACAAAACATAAAACCCTTTAGAGCAGTGCTTCTCAACCTGCTGTCTAGAGGCTACCAGCATTAGAACCATCTTGATTCTTTCTTAGAATTGAAAATTCCCTGGCGTTCCTCTCATTCAAGATGATCAAAATCATGGAGGCAGGATCCTAGAATCTATATTTCAAACAAAGATTCTATACACTTGGAGAATTGCTATTAAATGAAAAGATCAATCTTATCCAGTATCAGTTCATAGTTAAATAAGGTTTAAGTTTTCTTATTTGTGTTTCTACATGTTTTTACACAGTCCTCTAGCCCGAAAGTAGGAAGACAAATGTCCAGGTTTTCTCTGAATTCCAGTTCCCAACTTGGACATCCAGAAGCCTCTGGTGAGTCAGGAAGGAGCTAAGGCTAGAAACCCTGGTGGATCTGGTGGTGGCACAGAGGAGGCCTTCATCAGTGGGACATCCAACATCTTCTCCACATTTGACATGGTGTCCAGAATTGTCCCATTCTTTTTTTTTTTTTTCTGAGATGGAGTCTTGCTCTGTTGCCCAGGCTTCAGTAGAGTGGCACAATCTCAGCTCACTGCAACCTCTGCCTCCCGGGTTCAAATGATTGCTGGGCCTCAGCCTCCTGAGTAGCTGGGATTACAGGAGTACACCACCATGCTCGGCTAATTTTTGTATTTTTAGTAATGATGGAGTTTTGCTATGTTGGCCAGTCTGGTCTTGAAATTCTGACTTCAAGTGATTCTCCCACCTTGGCCTCCCAAAACGCTAGATTACAGGCATGAGTGAGCCACCGTACCTGGCCCAGGAGTGTCCCATTCTCAGGCCTTACATACTAGTAGGTCCTTTATCTGCCCTTGGTGGCTGATGAAGCTGGAAGATGTAGAGGACCACCAAGAGCCATGGTGGAAACAAGATGCTATTGACCTCCAGTGGTGAGATGGACCCCACATAGGCTGGCCCCATTGCCCTCAGATTGACTTATCAGCAGCTCAACCCTATGAGTCAATTTCTGCTGGGGGCCTTCTTCTCTCTCTCTAGACAGGCTATCCTTTAAAAGAGGAAGTCAGGCTTGTGCCATCCTTCTTTCCCCTCCCATCTGAATATTTTGGGGGGCTGGTCAAGATTTTGGTCCCTGTGTATGGTCTTTTGGGCATTTTAGTGGGACTCTGAGAAGGCAGAGGCTTTATCAGTTTCCTTTATGTATATTAATGAGTTTCTTGGAATATTTTCACAGCATGGGTGTGAGGATGAGCTACAAGAATTTTCAATGTGAAGTTGAGTGATTTTGCAGTTGAGTCGGACAACAACTCTGAAGGTTGCTCTTATTTCCCCATATTTATGGCCTCTCAAGTATTAGTAAATCTAAAGTATGTGATCCAATAATTTAGCAAAGTTTAACTTGATGGGTTCAATAATTTAAAAATTTTAAAGAAGCAATGGGTTAGTAAATTTGTAGTTATTTTCTAGGTAAAATAGTAAATGATATTATTTTAAGATTAAATAAAATTTTCACATTGTTTCATTTATACTGAAAAAAAGGATAGTAGAATTTCAAAAGACTGAAAAAATTTATCTATAGGTGGGTTGAAAAATAAATATTACAGCTATTTAATTTCCCAATTTCTTTTTTTGTGTGTGTATTTTTACTTCTTTTCTCATGGCATCAACATTTCTGAGCCTTTTGCTGCTAGTTGTCTAAAAGCCATTTGGCCTTTCAGCTCAAATCACAAACCCCAATCTCTAACTTCCTTGAGGTTGCAACTTGAGCACCTGAAAATGTGGCCAGCTTCAAGCCAGAGTGAAAATGTTTTTTTCTTTCATCCCTTTTGACAGCATCCCAACTAACACCACTGCAAGAGGGAAATGTCAAATTGAGGTGAACACCCAGCTCAGGTCTGATCTCTGAGCCATACTGCCTCGTTTGAATAGGGAAACTAGGAAAGGAGGGGTGATAACTCAGCCATTTCTAAAAAAGGAAAATGATAACAACCTTTGGAGGGCCAGCCATAGAAAACAGCCCTGTGAGTGCATGTCAAAGCAGCCAATCTGCTTCTGCTTAGGCAGATGTCATGGGCCTGGATCAAAGGAAGGCCTGCTCCGTGCCATGTGCTCCTATGAAAGAGAAAGTGGGTGGAAACTGGAGGCTTTTGTTGGTCTTTGGTGTTTTCTTAACAAGAGAACAGCCTCCTAGAGAAACAGCGAAAGAGCCAGGTTTCTGCAGGAGAGGATCCCACGGAGCAGCGTTGGCTGAGGTCCCTTCAGTGTGGCAAGATGCTGCTCTCTCTGGTGGAGGGATTTGGGTTCACTTCCTCGACGGAGGTGGTTCCCTGAGGCCACCCAACATTCACCAGGCTCACTGCCCCATCCTTGCTCTTCCATGCTGCCTCTGTGCTCCTGGTCAGGATGTTTGTCAGTGCTTGAGAAGGGAATTACCATGCCCATTTTAGAATGGAAGAAAATTAGGTTCAATAGAGTGCCCTAGGGCACAAAGCTTATATACCCGAGTCTGGATTAAAATTTAGGCCTGCCTGATGCTAAATAGCATGATGTTGGGCAATCCACTCACTGTCTCTGGTTCTTACTTTTCTCTCTGACATGGGTGATTGTTAAGGTCAGATGGCATTCATTCATTCAACAAACATTGTGTGCTAACTCTGTGCCAGAAACTCTTCCAGGTGCTACAGATGTAGCAACAAACATCCCTGCCTTCACGGAACTTCCCATTTGGTAAGGGAACACAGACAGTAAACAAAGATAATGTCATATGCAGTATTTCAGAGAGTGTCAGGTGCTACATGGGAGGCGGGTAGGGATGGAGGGGTAAAGAACGCTGGTGGGAGGTATAAGATTTTTAGCTGGGGACTTCAGGGGAAGCCTCATGGATAAAGTGACATTTGAGTAAGGAGATGGGAGACTGAGCTACATGGATAATTAGGGGACAATATTACAGGACGAGTGAGTATGTGCCAAGTCTCTGATGCAGGAGTGAATGTGGCACATGCAAGGAAAAACAAGAAGTCACTGTGGCTGGAGTGGATCGAAGGAGAGGGTGTCTTGGTCCTTTCGCGCTGTTTTAACAAAATACTGTAAGGTGCCAGCAGATCCAGTATCCGCTTTCTGGTTCAGAGACAGCACCTCCTTGCTATAATATCCTTATGTAGCAGAAGGGGCAAAGCAGCTCTATGTGGTCCCTTTTTTATAAGGGCACTTATTTCAGTTATTAGGACTCTTCCTTTATGACCTAATCATCTCCCAACAGTCCCATCTTCTAACAGCATCACGTTGGGGGTAAAGATTTCAACTTAGGTATTTTTGGAGACACAAATATTCAGACCATAGCAGAGGGAAAGTAGAACAGGATGCCATAGAGGTAATGTTGTGGTGCATGGGAGGGGGAAGGTTGTCACACACAGCAATCTGTAGGCCTTTATAAGAGATGATGTATATAAAAACATTTTTGATGGTCAAAGGGCTGTCTAAATATATATGCAATAATGTATACATATCTGTTTTGGGATTTGGGTTCTAGACTCAGTCTGCATAGTAGGTTTTAGTGTCTCACTCTCAGTTCTGAAATTCTGGCTCTTGGAAAGTCATTGTTCTCAAATGGGATGCCATGATTTGTAGGTGTAATCTATCCCATTGCAGGCATTAAATTCTTGATAAACACATAACATACGTTCTTTTCTGAAATTGAATTTGTGGCTACTATGGCTGTGCATGGATTTTTAAGTTGACTGGGGTTATTATGGGGTGCAATGTCTTAAGATTATAAAAGCTGAGTTGTAGCTTAATGCCAAGCCAATATCAAGTAAAGACCTAATTCTCCTGAAATGCATAAGAAGGTCACCTAGTGAGGATGGAAGTGAGGAAGATCAGAATGGTGAACTGACAACTCCATCAGCATCCCAGCAATAAAGGGAGAGAAAATGTATTATTCAGTAACTGTGGATGCTTTTATAGACACTGCAAGACATTGTTATTATATAGTAGTGCTTGTGCTTTCATTATGGTTGACCTGTTACAATCTGTTATTCGGATATTTTAATTCTGCTAAGCATGAACTTCAAATATTCAAAAACGTGTGGCAAAGATATACAAGTAAAAAAGAAGGTTGAGAATGAATATTTTAGAACTTAGAGACTGTACGTGCTGTGTTACTGTTGGGTGGATCACTTTTGGCTAATTATGAAATTTAGATACACTGATTAGTCAGGTTTGACTCTTGCATTAAATAAATTATTTTGCTTTGACATTGGGTACTTGGTTTACAAAGTACTCTACCTTTCATCATCAGATTTTATCCTCACAAAACTCTTGTGGAGGAGGTAGTATGGAATTGTCACCTTCATACTACAAATGAGAAAATAGGGAAATGGCATGGTTTTCCCAGTCACACTAGTATATAGTGGCAGCAAAGATGGAATGTGAGTTCAAAGGATCAACAAACTCATAGGTTCTTTCTGTCCTAGACTGACTTGTGAATAATAGCACAATAGAGGAAGACAGTTGGGTCAAATTAGTTATATGTTGTGTGTAGAAAAACAGCCTTCCAATAATGGCACTTCCCATGTTAATTATTTTGCATGGTGTGTAAAAAGAGCTTGACACCTATGTAGGAGGTTCAAAGCAGCTCCCAAACTATATTGTCTTCATGCAGCCCAGCTACCGACTGAGTATGGCTAGATTGTCAGTACACTGCTAACTTCTGTGTTCTCTCCTGTAATAGCAGACTGGACTCTGCAGGCCTGATCAAGTAGGAATGGGTGGGTTGAAAGTCGTGATCATTATAAATCAATTATCTGCAGTTTGCTCAAGTAAGGGTCCTTGTCATTATGCATTATAGCTTAATTTTCCCAACTAAATTGACCTTTCAGTGGCCCATGCCCATTATTGTTTATTTTAGAAAACTTCTACCATTGCCCATTCTTTAGAGCAGAGCTGCCCAATAGAACTTTATAGAATGATGGATATATTCTGTATCTGCACTGTCTCCTATAGTAGCCACTAGACATGCACAGCTATTGAGTGATTGAAATGTGGCTGGTGCAACTAAAGAACTGATTTGTTAATTTATTGGGAATTTTAATTAATTTAAATATATATAGCCATGTGTGGCTGGTATCGACTACATGGACAGTGCAGCTCTAGGAATGCTGTGATTCCCATGTCTCATTCTCACAGCTGCTGGGTGGCACTGGCAGTTGACAGCCCTCAAGAGAGTCCTCTGGAAATTTCTGTCAGCCAAAGAAAGCCCCTTGGCCCAGGGTCACACTTCTTTCTGGGACAGCCCACATTCAGTGACTGGTCTGGGCAGGATATAATGGTCTGGCCCCCTCATCCCAATTTGGAACAGCTCTGAAGGGATATTCTAACTTCAGAACTCCTTATGGGACTGGCAAGGCTTCTATTGCAACTGTATCCCAGTTCTGTTTCTCCCCTGCCTTGTGTTCTTCCTGCACCCCTCACAGATGTTGACCCCAAGAGCATGCCCCAGTAACTGGCTGCATGTGAATGTCTGTCTCAGAGTTGGCTTCTTGGGAGCCTGATTTATGACACTGTCCCTGGCCTCCCACCCAATTCTGCACATCTCAGATATAAACTGTTAAAACAAGAAAGCAAATGCATTGTTAATTTTTTCATAACTTGCATTTTACATCAGCCTGGGCCCATATCACACCGGGAAAAGGAAATAAAGTCATCTGAATAAAGGATACATTTCTGCAAGAAGTTCTCTGTCCAAGGAGTCAGTAGAAGGAAACACTATGAATGACACTGTATTCTAAATTTTGTCACTGTCACTTTCTCTTCCCCCCACAAGGTCATTTTCTTAATTCAACAAACACTGACTGTGCATGCACCTCCTATATTCTAGACCAACATTAGGGTTCTAGGTGCACAGAGATGACAAATGCAGTATGGTTCTTGTTCTCAGTGGCTCATTGTGTGGGTGCAGAAGGAGATGTTCAGGAGGCATTAGATAATCCAGTGCCAAAAGTGCCACATTTAAGGTACCAGGGTACACTGAAGATATGCAGGAGGAGGAGGGACTCTTCTGTGGGGATCAGGAAACTGTGACTCTCAGACTAGTTTTGTATGGGTCATGAGTTAAAAATGTTTTCCAAATTTTATATTGTTGAAAAATACTCAAAAGTAGAATCATATTTCATGATACATGGAAATCACATGAAATTCAAATTTCAGTGTCTATACAGAAAATCTTATTGGACCACAGCCATGCTCATTAGTTTACATATCATCTATGGCTGCTTTCACACACCACCACCAGGGTTGAGTAGTTGCAGCAGAAAGTGTATACCACCTGTAAGGCAGAAAGTAAGATATTTACTCTCTGGCCCTCTACAGGAAGTTTGCCGACTCTTGGGTTAGTGCAATCAAGGAGGTCTATCTGTAAAGAGTTGCCTCTGAACTGGGTTTTAAAGCATGAAAGGGAATTTTCCAGGCAGAAAAGGACCAGATGAAGGTAACTCTGGTAGAAGAAACAGCATGTGCGGAGGCATACAGGCAAGAGGCAGGAGGCAAGAAAGGAATAGTATGCATAAATAATAAGTATTTCAGGCTGGGAGAGGTGGCTTACACCGGTAATCTCAGAGATTTGGGAGGCCAAGATAGGAAGGTCACTTGAAGCTAGGAGTTAGAGACCAGACTGGGCAACAAAGTGAGACCCCATCGATAAAATAAATAAATAAATAAATTAGCTGTTTGGGAGGCTGAAGTTAGAGGATCACTTGAGCCCAGGAGTTCAAGGTTGTAGTAAGCTGTGAATGCACCACTACATTCCAGCTTGGGCAGCAGAGGGAAACCCTATCTCTTACAAAAAAAAAAAAAAAATGTTGGTGCATTTGGGACATTTTGTTTGGAGTGAGGTAGGAAGCAAGTATGAAAAACTGGATTTTCATGCTAAGGAATTTATTCTTCATTTCTTAAACAGTGAGGAGTCATTGAAGTGTTTTAAGCAGAGGAGTAGTTTGGCCAGTTTGGGGTTTCAAGGAGATCATTCTGGTGGCCCTTACGGAGGAAGCTTTGGAGGAGGCGAGACCAACGCAGGGAGTATTTCAACAATGAAGACACCAAGAGCTTGACGTGGAGTAGCAGCGGTGGGGATTCCAGTTCCTATGTGAGCTCAAGAACCCAGAGTGTAGGAAGTTCATTTTGACAGACTGGTGGGATGAAGCCAGGACATGGGGCGGGAAAAGGTTAGGAAAGGAAAGAGTGAATCAGAGGCGGGGGTTCTGTGGGTGGACAGGCAGCTGGACAGGCAGCAGCAGAAGCGATGTAGGACGCAGCTTGGGGGACAGCTGAAGGGCTTTGGGGTTACAGCAGCGGAAGTGACTTGAGCAGAGGAGGGACTCTGGACATCATGGACAATGGGGCACTGGGAAGTGAGGAGCTGGCGGCAGGGTGGGCACAGGATGATGACGATGATAACAGTAATGATGATAATAGCAATAATAACAGTGGAAGGTCAAAGGCAGCTTCCTCTGAGATGGCCAGATGAGGGAGGGGGCTAGTGTCCAGCTCACTTTCATAAGGTCGGGCTGTAAGTGGTGAAAAGCAAGCTTTGTGTGGTAGAAACAGAGGCCAGCTGCTGCCAGAGGGGAAAGGAAGGTGGAGGCTGAGGTGGGATATTTTCCAAACCCAAGAACCAAAGTAAATAGGAAATGGAATCTTTAATGCTATTTGAGCTCAAACAAAAGATCACCACAGCTACTTCAGTTGAGTTCCAGTGATCCCTTTCACTTGGCCAGGAATTAGCGAGAGGCCTCCCCAGCTGTGCATCTCTCCTCTAAGCCTTCACCTGAGAATGAGCTGAGGTTTGAATGAGGCCTTTATCCTGAGAGTTCAGGGGGCTGTTCTGGCTCCCTGATCAAATTCAAACCTCTGTTTTGGGAGACAGACATGGGAAAAATATTTACCCCTTTCATGTTGACACATGGATATACAGGGCAATTCTGTCAGAATCTACACGAAGCCAGAGCTGCATTTTAAGCCAGTATCAGGGGCCACTGTTTTTGGGGTTGCTTAGGTGACCGTGTTTGGGGTCAGTTGCCTGATATAGAGGGAGTGCTAAACAGGGGCTTGTACAGAAGATGACTTGGGGAGTTTGAGTCCACTTACCCTTCTCTACACTGTGAGAAGCAATAACATTCTTGTTAACCAGTAGTATATAACATTATCTCACTTAATCCTTCCAGCAACAGCTCTCTTAAGTTAAAACTAATATTAGCCTTATTGTACGGATGGAGAAACTGATACCAAGAGGAGGCTAGAATAGTTGTGCAAGTCAGAGTCAGTGGGAAAACCAGATTCAAGCTGAGCAACAAAACAGAAGAGACTCTGATCTTGTATATCACTGGAGGATTGAGGAATTGGAGGAGCATCTTCCAGGGAACGTCTCTGTTGACTGTGGACCAGAATGCTCTTCATCTGTCCTCCTGGCTATCTCCTTCTCAACTGTCATGTGTCCTCCCCAGGGTGGCCTTCTCTGATCACTCAAGCCAAAGGATATCTCAGCATCCTGTACGGTTTTTTCAAGGTACTGGATATAATTGTATTTATTTATTACCATGCCCCCTCATTTATTTTGCTTGTTTTCTTCAGTAGAATATAAGCTTTGTGTAGTCCAGGGCTGCGTCTGTATTGCTCACTCTTAAATCCTGGTACCAACTAAAGTGCTTGGTGCACAGTATGAATGATGCATATTCTGTTGAATGAATGACCATTTCAGCTCCCCAGGAATGGGGCCTGGCCAGGAGGCTGGGTTTCCTTGGGAGCCCGAGGTGGATAGTGTCCCTTTGGTAGGCTAGTTTGAAAGGCAGCAGGGTAGAAAATGACAGCTCAACTTGTGAAAGTAAAGAAGAAAATGTCTCACTTTTCCATTTATTTTCTGTATTTCAATATGGAAGAGTATAACTGGAGATGGGTGATGCAGTTGTAAGAGAAATGAACCGGTACCTGTTGTAGTGTTGAAAAACAGAATTAGATGCGGAGGTGAATATTTGTTGTGTATTAGCAGCTGTGATGGCTATCGGCTTTACAGACTTGATCTAATTTTTCCCTCACAATGATGCTGTAATGTAATGCTCTAATGCTTTTTGCAAGCTTTTCCATTTTACAGGTGATAAAATAGAGGCTCAAAAAGGGTAAATCAGCCACCATCTGTTCAACATTCAGACAGATGGTGAAGATGAGATTCTAATGCAGTTGTGTCAAACTTCATAACTCTTTTCATTAGTGATATGAGTGCAAGAACTTGAGACAGACTGCCTGGGTTCATATTCCTGGTCTGTCAATTACTGGGGTGTGTGATTTTAGGAAAATTTCTTACCATTTTGTGCCTTAGTTTCCTCATCTAAAAAATTAGGATAATACTGGTGCCTATCTTATAAGGTTGTAGGGGGACTAAATAGGTCAATACTGTTCAAGTAAAAAATCTAAAACAATACCTGGCGCTATTGTATATTATTTTATCATCATCATCATCATCATCATCATCATCATCAATTATCTTCCTCCTCCTCATCATCATTTTATTGGACTAAATACTCTGCTTTTGGCTTCCTACTTTATGATTAATTTTGTATGTCAATTTGACTGGGTAAAGTGATGGCTAGATAGCCAGTAAGACATTATTTCTGTGTGTTTCTATAAGGGTGTTTCTAGAAGAGATCGGCATTTGAATTAGTAGACTGAGTAACAAAGTTTACTCGCATCATGCTGGTGCGCCCCATTCAATCCATTGAGGGCCTGAATAGGACAAGAAGGCAGAGGAAAGGCAAAATAGTTCTCTGCTTGAACTGGGACGTCATCTTTTCTTATTACTAGACATTAGTGTTTCTAGTTCTTGGGGCTTTGGACTTGGACTTAGATTATTGGCTTCCCTGGTTCTCAGGCCATCACATTTGGAATGAAACTCTATCGCTGGATTCCTTGGGCCTTCAGCTTATAGATAGCAGATAGTGGGACTTCTCAGCTTCCATAATCATGTGAGCCAATCCCTAATCCCTCGTGAGAAATATCTTCCTATATATTTCTATTTATCCTATTAATTCTGTTTTTCTGAAGAACGCTGACTAATATACTCCTTCTAAGCTGAGGTTGTGCAGAGGCTGTAACTAGGAAGGGGAACCATCTAGGAAGATTTGAGTGAAAGTTCCAGTTCATGGGGGCCCTGGAAGCAGCAAGAAATAGATCATATCTGGTTCTTATGAAAATTATCTTTTTCCTCTGCTGCTTCTTTCAGAGGCTAAGAGGTTCCATTTCAGGTTTCCTGAGTTTCTGCACAGTGATTGTGACCTTTCTTTCCTTTCATCTTTCACTTCTGGTAGAAAGGGAGAGTAACGAGATGAAGACTTTATTAGGAAATGAACACAGCAAAGTAACACTACTTGGCCATTTGAGATAGCACATTGGCAAGAGTGTCAGGGATGCTGCTAAGGATGGTGCAAGGCCAGGCTGGACTCAGACCCTGAGCTCAGACACAGGAGTCTCAGGGTGATCTTTTAGAAGCTCCAGGGTCCCTCTAGGGGTAGTAGAGAAGACAGAAGGAGCTATGTGACGGAGGGAATTCCTAGGCATGTATCTGAAAGGTGTCTTTGAAAAAGTAATAATTTGTACCAACTGAGAGCATCATGGATGTTCCATGACTATCAACACAGGAATGTTTTTCTATTAATGGACTGGACTGGTATGTTTTCCATTTGGAGGATAACCCAGGGGTTCCACAGTGAGCTAATCATTCTTGAGAGGTTGGGATATATTTCTTTGATTTTGCCCCAAAGAAGAGGATGTTTTTAGGAGTCTTGAGAGCCCGTGCATCTATCACTGCAAGCTCTTTTCGTTCTAGGATGCTCAGTTCTCTCTTTAACTTGACCCCCATTGGGGCTGCCCCCCCATATCAGAAATGTAGACAGAGCTAGGTCCCTACTAGGCTGTAAGTACCATGACCAAAGGAGCCATGGCTCTAGATCTGGCCAAAGATGATTTGGGAAGTGTAATTATCTCTTGGCTTTCTCAGCTAACTTCGGACTCTGTGCTTCTCTAAGCTCAGGATGTCCTAAACCCATCTTCTCTGGAGAAATCAGGTAGACAAGAGATGAGAGGACTCTGGTCTCCCTACAAGTTTCCTTGGCCTCTCCCAGAACCCTCAAAAACCCAGAATGTGAGTTCCAGTGTAATCCATCAGTGCAGAAAAGAATGTGTGTGGTTTGTTTAAGAAGAAGCACACCCTATGTGGAAACACACATCTGCTGGGTTTTTGGTGGGATGTGCTCTGCTCAGCCTAGAGAGTCAGGCAGTGGAGAATGTGTCTGCCCATAGGTGGCAGTACCCAGGTGAGTTCTACAGAAACTAGAATGCAATGAGGTCCTAAACTTACAGCAAATCAATAAAAATCCTAAGTAGGCCCTGATCTATCTATGAAAATATCTCCCTCCCCTAATTTCCACTCTTTCACCTAACTGGGGACAAGGGAAGTAAAAACTCCTTAGGAAAATGGGAGAAATTTTGGCACTATATTCTAGTATAAATGGTTAATTTTCTGAAGTTCAAAAAATTGGTTAAAGGTCATAAAAGAAGAAGAGGATTCATTTGCTTGTTTAATAACTTACTAAACAACATCTTTGGCAAGAACTTATGCTCAGTTAAGGGAAATAACAACAGAGTCTCAATGCTAGCTTTGAGTTTGGAGTTTGCTCTGAAAGATAATACTTCCTGTTGCCTCTTTATTGTTATATCACAAGTGTATAACAAAGTGGTTGAACTTGATTAGGATGTTTATATAGCTGATTACAAAAAAAAGGAAATGGACATTTATTGAGTGTTTACTATGTGCCCAACACTTTCTCATCTAATAAATATTGTAGTGTAATGCTGGTCACACTCAAACACTCAGTGGATTGTAGCTGTCAATCCACTGATTATTGGATTGACAGTAATTGATAAATTACTGGATTGACAATCCACTGATCATTGGATGGACAACTACAAGCCAAAAAATGCCTGGAGCCACCAGAAGCTGGAAGAGGTGATGAGTTTTCTCCCAAAAGCCGTTAGAAGGAGCATGGTTCTGCAGACCCCTTGATTTCAAACTTCTGACTTCCAGACTAGTGAGGAAATAAATTTTTGTTGTTTTAAGCCACCAATTTTATAGTAGTTTTTTGTGGCAGGCCTAGAAAAGTAGTACAACCACCTAATATAAGTATGACCTTAAACTTATCCTCCCTCAGCTTGGATTCCCTGTATCAGAAAATTGGAAAAATACTAAGGGTTGTTGTAAAGGTTCCACAAGAAACACATTGGAATTATTGCTCATAGAATGGGAACTGGAGATAAAGGAGATTAATTAAACAATTATTGTCTTTGCCTGAACCAGTGACAATACCATGCTAGGAACTATATCTAAGGTTCAAAGACTGTGTGGGATCCAAATTTTGCCACTTAATGTCTGTGATCCTGGGAATCTTAGGTGGGTGTAAGTAAACTGTGACAGAATTTATCTATGAGGATAAAAATGGTGCTGGCTTATTGAGTGGTTGTGAGCTTTGAATAGATAATGCAAACACAATCAGTCCTTCTCTCGTGTTTATTTTGAAAATGGGATTTGTTCCAAAGTAATTGATATATTAGAGAATAATCTGAGCATAATGTGAATTCTGTGTCTGCTTATATTGAATTTCATCCACAAGAAACACTAGGTGAATACAGAAAATTATAACCCAATGAACTGAGCTGTGTAGGAATACAGAAAACACACGTTGATATGGTTTGGCTCCGTGTCCCCACCCAAATCTCATGTAGAATTGTAATCCTCAGTGTTGGAGGGGAGGGGTCGGGTGAGAGGTGTGGATCATGGAGGCAGACTTCCTCCTTGCTGTTCTCATAATAGTGAGTGAGTTCTCACGAGATCTGGTTAACAATGCCCTTTGTGCTCTCTCTCCTCCACCATGTAAAGAGGTACCTACTTCTCCTTCTCCTTCTACCATGATTGTAAGTTTCCTGAGGCCTCCCCAGCCATGCTTCCTGGAGAGCCTATGGAACTGTGAGCCAATTAAACTTATTTTGTTTATAAATTACCCAGTCTCAGGTAGTTCTTTATAGCAATGCGAAAATGGACTAATATGCACATGTACACATCTCAAACATCTACCATCTCCTCAGCCACATGTGTTAAGAGTCACATTCATCCACTCTTAGTGTTACAACCTTCCATCTGATTTCAGACGACTCTCCTTCATAACAACTGACAAGCTGCAACCCAATGCCCAGGAAACTTATTTCGCAAGTAATCCTCAGATCTATTTAAAGGTAAAGTGCCATATTTATGGTGATATTTATGTATGTCTGACCCTGGAAGCACTGACTGGAATCCCTGCTTCCATCTCCACATGACCTTCTTCCTTGGCTCTCTGTGTCTCAAATCTCTCTCTTCTCTCTCTTTTAAAATGACCTCATCTCCAGATTTATAACTTAGTTACATTTGCAGAGACTCTATTTCCAAATAAGGTCGCATTCACTGGTACCAGGGTTTGTATACAGGACACATATTTTTGGGGGGGACGTCCTTCAACCCAGTACAGTGGTATGATGGCCAGTTGTACCTTGGTCCTTTGAAAAGAAGCACATTGCTATTTCTGCTAGACCATAAAGCCACCCAGCATTTGAAGTGCAGAGACATATACTCCATTCCCTACAGATACAGTAAGATTTTAAAATACTGAAGCTGATAAGCTCTATCTTTGGCAGAACTTAGTTTTGCATCCTTCTGCCAATTGCCTTCCCCCACTCTTGGGGGATATCTATAGAGGATCACTTCAGTATCTAAGTGGAAAGCTTTATGGGAAGAGGATCTATAGGTTCTTCTAGGTGCTAGGAAGAGCTTTGTGTTGCAGGTGAGCACACCTGGGGCCTGTAGATGTGCTTGGGGGATAGAATTCAAGTCTTTCTGAAGCAGACCTTCCTTCTGGACTCAGGGATGAAACTCTTGCAGCCTCTAGTCAGGACACCAAATTACCTAGATCAGTGCTTCTCTGACTTTAATGTATGAAAGAATAACCTGGAATATTTGTTAAAATACAGAATCCTGGACTTTACCTGCAGAGATTCTCCTTTAGTAGGTCTGAGCTGGGCCCAAGATTTTGCATTTCTAACAAAGTTTTAGGTGATGCTTTTGCCACTGATTAGGAGAACCACTATCTGAGCAACACTGATCTAGGCGGATTGTACAAAAAGCCATGTGGGTCAGTCTTTGTATGTATCATAGTGAAAAATGGTACAAAAAGAGCAGTTCAAAGTATTTAAAAGTAATTCTTATTTGGACTCTTGCTTCTTAAGAAACATTAAAAAGGATTGAATTTATAAGCTAGAGCAATAGCTCTCAAAAACTTTTCTGTGCTTTCCCAATTCTTTCACCCCTATGGCAGAACAGATTTTTTTAATTCAAATCCTGAACTCTTCCTCATTAAGCTCTGGACTTTCCTCTTTTTCTGCCTCTTGAGTCCTCTGACTCTGATTCTCAAAATTCTAGAATCTAAGTTGTTAAAGAAAAAATTCTCCCAGAGGCAGAAGTGAAGGGTGGAGCTGGCAAGGCAGATAACACTCCCAAGTTGATAAATCTTGTATCTCCCAAAGTTATTAATATTTCACATCTAAACTCCAAAGGGAAACCTCACTGATCCAAAGTGACCTGCAACCACTCAAGATAATGTTTCTTTTTTAAATAATTTAACTTTTTGTGACAGAAAAGCAAGGGCAAGTGTGTCTTTAGTAGCTCCATTAACCTATAATTTTCCCTATAATGCCACTGAGATTGGAAGTGTTGTTACTTTAAAAAAAAGTCTACTTGAGACAAACTTGTTGATTATATTATCAGAATTTCTTTATACAGGCTGATTTTTGGTCTTCTGCAGAAAGTGGTATGTTAAATTTTTCCTTATAATTGTGTTTTCATCAAATCCTTTGTACATTTAGAACTATTTGCCTTATGTAACATGCTGCTATGTTGTTTGCAGCATAAACATTTTGGGTTGCTAAAAAGATGGATTTATATTTACCCATTTTCATCTGTCACTTATGTGAGGGATTAGTCTATAAATATTATTTTTAAAGCAATAGAACTCTTTTCTCAAAGTGAATCTAAAGCAAAACCCCAATATATAAAACATTAGCTGCTTAGACCTAGAGGAGATGGGTCTGGTCCAGCAGTTTTCAACCAGGCTCTGCAAATAAATAAATAAATAAATAAACCCCATGGATCACAATTTGAGTAAATATTTTCCAGGCTATCCTTAGGATAGTACATAGAAAATGGGTTAGGGCTGTAGGGCTTCCCTAGAACCTGGGTTGAGAGGGTTGTGAGGTCTGTGGCCTGGTAGAGAGGCACTTTCAACAAATTAGCGTTATTGTGCTTCCTTCAGACAATGCTTCCCCCAAAATGCATATGGTTAATTGGGATTATGCACTCTGATAGTGATTGAAAAAATCTCTCCATCCAGTCTATGGTTAGTGATGATCCCAGATACAGGTGAAAGAGGACAGGAGCCCAGCTACAGGAAAAGTCATCAGGTCAAGGAAATTCATGATGTATGCACAGAGTAATTATTAAGATATTTTTCTGATATTTCATATCTCTTTCCTTCTCCTTTTTTCTACCTCCACCGCCTCCTTTGGTGGGACTTACTAGAGTATGGAGTGAGAATTAGAGATGAAATGTGTCCCTCTCGCAGAATCCGCAGAATCTGCTTAGCTGGAAGTTAGCCCCTGGAGGGCAGCAACTTGTCTGACCTGCTCTCGGCTACATCCCTAGCACCTAGGATCGTTCCTTGGTGGGTGCATGAGTGGGTGACTGACTAGTGGGTGACTAGTCCTTGACAGAGTGGGTGTCATGGACTAATTGGAGAGACAGATATGAACAAATACTTTTGAAATGATATGATACATGATGACATAGATATACCCTGACTCCTAATGAAGCACAAGAGAAGGATGGATGAAACCTATGTGTGGAAATTAGACCAGGGAAAGTATCACGAAGGACAGATGTTATTACCTAGGACTCTTTCCCCATCTCTGAGTTGGCCATGCACAGGGGTAAATGGGACAGCTGGATGCTGCAACTGGTGGAGGAAGGCTAACACAGAGTTGCATGGTGTTATTAAATGTCCCAGTTTCCAGTCTGAGAGTCAGGATTAGTCTCATTTAAGAAACATGATCTGGCCGGATGCTGCAGTGGCTCACACCTGTAATCCCAGCAATTTGGGAGGGCGAGGTGGGTGGATCACTTGAGGCCAGGAGTTCAAGACCAGGCTGGCCAACATGATGAAACCCCATCTCCACTAAAAATAAGAAAATTAGCCAGGTGTGGTGGCACACACCTGTAATCCCAGTTACTCTGGAGGCTGAGGTAGAAGAATCGCTTGAACCCTGGGAGGTGGAGGTTGCAGTGAGCTGAGATCACACCACTGCACTCCAGCCTGAGTGACAGAGTGAGACCCTGTCTCAAAAAAAAAAATTATCCTTGTGACACAGGTATGATACTTCCTTTGTTATTGGTTGAGTAATCGATAGAGTTGAATAGTATGTTCATTTTAGGTCACTGGGGTCTGGCAGGCAATAAGTGGTCTAATGGGTTGCTGGCTCCTTTTTGCTGATCCACTAAGGCAGTGTTGTTACAGGATTTTTCAATGAAAAAAAGAATCCAATGGGAGGAAGGTCACTGAAGCTATACCTGCTTTGTTTCATGGGACAAATATTATGCCTTGCCTTACCCAGGAATTCTAATATGCACTCCTATCTTGTGGATCACATCTAAAAGTAGAAGTCACTGTATTTTTTTTCCTTATGAACCATCTTCAAGAAGATTTAGTTGAGCTTTACCTCTGAAAAGAATCAACATTTTTCAATTCCCAAATATAAAATTTCATTTGAAACTTCCATGTGCTTTTTTGAATGTACCCCACCCCTGAAAACCTGCTCGAGAGGCCAGTGCACCCCTCTAGATAGGGATTATTGGGTGAGATGATGGAAATAAAAAACGAAAATGGGTTCTTTTTCTCAGATAGCTACTGTCTTACTCAAAAGGAGATTAAAAGTAAATTAAGAAAAAATAAAAGTAACTTCAAGTATAAAACCATTAAGAACAATGCTTAAAGGAATTGCAGGAACAAAATCAAACAAAGCAAAACAGAAATGCCTACAAAAAAGAGCTGTAAATATTAGTCTCAAGGAAAAAATAAGAGCAAAAGTTATATATATTCTCTGTATATATATATGTATATGTATAGTATATATATATGTATATGTATATGTATAGTATATGTATATATTTCTATAGACTAATATATTACACATATATACATATATAGACTATATGTATACACACAAATACAATATACACACATACACATGTACACACACTAAGGTCTACTAAAACACACACAAGGCTTCCTATGCACCTGTCTGTGTCTCCCTGCCCAAGGACTTTACCTGGCCCCTTCAGCAGTGTGAGGTTACTGAAGTTCACTCTCCAGGAGCTCTATAACCAGTGATGGACAAGAGTTTCTGGAAAAATATCCAGCTTCCCATCTCTCCATGGGAGAACTCTAGGGTATGTTCAGCATTTTTTAGTGGGCCCCAGTGGGATCCAGCTCCAAGTGCTCACAGGGATAGCAGGTATATTATACCACCCTTTTGCTGGCTTTCTTCACTTCCACACTTTTTCACTCTGCTGCTCTGGATCCAGAATAATCATTTCTCACCTAAATCCTCAGGGGCTGCTTTTGGGAGAATTCAGACTAAGGCAGTACACCATAGACACACCTTTCAAGTTTGTCAAAAATTTATTCAGGTATTTTAAAAAAATGATGCAGTTCAAAGAGATACTTCTATTTCTTTATCTAGATATATCCTTCTTATTTATATTAATGTTATTAGATTTATCTACATCTCTATTCAGTGCTATTGAAATAAAATAATTGAAAATAATTTCTATGCTAAATTCCCATTTGTAATTATTTATAACTTTCAAGAGACTTTGAGTCCAATAGATTTTTAGTCACTTTATGTAAAATCTCACTTTTTTTTCTTTTAAATTTTATTTGGCAGAAGACTTGGCCTGTCCCATATGGTGAGTGCATGTGAAGTCCCTTGGTGGAAAGTGATTCTTTATATTTGTTTTCCTGAAAATTTATTGTCAGAACATTGTTTTGGAATATGTGTAATTCCTCTAGGGGGTTAAATGTGGGTGGTGAGCTGTGTAGAGAAATATTACTTATGACCCATCCTGGGCAGTGATATTCTCTTACATATTTAGTCTGGCTTTGAGTACCTAGTTGATGTTAAACAAATGCTAATTAATAATAACCTAATAGAAAATGGATTTAGGGCAAACAAATGCAATGCCTAATGACATCCTAGATTTTTCAAACAACATTCATCACATTTATTTTAGTCTTCTCAAACTGAAGCCATTATTTCAAGTCAGTTCTGCAGAAAAGAGGAGGTTAGGTTTGAGTGTGTTTTTTTTTTTTCCCAGAATATTCCATTCTGTAGGTGCCTGTAATTCCTGGGCTGAGATGAGGTAGCTGTGTGCAGTGGGGATGTATAGGATGAGCTGTAAGTTTCCTCTATAAGCCTGAGGTTCTTTCTTCTCCAAAGAGGACACTCACTGAAATTTAGTGCATCATCCAGGAAACTGTGTTATTCCAAAAGAAGATAAAAGTTTTATTTAATTAATAGCATGGCTGAAACCACAGACTCCCCCATTTATAACCTGGATTGGCGCCAAGATCAGGATCAATAAGAATGCAAATGTGGTGTTAACACCTTCTTCCTCTCAAGAACTGTTTTATCCCTCACTTATCCCCATTCTTCCATAGAGACCATCTAGAGTTAGTTATTCATGTTCTGGACCCACACGCTTTCCAACTTTTCTTCCTCATTCTGGACCTGCCATATCTTTCAGCCACGGTTCGTCCAAGATGAACAAATAAACACGTGATGAAATATTATTCCACCTTAAAAGTGAAGGGAGTCCTACTGTATGTAGGATGAACATGGATAAACCTGGAGGACATTAATCTAAGTGAATAAGCTAGTCACAGAATGACAAGTATTACGTGATTCCACTTACATGAGGTATACAAAATAGTCAGACACACAGAGAGTAAATAGTGGTTGCCAAAACCTGGAGGGAGGGGGAAATCGGGGAGTTGCTATTCAATCAGCTTTAAGTTATAGTTTTGAAAGATACTTCTAGAGATTTTCCTGTACAACACTATGTTTATAATTAACATTGCATTGTACACTTAAAATTTTAAGCAGATCTCATGTTAAGTGTTCTTACACAATAAAAAATAAGAATAATTAAGAAGACATATTTAGGTTTCCATTTCTACCACGTTCTTCTCTGAGCTTCAGTTTACTTCTCTGGAAGTAGTGATAATACCAACCTAGTGTCATTATGAGAACTAAATGTGATAATGTTTATTGGATGTCTGGCACGTCAGTGACAGAAAATGGATGCCAGTTTTATGCCCATTAGAGAGGTGTGCAAGGCTTAGTGTAAGCAAAGGCTCTAGAGCTGAATTCTGCCTTTGTTACTTGTGTGGTTTTGAGGAAGTCTTTTAATCTCTTGCTCTTTGACTCAGTTTCCCCATCAGTTAAATAGGGGCAATAATATTATCTAAAATAGAGGGTTATTTTGAGAATTAAATAAGGCAGTGTGTGTAAAGTGTTCTATGGATGTTTGCCATATTATTATTATTCGTTTCCTAGGGAAATGAGTAGTCCTTCTTCATTATCTCTTAATACAGTTCTATTATTCTGTGATTCTCCCTTCCTATGTAGGAAAAATGGGTTCTCATTGCTAAAACTTACTAAGGAAAATGCTGATCTCCCAAAATAGCTATTGAGCAGTAATTTTCAAAATACATAGTAAACCCAAGCTATACATGAAAGGCTCTTAAACTAGGTCATTGCCGCGGGCTGCTTAGAGAGGGTGCCACTGGGGTGATTTATGTCTGGGGGGATTATTAATTAAACAAGAGGGTCTGTGTTTTTGAAAAATGCCTCTGCCACAGAAGAACTGTGCCTGAAGAGACATAAAGGAAGAGATGTGATTAGAGTGTATCTGTATCTCTCTCTATCTCTATATATATTCAAAAGATTATGCATTAAACATATTTTTTTTTCCCTGCATTTAATGCTTTCAAAGTTTTCATACATCTCTGTCCTGAGTTTGGACTGCTTTGGCAAACTCGCTGCCTTAAAGGAAATGATATGTGCACATGAAATTGCTGTGTCAATAAGAGATCGGTTCTTGTTTCTGAGGAACAGATGAAGATATTGGTGTGTGCGATATGTGTGTGCCAGTTCTAGCAGTGTTTGTTTAAAGGCATATGACCACCTGGTATTTTTCTGTATCAGATTTATTTGGAGAAACTTTTTTTTTTCAGATGGAGTCTCGCTCTGTCACCCAAGCTGGAGTGCAGTGGCGCGATTTTGGCTCACTGCAACCTCTGCTTCCCGGATTCAAGCGATTCTCCCACCTCAGCCTGCCAAGTAGCTGGGACTACAGGCATGGGCTACCATGCCTGGCTAATTTTTGTATTTTTATTAGAGATGGAGTTTCGCCATGCTGGCCAGGCTAGTCTTGAACTCCTGACCTCAGGTGATCCAACTGCCTTGGCCTCCCAAAGTACTGGGATTATAGGTGTGAGCCACCATACCTGGCATATTTTGGGGAACTTGACAAGGACAGGGACTTGGAGGTTCACCTTCAGTAGGTGAAAGTCTCTTGTAAGAATGTTGAAGGTTTTTTTTGTTTGTTTTCTTTTTTTTTTTTTTTTTGAAAAATTATTGTCAAGGACTCTCCCTGCATTCCTTCCATCCTCTTTCTCAGTGACCTCTTCTTTGTCATTGCATTCTTGGGTTTTCTTTTACTTCATTACCCTAAAAAATTATCCTTCTTAATTTTGTCCTCTATTTGATGAAAATATCTTTGTTGATTTTTTTCTGGTTATAAAGCACAGGACAATGGAACAGAATAGGAAACGCAAAAATAAAGCTGCACACCTATAGCTATCTGATCCTTGACAAGGCTGAAAAAAAAAAAAAGCAATGGGAAAGGGCTCCCTATTCAATTAATGGTGTGTGATAACCTGCCTAGCCATATGTAGGATGAAACTGGATGCCCAACTTTCACCATATACAAAAATTAACTCACAATTAAATATTTTAATGTAAGACCTCAAACAGTAAGAATCCTAGAAGAAAACCTAGGAAATGGTATTCTGGACATCAACCTTGGGAAAGAATTTATGAGTAAGTCCTCAAAAGCAATTGCAACAAAAAACAGACTTGACAAGTGGAAACTAAACCAAAGAGCTTCTATACAGTAAAAGAAACTATCAACAGGGTAAACAGATATGCTACAGAATAGGAGAAAAGATTCACAAACGATGCAGCTGGAAAAGGTCTAATATCCAGAATGTATAAGAGAAACAAACAATTCAATAAACGAAAAGCAAATAACCCCATTAAAAACTGAGCAAAAGATATGAACAGACACTTCTCAAAAGAAGGTATACAAGCAGCCAACAAACATGAAAAAAATGCTCCACATCATTAATCATCAGAGAAATGCAAATCAAAACCACAATGAAATACCATCTCACACCAGTTAGAATGGCTACTATTAAAAGTCAAAACAACAATAGCAACAACAACAACAGATGCTGGGGAGGCTGTGGAGAAATGGTAGCACTTACACATTGTTGGTGGGAGAGTAAATGAGTTTAACCACTGTGGAAAGCAATTTGGAGATTTCTCAGAGAACTTAAAATGGAAGTACCATTTGACTCAGCAATCCCATTACTGGGTATATTCCCAAAGAGAAATAAAACATTTTGCCAAAAAGACACATGCACTCGTACGTTCATCATAGTATTACCCATAATAGCAAAGACACGCAGTCTATCTAGGTGACCATAAATGGTGTATTGGACTATCTCCTTGTTGGTCAACCTAAAATAAAAACCTTTTCTGTTCTCAAAAAACAAACAAACAAACAAACAAAAAAAAAGTTGCACATATACACCATGGAATACTATGTAGCCATAAAAAGAATGAAATCATGTCCTTTGCAGCAACATAAATGCAGCTAGAGGCCATTATCCTAAACTAATTAATGCAAGATCAGAAAACCAAATACTGCATGTTCTCACTTGTAAGTGGGAAATTAGCACTGGGTACACATGGACATAAAGATGAAAACAAGAGACACTGGGGACTACGGAGCAGGTAGAGAGAGCGGGGGACAAGGGCTTCAAATGATCTATTGGGTACTATGCTCACTACCCGGGTGACAGGATCATTTGTACCTCAAACCTCAGCACCATGCAATATACCCATGTAGCAAACCTGCATATGTAACCTCTGGATCTAAAATAAAAAGTTGAAATTATTTAAAAGGGCATAATTGTAAAAATTCAAGTAATACGGGTATGTAAAAATAATCACATCTAAGAGCAAAATGCCCTATTAATATTTTGGGATTCAGCCTTCCAGATTTTTTCTGTGCCTGCATATACATGCTCACATACATGAAGTGTTTTGTAACCGGACTATATTATTCATGGTACAACATTAATATAGCTCTGTGTCTATTTGTCTTTAAATACAGCTCTATTGCATTTGTTTTTAAAAGCTGCATAATATTTTTTAAATGTAGTAATTCATTTACCAGTTCTATAGGTAGGACCCCAGGTTTTTATCAACTTTGCTTAACAACCCTGATTCATGTATGTAATATCTTTACACAATTGCCTGGTCATTGCCTTAGAATGAAGTCCTAGAAGGTTAATGGCTGAAGTTAGGTATATGAACATTTAGTTTTGATGCATATTGATAAATTTTTCTCCAGAAAGATTGTTCAAGGCCAAATTCTCACAATAGTTTACGAGTGCATAGTTCTCCATGTCCCCAACAACAGGGGATAACATTGATCTTTATACTCTTTGACAATTTGATGGGCACAAAAAGACATATTGATGTTTAAATATGTATTTCTTTGAATATCTGAGGTTGAGCATCTTTTTCCTCTGTATATTATATCCCATTGTATATACCTTTTGAGAATTGCTTGTTCATGTTCTTTCCCATGTTTTCCATTGGAATTTTCATTTTAAGATTAATTTGTATGATCTGCATTGATTGAGAATATTAACCATTTTTATGTCATATATTGTGTAAAGATTACTCCAAGTTTTATTTAACACTGTATGTATCTTTGATTACAGTGTTTTTGTCCATATGAAGTTTTATTTTTTATGAATAAATTTGTTAATTATTTCCTTTAAGATTTTTGGCCTTGATGACAAGCTAATAATGGCCATCTTCACTCCATAATGGTAAAATTAAATATACACAAATTTGATATTACACATATAGGGAAAATATAAAGTTTACATTCATAAGTAATGTGTGAAGGAGAAGCATCTTGAGTTCAGCAGCTGGGAAGATATTTTAATATTTCAAGGTTTGGGGTGATAGTATCAGTTACCTATGTGATTGCCAGAGCAAGTACGAGTGTCAGAGAAAGTACTCTCAACCTTAGGATGCATTAATGAGGTGCAGAGGCTGGAGGGTGAGGGTAAGAGTTCAATTTTATTCTGGTGATTTGGGACACCGTCTATATTTAGATATGGTGGAGAACTTCAAAAATTAGGTTATGTGAGACTTGATTGAAAGAAACAGAGGACTTTTCCAGAAAATAAATTACTCTTTGGAAACATGATAATCACTTTTAAATTTTTTTTGAAAAATTTTTATGTGAAACACAGATCAGATTGATTCTAAATTTCCTCCAGGGATAAAATCAATGTGTCTAAGATATAGAGAGATAGGCTTCTATGCAATCTAAGGTAGACTTTTCTAACAGCAGAGGTCCCACTAGGCTGGGTTGGGTGTTGTCAGTCCTTTGTCACTGGGTGTATGTAAGTAAAGATTGAATTGCCTCTAAGATAGGTTACAACTTCATCATCTGTCACCTAGATTGGTTTAAAAAACAAGCCTTTTAATGGGATTCCCTTTCTCCAGTTCACCCTTCTTCAAACCTATCCTCTATACAGTTATCAGACAGATACAGTTAAAAAGCAAAACTACTTCTTCCACTTGTCTTCCTGAAATTATTCAATGGTTTTTCATAAATTTCAATCCAAACAGCCTAATCATGTCTCCAAAGCCTCCTGTGAACCACTGATGGTTTTCCCTTATCTCCCCAGTTCACTATTTATTCTCCTGCAACAATAAACTATCTATAGGTCATCCTGTACACCATGTTGTTTCTTATCTTGATGCTGGGATGCACTGCTTTGCTTCTTTACCTGGCTAATTTCTATTTTTCATTTAAGTGTTGGCATTAAACATTTAAGTTCCCTCTCCTCCAGGACTTTCTCCTTAATCACTACCCCTCCATTAAAAGAAGGGTTAGTATCAACATCTCCAGTGTGGTATGTAGTTTGAAAGGGATATTCTATATGCTTAATTGTTTTATTACACCTAATAAAAACAAAAGGAGAAAATATTTATACACCTATTCAATGTCTGTTTATTGAGAACCTACTAAATGCTATATGCTGTGTAAAGTGTATTTTATATGATTTTTAATTCTCCCAACAGTTCTATGAAGTGGTCATTGTTATTATCCACATTTTATAGGTGAGGAGATAGAGGTTTAGTAAAAGTAAGAAACTTGGTCAGTTAGGACCATATAGCTAATAAGTAGTGGATACAGTTTTCAAATCTAAGACTTTTCAACCTACTCTTCCTCCCTCTCTCTTTTGTCTTTCATAAACATTGCCCCTAACAACTGTTTTGCATGTCTGTCTGTGTTCGTTCTTAAGAGGACCTGAAATGCCGCAATTGGTACCAATACTGTGTGAAACAGTAAGAGGTAAGAAGTTTTGAGCCTGGGTTACTCATCACCAAGCTGTCAAGGAGGTGCACATGTCAAATGGAAAAAGGGGTGGGGAAGGGGTGTAGTCCCTGGAACAAGACGATGCTCTAGTCACTCACAGTCTCACTGGTGGTAACCTGGGAACATACTCTGTATGGTGGATCATTCTTGCTGGTGTAATAAATCAGGCATTTAAAAGTTGTGGGAGGAACAGTGTCTACAAAAATGTGGAGGGGAAAAAGCATCTCAAAGGGTGGGGCTTTGAATGGGAAGAGAAGTGGCCTGAGAGTATATACAGATTTCCGGAAATGGTCAGGGAGCTGACTCATAGGTGGGAATTGAACAATGAGAACACTTGGATACAAGAAGGGGAACATCACACACCGGGGCCTGTTGTGGGGTGGGGGGAGATGGGAGGGATAGCATTAGGAGATATACCTAATGTAAATGACGAGTTAATGGGTGCAGCACACCACCATGGCACATGTATATATATATGTAACAAACCTGCACGTTGTGCACATGTACCCTAGAACTTAAAGTATAAAAAAAAATCAGAGATGAAGACGTCTGGGATAGAGGCATGTAGGTGAATACAAGGCAGTGGGCACAAAGTTGAATATTTTTGCATCACATGCCAGTGTTCACATTTGTTAATGCATTCACCATGAGATAAGCTCTAAGCAGCCAAGTAGACAAAACAACTTGACCAGTTCGCATCAGCCAGCCTTCATCACTGGCCATCCCAGAACTGGCATAGATGTGAATAAGGGATCATGGTGGCACAGATGGAGGCTACACATTGGCTTAACGGTGTGGACTTTCAGTTATTAAGGCTGATCTGGCTACTGCCACCTCTGAATGCCCAACCTACCGGCAACCAAGATGAACACTGAGGACATATTATATCATTATCTATCATGGAACCTAACAGGCTTCTTTGTGCAAGTGTCCCCATGACCAGGAGACCCACTGGTCATATCACATACCACAGTATCCAGAATCAGTGATCGTATTTCACTTCTTACATCCTCCAGAGACTACAGTTCATCCTCAAGGGACAGATATTTATTTTGCGTATGGTTTTGACTTTTTAGTGTACAGAGCCTCGGTCAGCACCATTATCTTGGAGATTAGGGAATGTCTCATCCATGGTCATGGTGTTATTTTCTCCATGAAACTGAGACCTACAAAGGTTTCATAACTTGTTCAAGGTTGCACATCCATAAAGGCTGAGAACTGCAATTTCAACTCAGATCTTGGGTCTCCAAAGCCCATTCTTGCTCTACCCTAGCAGGGCCAGTATAGTTTTCTGCAGAAGGTACATTGACTCAGGTCCAGGGTACTTGATTTGGCCACTGTGTAAGTAAACCTGAACCTGAAGACCCTCATAAATCCTCCTTCTGAGACACAGGGGTATCTTGGGAAAAGCCTCCATAGATGTTTAGTTCAAAGCAAAACATGAAAATAAAGGAACATCCACTTTCACTACATCATGAATTTGAATTTCAATTGAATTCAATTGTGATGTTGGTGACTTTTTCTTCAACTGCTTCATGGGGGTTTGTCTTTAAGTTTTAGGCCAGAGATGGGTGATTAGGTGGAAAAATCTGTACCAGCGCCAGGCTTGGTCCAGCTCCCAAGCTTCTAATCACCTCTTTCAGGCCCAATCCTTATCTGAGAAATGAAGTTACAATTTAAACAGAGTCAGGTGTGTGTGTGTGTGTGTGTGTGTGTGTGTGTGTATCAACAAATCTCACTTCTTGTCTTTTCTTTCTAACCTCTGATGCTTATGTCTTAGAAACAGCCTTCTGTGCTGGGTCCTTTTGGGTCATCTGCCTTGAGTTCATCTTGTGTTAGGCTTGTATTAGAGGGCACTCTTTTTATGGTGACAGAAGCCCAGCTTAAACTGTCATAGAATTTACCAGCCTATATAAGTAAATATTCAACTAGATTCAGAGCCAGTAGGAATGAGAGTCTTGAATGCCACCAGGAATTCATTTCTTCATCTCTCTTCTCTGCTTCTTTCAGCCTGTCAGCTTTATTCTTTTAAGACTGGCTTCCTACATTTAGTTGGAATTACATTTCTTGATAGTTCTTATGCCTTACAACTTTTATCTTCATTTTTTTCTCCGATTTTCATTTGAAAGATCTCAAGGACAGGTTCTGATTGAGTAGCTTTGGCTAAGTGTCCATCCTAGGACCAATGAAATGTGGTCTGATGGGTGGAGGACTTTGATTATGCTCTCCCTGCAATGCGATAGTGGGAGTGTGAGGAGTAGGAACTCTCCAAAATAAGGAGGATGGTATTGCCATTCCAGAAGAAAGGATACTGAACAGACAAAACCATGACACCTATGATGGTGACCTGCCATAGGTAAGCTGAATCAATAATGCCAGGATCACCTGCTAAAATAATTATTATTTTTTTCTTCTCAAGGAAACATTAATTTTGGAGCATGGTTAATATTGTCAATGATGTCTTGCTCACCTTTGTACTTTTCACAATGATTAACATAGTGCCTTAAACAGAAGAAAAAAATAGGAAGAGAAAAAACAGGACAAATGATGGATTTCTCTTTGGGGACAATGACATTTATTCTAGCCATTAACCCCTTATTGGACATCTTCAGGTGTTTCTTGGTTGCACTTGCTCCCCTTTGCTCAATCCAGAAAACACAAAGAAGCCTTTTGCAGGCTATTTTAGCCGATAGGTCTCAGAAGTTGCCTATGCACTGCATCATGGGTAAAATTTGGGTTAAAGATAATTGTAAATACGGTATTGATATCAACTGATGTTTTCCCAACATTGCAATAATGCTTGTTTTGTTTGTTGGAGAGTTTATTACTTTTTGATCAATAGAATGTGAGATTTGTGGGTGAAATTAGCATAGTGAATAACAATTAGGCAAAAAATCAATGGGATTCAGACAAATATGGGACAATTTTCTCTCTCTGTCTCTCTCTCTGTCTCTCTCTCTGACACACACACACACACACATACACACACACACTTTAAAAACTGTAAGGCATCTTATTTACAATTCCAAAGCTCTAGGTGGGGATGGGAGTATATATGGTTCCCATGAACTAGAAACAAATAGGTACCAAGAAACCGTTTGCAGATTCTGTTTTCAGGACACTTAAGATCTTTGTATGCTGAAAAACCTGGAACATCAATATCCATTAATTCCTTTTGTACTCTCTTCATTTTTAGTTTAATTAAGAGTCACTGAATCCCTTATCTTTATCACCTCTCGCCTGGGTGCTGTGGCTAAGAGGTAAAGCAGATAGAACTCTAGTTCTCCCATAGTCTCACTTTTATTTCTTTTCTTCTTTCAACATTATTTCATTGGTGGCCAAAGCAAAGCATTTACATACTATGCCATTGAATCATAGGCAATGAAATTAAGAGAGACCCCAGCAATCACGATTCAAATCACTCCTAAGAATGGGACAGAAATCCCTGAAACTAGAGTTTGTCCTCAAGCATTCACTTGCGTATTTCTAATGACAGGGAACTCATTACCTCCCAAGGCAATCCATTGTAATGTGGCACAGCTCTGATGGCTAGAATGTGTTCCCTTATATTATATGGAAAACTGTTCCCTGAACATTCTCTTATTGGTCCTGGTTGTCCTCCAGAGTCAAAAAAAACAAAAGAGGAAAAAAGAAAACTGTGATTGATTTATTGCCTTGTGAGATTATAGGCCATTTCCTGTATTTTTTTCTTTAAGAAAAATGGTCAAGGCCAACTATTATATCAGTTTTTGAACATCACTGTATTCTAGGCACTGGAGTAAGAACTTTTCATACATGCATCATCTCATTCACTCTTACACCTTAGCACAGAAAGTAAAAATATGTACAGAACTCAAATACTTTTCAGTATCTGCATTTACATTGAAGTATCAGGATTTCCTCTGGCTGTTGGATGTGAACAGCCTTGAAGGGAACCACACTGAAACATGTTCCATTTCCCTTCCCTTCTGCTTGTTGGACAGAAGAAGCCACAGGAGTTTGGAGAATGGGAAGAAAAACTTCCATTTATTTTACAGATTTATTTTTCTCTGGAGATCAGATTAATGCCATGATTACTGCTCTGTGCACCTTGTATGTCCTCAAAGAGATGACCCCACATTTCTGTGAATGTCCAATCTGATGTGTGAGCCGTCTTTGACTCTTTGTTGAAAGATGGCAACCTATCTGCAAAGGAGAACCCTCTGATCCAGCATCCACATCCCGAGTATCCATCCATTCTGAGTGGAGGGCATTTTCAAGCTTCCTCAAGAAACGCATGTTGACTGTGAGCTCCTTAAAAACCATGTTTCTTCTTGTCTCCTGAGCCTCTGGAAAATGTGGTTCGGATAAGTTACTAAGTATATATTTGTTGGATTAAGTACGATGATTGGGATATAATACAGTTCTCAGCTCTTACATTTTGTGGTGTGTCTAAGAATTCCCTGAGAACATCAGTGAAGTGTATTTACAGCATTGGTTCAACTCCTGGTGGACTCTAACATCTGTGTATCATGGTATTTGAGGATTCCATGGGGTTCGTTGCCATGTCTGAGAATCCTAACTATATATCATCCTATCTGATAATTCCTTATGGAATATCTCTGTAGCTGAGAATTTCCTTCCACTGCATGCCTGCTCAGAAAACAGTGTTTAGAATAATGGTCCTGCTTGGCTCTGAATTGGGCTGGTTAATAATCATTGCTGGGGAAATCAATCAAATCTATGATATCTTATTACTTACACTAATTTAATCACAGGGAACGGATCACTGTTCCAGTTCAAAGGGCAAAAATTGTGTGTGTGTGGAGGGGGGGTGTATGGGGGAGAGAGAGAGAGAAGAGAGAGATTGAAGAGCAGAGGGTACGTTAAGCAAAGAAGGTAGTGAAACCCTGGAGGGAATGACCTAATCTCTACAACATATCATATGCCATATTCAGCTGAACTTTAATTTGTACCTGAAAGCATGTTACTTTTATTCCAATTGTATTCTGAGAATTGTGTTCTGAATAATTTTTGAGATCAGAGAAGGCAATTGCTAATTCCCTAATCATACAAATTAACTGAGTATGATTTTTAGTAAAATTGCTCACATGTGATTACTGCAGCCAACCAAGCTGGCTCCATCCTAGGCAAATGAGTAGATGACAGCCAGCCAGGATGGAGACCATGAATATGCAGGATCAATGATGGTCCAGTCTCTCCAGGTTTATGAGTTAGTCTGTGTCAATCTTGTACATTCCCTTTTATCACCTTTCTGTCCACCCTAATCTCAAATGCCACAGCCTCCATGAAGCCTTTTCTGAAGAGGCCCCCAATCAGGTGAGAGCTCTTCCTCTTCGGAATTTCACTCTCATTTTGTGGCTCCAGAGTGGGTGCTAATTACGTGGTCTACCCCATCTTTCTTTCTATTGAGCAATGCCACTCTCCTGGTCCATGGGGATTCTGGTGGAGGTTTTAGCCAAAGACCCCGCTCTTCTGGCCCAGACTGGCCAGTAAAAAACCCATGTTCTTGGACACAGAGGTTGGTCCGGGATGAGCTGATCAGAATCCTCTTTTGATTATCCTGTTGAGTTTGGAGGAGGAGACACTCTTGAGATTGCAAATAGCAAAGACCAAAAAGCTACAGTTTTCATCCTGGCATCCCTCCTGTTTTTGTATGGCTCTGCCTTAGTCCTTTGGTCCTGTTTTGTAAAATTTCCTATCTTCTCACTGGTTCTAATATAGAGATGATATTTTTTTTTTTCTCAAGACCCAAGCCTGATTGATTGGCAGAGACTGCTGCTGGAGTAATGTGTTAAGAAAGAGACCGGGTCATGCCTAGGGTCAAGGTAATATGTAGGGTCAGCAGGAAGAGATTGTGATCTATTAGTTATGTCTTACATGGGCACAGGAGTGGTTGTAAACAAACCAGGTGTTTGCCATCCTTTATCTAGTGACATATCCTATTTCTTCTCAGTGATTGGTATGAGTCCTGGATTTGGGCAACAACCTATTTCTATCACTTGTCAAATTTGTCACCAGGAAAGCCACAGTGGCCACCTCATGAACCAGGTCAACCAGACTTTTGCCCTTCAGACTTTAACATTAATTCTTTGGGTCCTCGAAGGCTGAAGTCAGTCAGAAGAATAAATGACGCTACATTCTGACAAATTCAAGGAGTGTGCAGCATAGGCTGGGAGGCCCAAGATTGTAGGCCCAGGGCAGTCCATGCAGCAAATTCACTTACATTAGCTTTCCAATTCAATGTTCAATTGATTACTTTTGTGTAATCATGGTCCACTGGGGATTTTGTATGATCATTTGTGACCAGAGACCATGCATGCGTTTTTTTTGCTATTGCATCTCCTATGCCTGGTACACAGTAAGTGCTCAATAATGTGTTGAATGAGGGAATAAATAAATCAGCAAATTAATGTACAAACTCTCTAGCTCATATCAGAAGTCAAAACTGATTCAGAATTGATATTTATGGAATACTATTTGAGCTGAAGTAGAAGGATCTAGAAAGGATACATTCAGTTTTTATATTTAGGATGTAGAACCAATAGGATTTGGTGGTAAAAAAAGATAATGCTAGGAGAAAGGGAAGAGGGCAAGAAGTCTCCCAGATTTATGACTGGAGCAATGAGTGGCTGGTAGTGGCATTCATTGAGATGCTCTTCCAAAGCACCTGTGTTGGCCTTGTCATAAGAACTTCTCATACTCTATTTTTATTGGCTGAGTATTTCTCTTCCTTTCAAGCCAGGTAGTACATTGAGGGAGGCACTGTGCCTATCTTGTATAGAATTGCATTCCCAGAACCTAGTTCAGTGCTGGGACATAGCAGGTCAGTAATAAATACTGAGTACCACACGTGTGTTGGTACCAAATAGCCATTGATGATGATGAACCACTTAATAAGTATATAATGACACTGTATTTCCATTTATTATGACAGGGGCACATGTTACCTAAAAGCAACTTCCAGTCACTTGTGAAAAGGATAAGGTGCAAACCTTGTTTCACATAGCTCAGAACTGTCCTCTGGTCTAGTGTAGACCTGCCAATCTACCATGGTATTAAAATGCAAATTTTGTATGAGCTTCAATTACTGAAAGTCTATATGAAGTTTATGAGGCTTAACCCATAGCTGGTTCCTGTTCACAGTCAAAGGCCAATGAATGGTCAATAAAAGCTGCAAACAGCTTTCCGTTATTCCTGATGGATTTCTCTGTAAGATGACAGAGTGTAACAATGATCAATAGTGGAACAACCATTTCTGAAGGCCTCTTGTGTCAGATAGAATATATTGATATGAAGGAGGGCAGCATCAAGTTTTGTTGGTATGTCAGCCTATGGTTTTGGGTAAACAGAGGATAGCTCCTCTTTAATAAAATAGGATAGATTATGTTTGAGTCCTTCCAATAGAACCTGGCACATAGTTGGGGCTCAACAAATGTGCCTGAGATAATCATCTCGGAAGAGTTGGTTTAAGAGAGACTTATTGAGTTGGTTAAGGGGAACATATTGGTGAGTATTGGAGCCCAGGGATTAGTTGTCACTATGTCCTCCTCCTGTCCAGGAAGAAAATGGATGGAAGTGGCATTTTCTACTAACTGAATGATGAAGATAGCTTCTTTTTTTGTATTTGTTACAGAAATGCCCAGTGCTGTCTGGTCTAGTCTGATTTTAGGAGGATCAGAATTGAAGATTTATCCAAGGATGCTGCTATGTGATGAACAGAGAATGTGAGGACTGCTATTCTAGGAGGGCACGCAGTATCATCTGATGTACAAATGTTTAATTTCTCAGTGCCTCAAGATTTTTTGCAGACAGTAATGATTGGGGAGCAAGTAAACAATGGCCCATTTATAGATATGAGAGGTCTGGTCTTCGCTGGTCTTCGCAGGTTTAGTAATCATGTGCTGTTAATAATCCTAACAACACAGTTACGATCATTTAGACAGTGGTTCTCAGTCCTGGCTGCACAGTAGAATCAGCTGGGAATCTTGGAAAGTACAAATGTGGGAGTCCCATTCTAGAATAAGAGCTCTGTGGGTGGGACTGGGTATCAGATTTTTTTTTTTTTTAAAGCTTCTCAGGTGATTGTAATGCACAGCCAGGGTTGAAAACCATCAATTGGCCCAATAGAGAAATAGTGAAATTCAGCAGACACTGTTATTTTCTGACTCTATTGAGGTATCATTGACAAATAAGAATTGTATCTATTTACAGTGTTTCATGTGATGTTTTGATATACATATATATGAAATAATTACTGTAGTCAAGTTAATTAACATATCAATCACCTCACATAGCTACCGTGTGTATGTGTGTGTGCATGCATAGTGAGATCTTCTCTCTTAGCAAATTTCAAGTATACAATGCAGTATAAATTAACTACAGTCATCACGCTGTACATCAGATACCTAGAGCTTAGTCATTGTGTGTAACTGAAACTTTGTAACCTCTGACCAATATCTCTCCATTTCCTTCAACCCCAGTCCCTGGCCAACTACTATTCTACCCTCTGCTTCTACGAGTTTGACTTTTTTAGGAACCACATATAAGTGAGATGATGCAGCGTTTGTCTTTCTGTGTCTGGCTTATTTCACTTGGCCTAATGTCCTCCAGGTTCATCCATGTTGCGCAAACACTTTTTTGATGGAGAAAAACTGTTTTATTTGATGACTAACTAGGCAGTGAATTCCTTTAAATGGGATTGGAAAATCTTTAGAATTAGATATTGTTAACTAAATAATAGGTAGCTGGACTTTGGGGTAGCTGATTTCATTGTTGTCTATGCCCTAGGAAGGGAACAATATAAAAATTAATTTGTCCCTTGTCCAGACACTGGTTGCAATCATTGCCTAGGATTTTCAAACTTTGAGGAAGGCTGACGAGCGTATGGTGATTAACTGGCATACTATAGATCTATTGAGAATGCTTCGAAGTATGTAGCTTCTCAAGGAATTCTACCCCAGCAAGACACAGGGGAAGGCTGTCCTTGGGTGTGGGAACAAGAAGTTGGACTTAGGAGTTAACACTTCAGATGGTAATTGGAGGGGTAGCTTTCAAAGCCTCTCGTTTTTCTGAATCAAAAAGAGAAATGGTTGGTGGGAGGAAATGGCCCTGTGCTGGTTGGCATACATAGGTTAAGAGAAAGAGGAGCTCTTGTTGCATGTGACTCCGTGGTTAACTTTTTATATGGATAATTGTTAGTGAAAACCCCCATGGGATGTTAGTAGCTATGACTTGATGCTGTGGACAGCCAGCCATCACAGATAGGTTCCTACAGGGCTTTGCTGTGGGATGAGGATGGCTCACCACCCTGTAACTGGCTCTTAAAAGGGAGCCACGTGTAACGGCTGATCAAAGTAGCACCAAGAAGGGCTGATATTTATTTGTTAAAGAGAGAACTAAAATTTTCCTTGTCATTTGTAGACCACATTTTTTTTTAAAGGCCTGCTGGATCTGAGAATATATTTTTTGGCTACTGGTTTTACTTAATATTATTATTAATGGGTATGATGGGAACTAAACTTGTTTCATTATTTTAAGTAATCAACTGGCCTATAATAAAGAGATATTACCAAGTAAGTATTATTCAATAAAGGAAAGGATTGTTTCTATTAAAAACATGAGTCTGTATATCCATGATCTTGTGTATGTGTCTGGGGTTATGCGTCTTTCAAGACTCTCAGAATGGGTCAGTTCATTCTTCTCGTTTGACTAATGAGTCTACTGAGACTTGATGGGAGTATCCAGAGAGCTATTAAATAATGTGGAAATTGAGCTGATTCATTTTCTTTCTTTCTTTCTTTCTTTCTTTCTTTCTTTCTTTCTTTCTTTCTTTCTTTCTTTCTCTTTCTTTCTTTTTTCAGACAGGGTCTCACACTGTAATTCATGCTGGAGTACAGTGGTGCAATCATGGCTCACTGCAGCCTCCACCTTCTGGGTTCAAGCAATCCTCCCGCCTCAGCCTCCTGAGTAGCTGGACCACAGGTGTGCATTGCCATACACAGCTAATTTTTAAAAAGTATTTTTGATAGAAGCAGAGTCTCACCATGTTGCCCAGGCTGGTCTCAAACTTTTGGCCTCAAGTGATTTTCTTGCTTTGGCCTCCCAAAGTGCTGGGATTACAGCTGTGAGCCACTGCGCCCAACTTCATTCCTTTTCCCTAGAGGATTCTTTGCAGGGAGGATAAGTGAAGGAAGAATCTTGCTGTGAAGCAGAACCTCTATGAGGTCACACGATGATGGCTCTCTGCAGTATGAACAGAGAGAGAGAGAGAGACGAAAGGGCAATCACTGTCCATTCTCCCTCCCATTGCTCCTGAGACCTCTTCTTTACAATCAGGCCTCCGTGCTGCTGCCCTCCTTGTGCTGTGTCTCTTTGTGTGAGTGGATGAAGTGACTGAAGGCAGATCCAGGGAGCAGAAAAGAAGTCATGAAAGGGAGGACCAGAGGGTGTCTAGAAGGGCATCTACTAGTCATTTGATGGCCTGTGCGTATTTGGATAGAATCCAGAGAACTATTAAAAGTGCTTCCCAAGAGAGCCAGATTGCCTGGGATCAGATCTCTGTTATGCCTCTTATTAGCCATGTAATCTCAACTCTTAGTTTTCCCATATGTATAATGGGATGGTGACAACAATAGTCAACCTCATAGGGCTATTTTGAGCGTGAAATGAGATATTACTTGAAAGTGTTTAGAATAGTTCCAGGCACATAGTAAGGGTTCAACATAAGCTAGTTATTATGGCTTTTATGAGATTAGCTGAGAAATTCAACATCTATGACTTCCTAAGGTGGATGGTCATTCGTTCGTTCAACAAATATTTGCTGAATATTACTGTGTGTCAGGTCTCATGCCAAATACTCACAAATGAATTACAAATGGCCTCTCTTTGAAGGAGCAAGAAGGACTGGTTTGTTGTTTATCCCAGGAATACTCCAGCAAGCTTGTACAACTTGCCTTATTTTGTTGTTGTAGTTGTTGTTTTGCTTTGTTTTGCTTTAGGCTTTTCACAGCCTGAAGCCATGGTTTTTAGTTTCTGTCTCTAGTGATAAGTGGAAATGGGGGATGAGAAAGGGCTTTACTGGCCCAACCAGAAAGAGAAACTAAGAACCCATAAGTGTATTCTCTCCCTTGGATACCCCTAAGGGGTAGACAATCAAAAAGAAAGAACGGCAAAAGAACAGTGTATTCAGCAGCCCAAATGCACATGGAAACCTCTCATTTTTAAAGAGGATGAAGCCGTGGAGGCCGGAGCTTCTCTGGGGTCTGGTGTCATGATGGTCACACCAGCAGTAGCAGCCTGTGGGTGGGGAGGGGACAGAATGACCCCAGGCCTTTCTCTTTCCTGTAATCTAGATGTGAGGCTTGTGAAGAAATTTCCTAAAAGCAGCCTATTGAACTCAAGTTCCCCATCTCAGTCTCAGAGAAGTGGGAAATAGGGCCTCCTTTCACAGACTCCAAGGGCAGGAATTTTCGCCTTTCTCATGCAACAAGCAGCCAGCTCCTTCAGGCCTCATAGAAGTTTCAGCTACTGACTGAGGCTGGTTTGGGATAAGAAAAACATCCTCTGCTGAGGTCTCATGGGGCCTGGGTCAATGGCTCTGAACTGCAGGGAGCTTCGTGGGGGCAGGCTGCTGTGGTCCTAGCTTGCTTTAGATTGTAATAATTAGAGAATCTATACTTGGCAGAGGTGAGCTGGATCATGGAGATAATTTCGTTCAATCCTATCATTTTGCAAAGATAATCCTTTACAACTAGAGAAGACCAAGTTATCCTTATTCTCTGCCCAGTTCTGTTCCTTACTCAGCAAAAATCTCTTCTCTCTACTAATAGTTCATAGGTCTTTGTCCACCAAAAGTCCATAAGGATTCTGCCTGATTCATTTGCATATGACTCATATGCTAAGAGCTTCGTACCAAAATGTTAAGTGTAACATATTTGAACTACACTGTGATATTTCATCAAGAGTTGCCAAACTATAGCATGGAATATACAAAAATGTTCACTTCAAGTTATTAAAAAATTTGTCCTTTATTACTTAACGTAAAGTTGGAGTCCATTATAGGAATCATCTCTATCATCACCATTGTACCCATCATCATCCTGGTGATCCCCACGGATCATCAGCAGCAGCATCTCTGTCATCATCATCATCATCATCATCATCATCATCACAACAGATAACATTGCTAGACCAGTGGTTCTTAAAGTGTGGTCCTACATCAAAAGCATTAGCATTACTTGGAAAGTTGTTAGAAATGCAAAATCTTAGAGCCCATTCTAGACTTAATAAATCAGAAATTCTGGAGTCAGGCCCGGAAATTTTTGCTTTAACAAGCCCTCCAGGTGATTGTGAGTTGGAGAACCATTGTGCTAGACTGTGCCAAGGGCTTTTAACACCTTATCTCACTTATTCCACAGAATAACCCACAGTGATAAGTACCATTGTTGTCTTCATTTTAAGAAAACTGAGACAGAGTGAAGTTGAGTAACTTGCCCAAGGTTCCACAGCTTGTGGCATGAGGCTTAGCTAGAGCCTGTAATGCATTTACTTTGTTGCACATAATACATTTTCTTCTTTTTAATTTAACTTTTAATTTATTTTATTTTATTTTTGAGACACAGTTTCACTCTGTTGCCCAGGCTAGAGTACAGTGGCATGATCTTGGCACACTGCAACTTCTGCATCCTGGGTTCAAGCAATTGTAGGGCCTCAGCCACCCGAGTAGCTGTGATTACAGGTGTGCGCCACAACACCCGGATAATTTTTGTATTATTAGTAGAGACAGGGTTTCACCATGTTGTCCAAGCTGGTCTCGAACTCCTGACCTCAAGTGATCCGCCTGCCTTGGCTTCCCAAAGTGCTGGGATTATAGGCGTGAGCCGTGCGCCCAGCCTAATTTAACTTTTAAGTTCAGGGATACATGTGCAGGTTTGAGAACACAATATATTTCCAGTGAAGTCAATATCTGTGACTCTGCTTATCCTAACCAATTCTATGAACTACAAAAAAGAAGAGTAGTAAATCCTTTAACAGCCAATCCCTAACAATATCATGGAATTGCAATTTATTTTTACTCAGCTTCATCTTATGCAGTCTATAACCACAGGCTTGAGGTGGTGACATGCCTTCAAATCCTGCTTCATCTTCCCTTGAAGTAAAGCCAAAGATGATTTCCTGGGCAGAATGTGGCCAATGAGGTCTGCAGCAGAGAGAACAGGAGTGGGCAGAGGGGGATAGGGTGGGACCAGCTGCAAAATACTTCCTGAGTACAGAAAGAAGGGATGAAGGAGAAATGAGGCCAGAAGAGAAAATAAGTTAATAAGCAGAGACCACTATTCGATGAAACAAATACTGTGATATCCATTGTACTGACAAACTAAAACCTGGGGAGGTTACATGACACATGCGATACCAGTAACGGGGAAACAGATGATCTGGGATTTGACATTGGTGTTTCGACTCTTAATCCAGTGCTTATTCTACTATAGCGCAACTGGAGCAACTGAAGATGAAAACCAGCCATATGAGGTTATGATGAGACACATGTGGGAACATATGCCCTTCTTGGAGTTCATAAAATTCCAGGAGTTGAATGAACCCACCGAAATTGAATGCAAAGTTATGATGTCGTGGTGTATGTGTTTATTTTATACTTATATACACATGTGTATGTGTGTATTTGTGTGTATATATGTACACACACAGGTATATACACATATATAAATCTGTATTAGTCAGTGCTCTCCAGAGAAATAGAACCAAGAGGTTCTATATATATATTTTTTGTTTGTTTGTTTGTTTGTTTGTTTTGTTTTCTGAAACGGTCTCACTCTGTCACTCAGGCTGGAGTTCAGTGGCCTGATCTTGGCCTACTGCAGCCTTGACCTTCCAGGCTCAAGCGACCCTCCTGTCTCAGCCTCCTGAGTAGTGCACCACCATGCCTGGCTAATTTTTAAATTTTTTCATAGAGATGAGGTCTCACTATGTGGCAGAGTGATAGATCTCATTATGTTGCCCAGTGGGCTTAAGCAATCCTCCTGCCTTGGCCTCCCAAAGTGTTGGAATTACAGTCATAAGCCACCACACCCAGCCTGTAATGAGATTGACAATAAGGAATTGGCTTATGCAATTATGGAGGCTGAGAAATCTCATGGTCTGCCATCTGCAAGGTGAAAACCCAGGTTAGCTGATGTGTAGTTCTAGTCTGAGTCTGAAGGCCTGGCAATCAGCAGAACTGATGGTGAAAGCTCCAGTCCACGTCCAAAGGCCTTAGAACCAGGTGAGCTGATGGTATGAGTTCCAGTCTAAGTGCTGCAGAAGACTGATATTTGGCTCATAAACAGTTGAGTGGAGAGAGTGAATTATCCCTTACTCTGTTTGTTTTTGTGCTATTTGGGCCTCTAATGGATTGGATGAGGCCCACCCACATTGGAGAGGGCAACTTGCTTTACTCAGAATACTGATTCTCATCCAGAAATATCCTCACAGACATTCCCAGAAATAATGTTTAACCAAATTATCTGGGCACCCTGTGGCCCAGTCAAGTTAATGCATAAAATTAACTATCTTTCTCTGTCTAGTGGAGAGAGAGAGAGAAAAAAAAAAGAGAGGGAGAGAATGACTTTCCTATTTCTATTCCCATATGGGTCGTGGTAGATTGCATTATTCCAAAGATGGCCGCTTGCGCGCGCGCTCTCTCTCTCTCTCTCTCTCTCTCTCTCTCTCTCTCTCTCTCTCTCCCCCCCCTCCCCCTCCCCCTCCCTTTCTCCCTCCCCCTCCACGCACTCCCCATCTCCCTCTCTGTCCCTTACAATCTAATCAGCAGTCTTCCTACTTAGAGGTGGGGTTTGTGTTGCTTTTTCCCTAATTTGGACAAGGGTTGATTAAAGCTCCAACAAGCAGATAATGGAGAAAAATGATATCCTGTGGCTTCCACGGCTGGGTCATCAAAAGGATACAGCTCCTTTTCTCTGCCTACACACTTGTCCTTGGAAACCAGCCACAGTGCTGCCGGGAAGCTTAAATGAGCCTGTTTGGAGGGACGACAGGAGAGGGGCTGAGATCTCCCCAGTCGACAGCGAGCATCAACTGCCCCTGTGTGAGTGAGCGTTTGAATGGTCCCAGCCTCCAGCCTTCAAGCCTGAGACCCCAGGGATGGTGCAGCAGAATCAAGCCATCCTTGCTGTCCCACTTGGACTCTGACCTACAGAATCTGAGAGCACAATGAATGGCTGTTTTATGCCACTGAATTTTGAGGTGATTTATTACACAACCCTAATAACAGGAGCACTACTTCCAATCTTTTTCCCACCCTGTAGCCCAGACGTTCTTTCTAAAATGTTACTGTGGCCCTTTCATGGCTCAGATCAAGGCTGTTCTGTGGATCCCTATTGGCCACAAGGTAAAGGTTTGTGAAAGGAAGCTCTCTGCCTATTTTCTCAGTCTTGGAACTTTGACTATATCTGGCCGCAACCACAAAACACCAATTCAGACCTATGGAGCTGCTTTGGGTTCCCTGAAGCCATTAGTTTCCCAAACCTGTGTCTGAGCAATAAAACACTTAGTCATGAAGCAGTTTTCACAGGTTTACAGCGAGAAAGGCTGAAAAAGTAGAATTTAATTTTTATGGTAAGATTTTCTTTTAGGTAAATCTATTAAGTTATTAGAATGGTTTCCATCCCCAACCTTCTTTTTTACTTCCTAAAATTCACGTTTTTTTCTAATTTTTTTGGTGCTAAAAATGTCCTCTCCTTAATGAAATAATGGGACTACCTTGTTTCCTGTCTCTGCTCCTGCTGTTTTTCTGTTAAAGTCCTTACTAGGCAAAATAAAAAGTTGGTCACTAAATGCTATTCCCTCAATTAAAAAAAAAAATCCTGTACTTGAAATAAAAGTCTGGGAACCACTGACCCACATAGTGTAGTCTAAACCACTTAGCATGGCATTAAATCCTTGATGCCATATTAGTTAAATTCTGTTCTAATTGTATGATAATTGGGTCCACCAACAATGTGATTCCACACTATGCCCCTCAGGTAAGTGATGAATGTCTGAGAAAATTGGGTGCTTGGTGGAGCATTATTTCTTTGAGAAATATGTCTGAAGGCACAAACCATTGACTTAGGTTAAGTTTTAAAACACTGCCTCCTCTGAAGTTAGGCGTTGCTAGCTCATAAATAATTAATACAAACCATATAGCCACTCAGACATACATGTGTGCATACCTACATCACACATGTCATCACTCCCACACTCATATTAACTTCATACACCCACACTGATGTTAAAATGCCTGCACACCCAGACAAACATGGCAGCTGGAGAGATACAGAGTTCTGCAAGTGATCCAGCGAGGTGACTAAGCTAAGCTGTGCTTCCCAGTTCCCATCCATTCCCATGGAGATCCATCAATCTCCACGTATCTGCTTTCAGGAGCTCTTTTCCCCAAAGTCCTTGAAATAAATTTGTAGCCTGATATTTGAGAATGGCCAGTCTGAGTTCTACTTACATAACTCACCCATGCCCTTGACATTCCCCCTTGGATTTGTCCATGCACAGCTGATCCATCCCCTGGACCAGGACAAGGCTACAGCTCAGAGGCCCTCTGGTGGAGAAAATACTTGTATTTTTTTTTTTTCCTGGACTTGCAGCTATCTGGTCTTGCTTCAGTTAATCAGTTTCCTGCCACCTAGCTGGGATAATAGTTCATCTTGGGTTTGTTGACCTCTGTCTCTTCCAGTTGCCTGGTGTTTGGTGATTCAAAGGGTGATAAATAAACAGGATTCATAATCATAGCATGCATGATTAGGAACACTTTCTGACCATTTCAATCCAATTTGCATTTAGGTCTGGTTAACCTGAGGGGCAGGCATGTTAATCTTTACACAATACGGATTGATTACTGACTTCTCAAATTTTTCCTCCTTCAGATGACAAGCCCCAGCAGCCTGAAATTTGTCAATTTAAGATAGCACCCAAGGAGCACAACAAACCTACTTTAGGAAAAAAAATTAACTTGGAATAAATACATTACTTCCGTGCAGAGCAAGAACATAAAGTTATACCCCAGGGACAGGCACCACCTATAACCTACTGCACCCCTGCAATATCTTGGTGCCTCATTAGATTTATTAATGAGGCTGGCACATCACTCTACCCAGCCCTATTGTTTAATAGGATCGGTGGACATTGACCAGCACAGATGATAAATTTGAGAGAGGCTCTATCAGCATAAGGTTTGGGACTGGGGAAGCAGATGGAAATGTTTTCCCTTGACCTCATAATCCTTTATGTGTCTTCCTTGTGATGACATTGTATTATTTAAAGTGCACAGGATCTATAGCACCTCCTTGGAAATGTCTAGGAATCTGGGGATGAGTCTGTGACCTCCATGGAAAATGTTAGGAATTCTATCCAGATGTGCAGGTTTCTTTGCTCTGGCCCATGCTTAACCATGGAACTGCAAAAACAGGAAAGCCTTAGAGGTGTTTGTGATATCATAAGGTACTTGCATTTTTCAAGAGCATAACTTGGACTTTACATGCCTCTAACCCTAACTGGCATCTCTTATGGTGCTTAGCAGGTGCCTACAGAATGTTTATTAAATAGATGGACTTTGGACTGTTCAGGGGCTTGATGAGTTCCTTGCTATCAGTTGAGCAAAAGTAGTAGAGGATGTTTTATTCCAAGAAGGGGAACCTGGGTGGTCTCTGTGTGTGTGTGTTTCTTTTCTATTTGCTTTTCCCTATCATATTGAACTCATTACCTTCATCGGGGCTGTTAGGACAGATTCCTGACTATTCCCCCTCTCCATTGGAGGTCACTTCTCATCTTGCTTCCTTGATTTCCACAAGAGGAAGTTAACATTATCCTGAGTGTGACTGTCCTGTGGCATTTGGAGCCATTCTTAAAGTACAACACTGGATTATTTCATCACAAGCATTTGCCAATGATTATAATCGAGGGATCATGACCCCTCAGTCTCTTTTACAATGCCTCTGGAGAGAGATAACATTCAAGGAGGATTGCTTGCTTCAAGGACCTGTAATCTACCTCTTCTTCCAAGTATTCCAAATTAAAAAAAAAAAAAAAAGGGAAATAGAGAGCTGAGTACTTGGACATTGTGCTGGTTCCCTTTAGATCTGCTTCCATGGAATGGTCCTTTGATAGAATATATTGAGGTTCTGATAAGAAACAGATCTATTAAGTTATAGTTAAGTCCATTTTAATGATACTATTAAGTGGTGTTTATTATAGCATACCTTGTATTCTTTATAAAGACTTCTGGGAGATATTTTTATCTGGTTTCAGTGCCATAAAAGGTTGGCTAATTAGCAAAGAGTAGGACCTTTACCTTTATGAGCTTCATAAACTTTCGTAAGCGTTTAGTTTGTGTGTGTGTGTATGTGGGCATGTGCATGTGCTTATTTCAAAAAATTTCCAAAGCAATGAAATGAAAGAGATTTTCCCTGAAAGAGGAACTATTATTCATCCTTGAAGGCCTATCTTAACTATATGGCCTTGAGACTTTCTCAGTGGCTGCTAGGGAGGTAGAAACTTCTGCCTCTGGGCCCCGGGACCACTCTGTTCTTTAAAGTCATCAGTTGCAATGTGCTTGGATTTGTGTGGCCATGGCTGTCAGCCCCACTCACCTGGGAGCTTGTAAAAGACAAGACAAGGCCTTCTGGGTAGCCCCCAGAACCTCAAACACGGGAAGGTGCATTGTCACTTAGACATTTTACCTCAGCCTCTTGATCTTCACTGACTTGTGGACTCTCAAGTATGCTTTGTCTATGTGTAATTTTGTAATAGAGCGTTGGAAGAGAGACTGGCATTTTTGGATAAATTAATCTCTTAGTGAAGACCTTGTAGTTCTATTTATTCTTTCTAGTGAAATGTGTGTGTGTGTGCGTGCATGCTTGAGAAGGAGAGAGAGAGAGAGAATTTGATTTATTAATCAAGACATGCTTCAGTTACTGAATGGGAAGAGGACCAAGAGTCTTTGGGCTTATAAGTTAGATTTGACCCACACATTTACAATGCTTCTGCTTCAAGAACAAGGTGCTCTTTTATATTCTTTTCTTAATGAATCTGTGACCAGGTCATTCTCATTTTTGGATTTTAGAACAGGTCTATTCGAGATAAAAACTGTGCCCCTGAGGTTTGCTTTCTAAAACACAGGTGTTTCAGATTTTTTTTTTTTTTTTTTTTTGCTGATTTGGTTTTAATTCCGTCCTTTCTTTAACCACATCTTTTTTCCTTTCTAGGAGCAATACAAAGTTCAGACACGTTCTGAGGTTGAGTTTTGGTGACTTTAGCAGAAAGTCAGAAGAAAGCTGACAATTTCCTTTTCTTCAGTGATGTGCATGGTTTCCAGGCCTTTCTCTGGACCTATGATTCACTGCCATGGAGTGGAACTTTAACACCCCTAGACTGTGGAAGCTCATCCAGCTTTCAACAGTATCACCTAGAGGCAATGAAAAGCAATCAGAATCACAGACCAACCTCATGCCAAGAGAATCTTCATTCAGTTGTGGTCTGCTTTGTACTGCTTGAGCATTTGGGGTTTGAAAAATTAAGGAAAAGAATAGGGGGAAGCCCCAAGATGAAAATACTGGTTTTCTTGCCAATGTTTTAAAAGCAGCTCAAGACTTAAATTTGAGTTGAAAATTTCTTATAGCAAATGTGACTTTTGGGCTTCTAAAAACAAGTCATCCTGGTTATGCCTGGTTGTTGAAAGTCTGCATAATTATGTTATCTTATGGACATGTTTGTATCTCTTCAAAATTCATATGTTGAAGCCCTAACTCAGTGTAACTATATTTGGAGATAGGGACTTAATGAAATAACGAAAGTTAAATGAGGTCATAAGAATGGGGCCCTGATTCAATAGGATTAGTGTCCTTTTAAGAAGAGATAAAAGAGAGAGCTTTCCACCCTGTCATCCCCCTTCCAGCTCCCATGCAGAGCATGCACAACAGAAGAGATCATGGGAGCACAGAGAGAGAGGGTGGCTGTCTACTTGTCAAGAAAAGAGGTCTCAGAACTCATCATTTTTTATGGCTGCATAGTATTCCATGGTGTATACGTGCCACATTTTCTTAATCCAGTCTATCATTGTTGGACATTTGGGTTGGTTCCTCACTTTTGTTGAATTTAATAAATTTGAATTTTAAAATCTAAAAAAAGAAAAGAAAAGAAAATAGGTCTCAGAATGCAACCCACATTGCTGCCATGTTGATACTGGACTTCTAGCATCTAGCAATGTGAGCAATACATTTCTGTTGCTTAAGCCATCCAGCCTGTAGTATTTACAGTACCCCATGCTGACTAATACATTAATCTTAGTTAGAGAATCTGCTATTTATAGGGCAATAAATGTGTCCAGGCTTGGTAATTAGAGAGACGGGGGTTAAAGTCTTGTCTCTGCCATTTGTTTGCTGTGAATTTTAGGTGCATTTTCTTGCTTCTGAGATTGTATTCCATCATATGTAAAATGGAGATTTTAATAAGACCTTCAGTGTAAAGATTAAATGAGATAATAGATAAAAATGCAAATATAAATGAGGGACTAGCATAGTTGATAATCTGACCAATACCATTTATCGAATGTCTGCCTGAGCATAGTAGTGCTATCAGGTTTATTTTGATGTGGCCACCTCCCAGACCCTCACCCCCACCCAGAATTGGAGGCAGGAGAATTGAAATGGGAAATATCTTTCTGATTACCCTTTTCCTCACAAATTGTAACCAAAAGGATTTTCAAAAATTTCCCCTAAATTGTTATGGTACTACCTTAGGGCAACATGCTTTATGGTCTAGCTGGGTTATTACGAAAAATATATTTAATTTTTTTCTCCAGATCCCTGGAGAAAGGAGATGGTACTTTCAAACAGAATAAGAGAACTTTGAAGAGACTTAACAAAGGGACTAGTTCCAAAAGTATGGTGTGGATTTAAGGAAATAACAAGAGATAGTGCAGTATTCTGAAGTATCCAATGAGGAGCTGTTACCACCCCGGGTCTAAAGGGTCAAGGGGAGGGACCAGCCACTAGAAGTAGATAGGATAACTGTACGAATAGGGAGGTTTGACTCGAGCTATGACTAGTAGTGGAAGAACACAACCAACTTAGGGGCACCCTGGCCATGAGGGAGCTGAGGAAACAAATATTCAACTTCACTCTTCTATCTTCTGATCTCTTCCTGTCCTCTCATTGGCTGAACCCAACCAGAAACCATGGACACTCTGGTTCATACACTGGTTGATGGACGCCATATGTGTTAGTCCCCTGGGGAATACCCAGCAAACTGGAGACAGTGGACAGTCTCCACTGAAATTGGGAGGTTAATGCAAGCTATCCAGGACAGGAGTCTTCTCAATACTTCTCAACTTCTCAGTATATATATAGAGAGAGCTCTATATTTGATTTCTCCATATTTGTTTCTTGATATGTTAAAGGAATATAGAACTATAGTCAATGATAATTGTACATTTAAAAATAACAGAGTGTGATTGGATTGTAACACACAGGATACTTGAGGGGATGGATGTCCCATTCTTAATGATGTGATTATTACATATTGCATGCCTGTATCAGAACATCTCATGTACCCCATAAATATATACACCTGATGTGAACCCACAAACATTAAAAATTACAAAAATTACAAAATAAAAGAATATAGAACATTTTCTTTGTTTCCCCCAAACAATTCTCAAGTTTAATATTTACCCTGGAGTGATACATTTCTACCTTGGAGCAGAAGGCTGCAAGGACACGTGATTTAAGAGAAGAATGTACAGACACAGTGTTTGAGAAATACTTTCTGCATTGCACTGACTTGTCCTGTTGACTCATCCATGGCTGTGGGTCCTTTAATCATAGTTCTCTGGGGCCATCCATATGGCCATATCTCTTTGTCACTGGAGACAAAAGACTATTTGGGCATGATCTCCCCCTCCTTTTTGAACTTTTTTTTTTTTTTTTTTTTTTTTTGAGATGGAGTCTCACACTGTCACCCAGGCTGGAGTACAGTGGTGTGATCTTGGCTCACTGCAAGCTCTGCCTCCCAGGTTCACGCCATTCTCCTGCCTCAGCCTCCCGAGTAGCTGGGACTACAGGTGCCCGCCACCATGCCCGGCTAATTTTTTGTATTTTTAGTAGAGACGGGGTTTCACCATGTTAGCCAGGATGTTCTCAATCTCCTGACCTCGTGATCCACCCACCTCGGCCTCCCAAAGTGCTGGGATTACAGGCGTGAGCCACCGCGCCTGGTCCCTTTTTAAACTTTTAAAGTTTCAGATAATTATATATTTACATGCAGTTGTGAGAAATAATATAGGAAGATCCCATGCATTCTTTACCCAGTTTCCTCAATGATAGCATATTGTCCAACTACAGTATAAATCACCATTGGGATATTGACAAAGGTACAATCCATTTATCTTATTCATTTTTTTTAGTTTTACTTGTACTTGTGTATATGTATACTTAGTTCTGTACAATTTTATCACGTGTGTAGGTTTGCATGTCTATCATCATAGTCAAAATACAGAATAGCTCAATCACTACAATGATTTCTTTTTAGTTATTTTAAAATGTACAATTAAGTTATTGACTATAGTCACCCTGTTGTGCAATCATGTATGTCTTATTCATTCTTTTTAACATTTTTGTAACCATTAACCATTTCCCCCTCTCCCCTCACCCCCCACTTCCCTTCCCAGCCTCTGGTAACCATCCTTCTACTCTCCATGCCCACGAGTAAACTGTTTTGATTTTTAGATCCTACAAATAAGTGAGAACATGTGATGTTTGTCTTTCTGTTAAATGAAATAATCCAGGTACCACAATGATCTTTCTTTTTTGTGGGGTGGCGGGGTGGGGTTTCACTGGTCACCCAACCTGGAGTGCAGTGCCCCATTCTGGGCTCACTGCAACCTCCGCCTGCTGGGTTCAAGTGATTTTCCAGCCTCAGCCTCCTGAGTAGCTGGGATTATAGGTGCCTGCCACCAGGCCTGGCTAATTTTTGTATTTTTAGTAAAGACGGGATTTCGCCATGTTGGCCAGACTGGTTTCTAACTCCTGACCTCAGGTGATCTGCCCGCCTCGGCCTCCCAAAGACCTGGGATTACTGGTGTGAGCCACCACAATGATCTTGATGTTCTTCTATCACATCTATTTCTTTCCTAACGCACCCCATTTTTCATCCTTAACCCCCCGGCAACTACCACTATTTCTATAATTTTGTCATTTCTAGAATGATACATGAATAGAATTATACAGTATGTAACCACTAGGATTGGCGTTATTTCACTCAGCGTGATTCTCAGGAAATTCATCCAAATTATTGTCTCTATCAACAGTTCATTCCTTTTTAGCTGAGTATTATTCCATGGTATGGATGTACCACTGTTTAACCATTCACCCATTGAAGGCCATCTGGGTTCTTTCCAGCTTTTTGCTGTTATGAAGAAAGCTGTTATGAATATTCATGTACAGGTTTTTATAGAAACATAAATTTCTATTTTTCTGAGATAAATATTTAAGAGCACAATTGCTGGGATGTATGGCAATTTTATGTTTGGATATATAAATAACTGTCAAATTATTTTCCAGAGTTACTATGTCATTTTACATCTGTAACAGCAGTGTATGAATGATCCTGTGTCTTTGCATCCTTTCCAAAGATCAAAGACAAGCATTTGGTCTTGTATCAAGTTTTTGAATTTTTTTTACTCATTCTGATAGGTATGCGTAATATATCACTGTGGTTTTAGTTTGCATTTCCCTAATGGCTAATAAAGTTGCATATCTTTAATTGTGCTTATATATCATTTGTATACCCTCTTCAGTGAAATGTCTGTTCATGTCTTTTGCCAATTTTTGAATTGAGTGTTGTTTTTTACTCTTTTGATAACTCTTTGTATATTCTAGATACTAATCCTTTGTCAGATACGTGATTTGCAAATACATTCTTTCAGTCAGTACCTTGTTTTCCTCTCAATAGAATATTTCACAGAGCAAAAGTTTTTAATTTTGATGAGGTCCAATTTATTATTTTCTTTTCTGGATCATGCTTTTGGTGTCAAACCTAAGAACTCTACCTAAGAACACTTTCCCTAACCCCAAATGCCTTAAAAGTTTTTCTATTTTCCCCCCAAAAGCATTATAATTTTATGTTTTACATTTATGTTTGTGAACAATTTTGAGTTAATTTTTAGATAAGGTATGAGGTTCAGGTTGATGATCATTTTCGTTTGTCTACTAATATCCAACTGCTTCAGTATAATTTGTTTAAAAGGCTATCCTTTATTTAATTGCTTTTACACCTTTGTCAAAAATTAATTGGGTACATTCATGCAGGTCTATTTCTGGGTTTTCTGTTCTTTCCCATTGGTCAGAATAAATTACTATAGCTATACAGGAAACCTTAATATTGGTAGAATAATAAAATGAAATGAAACAATTTATTCTTCTTTGTTCAAGATTGTTTTAGCTATTATAGGGCTTGTGCCTTTCCATATAAATTTTAGGATAAACTTGCCTTACTGTATACACACACATGCACCCCTTATGAGTACAGGCATATCTTGTTTTATTGTACTTTGATTTATTGTGCTTTACAGATATTGTGTTTTCTACAGATTGAAGGTTTGTGACAACCTTGTGTCAAGTAAGTCTCTTAGCGACATTTTTTCCAACAGTTTATGCTCATTTAATTAGCATTTTTAACAATAAAGCATCCTTAAAAATTAATGCATAATATGTGTACACATTTTGGGGGTACATGTGATATTTTGATACATGAATATAATATTTGGAATATTCATCTCTTTAAACATATATCTTTTCTTTATATTGAAAACATTCCAGTTCTTTTCTTCTAGCTATTTTGAATGGTACAATACATTATTCCGAACTATAGTCACTGTCCTGTACTATTGAACACCGAATCTTATTTCTTCTATCTAACTGTATTTCTGTACCTATTAACCATCCTCTCTTCATCCTCTCTCTTCGCTACCCTTCCCAGCCGAAAGTATTTTTTCACTAAGGTGAGTACATTGTTTTTAAGATATAATGCTATTAAGCACTTAATAGGTTGTAGTGTAAACATAACTTTTATACGCACTAGGAAGCTAAAAAATTTATCTGACTTGATTCATTGTGATACTCACTTTATCACAGTGGTCTAGGCCTGAATCTGTAATATCTCCAACATATGCCTGTATTTGATAAGAATTACATTAAGCCAACAGATCAATTTGGGGACAATTGATGTTTTTACTATGTAGTGTTTTCTAATCCATGGACATAAGTATGTTTCCCTGCTTATTTAGGTCTTACTTGATTTCCTTCATCACCATTTTCTAACTTCAGCATGTCTTAAGTTTATACCTGAATATTTAATTGCTTTGGAGTTTTTTATTTCAGTTTACACATGTTCATTGTCAACTTTATTGAGAAATAAGACTGATTTTTGTGTGTTGATCCCTTATCTTGTGATCTTGCTGAACTCATTTGTTAATTGTAGATTTTTTTTTGTAAATTCTTTGAGACTTTCTAGATTAAAAAAAAGTCATCTGTAAATAGAGACATTTTTATTTCTTCTTTCTCCAATCTGTATTCCTTTATTTCTTTCTCTTGCTTTATTGCAATGGCTAGAACTTCCAGCACTGTGTTGAGTAAGAATGATGAGAGTGGACATACTTGCCTTGTTCCTGATCTGAGGGAAAAAAGCATTTAATATTTTACTGTTGAGTATGATGTGATCTGTAGAATTTTCTGTGGATTCTTTTTATCAAGTAGAGGTCATTCTGTTCAATTCCTAGCTTGCCGAGAGATTTTCTTTTACATGGGTATTAAATGTTATCAAATGTCTTTTCTATGTCAGTTGATATGACCATCTACCTTTTCTCCTTTAGACTGTTGCCGATATTGTAAATTATATCGATTGCTTTTGGAATGCTGAACCAATCCTGTGTATCTAGAATACATTTCACTTGATTATAGTGTATAACTGTTTTTATAGATTGTTAGATTTGGTTTACTAATATTTTGTTGACGACGTTGGCATCTTCATGAGAGATATTAGTTTTCCCTTTGTACTGACCTTGTCTGATTTTGATATCAAGATAATATTGGCCTCAAAATGCATTGGAGACTATTCCCTCCTCTTTCATTTTCTGGAAGAGATTATGTAAAAGTGGTGTCAATTCTTCTTTAAATTTTTGATAAATTTCCCTAGTGACACCATCAGGGCCTGGGGATTTTTTTTAGAACATTTTAATTACAATGTCAATTACTTTAATGGTTATCTACTCTTGCAGATTATGTATCTATTCTTGGTTAAGTTTTGGCAGTTGGAGAAATTGGTCTGTTTCTTCTTGGTTGTTAAAGTTATGAACATAAAGTTGTTCTTAGTATTCCCTTATTAAGTTTTGAGAGCTTTCTTTAACCATCCTTTAAGGGTGAGACTGTTGGTAACAGATTCTTTCAAAGTTTTTTCATCTAAGAATGTCTTTTTTCCCCCTCTTATTCCTGAAGGTAGTTTCACTGGATATCAGATTCACAGTTGATAGTTCTTTTCTTCAACATAAAAAAGTGTTGTGACACTTTCCTCTGACCTCCATGGTTTCACATGCGAAACCTGCTATTATTTGAGTTGGTGTTCTCTTATATGTAATGCATAATTTCTTTCTGATTGCTTTTAAGATTTGTTCTTTGAACTTATTTTTCAGAAGTTTAACCATCATGTGCCTTGCCTTGAATTTCTTTGGGCTTATCATAATTGCGGTTAGCTCAGCTTCTTGAATGTTTATGGCTTTCATCCAGTTTGAGAAGTTTTTAGCTCTTATTTCTCTAAATACTTTTTCAGCTCCATATTCTCTCTCCTTTCCTTCTACAACCCTGATCATATAAATGTTAGATCTTTTGTTACTGCTCCATAGGTCTCTGAGTATCTGTTCATTTTTTCTCTATTTTCTCCTTTTTGTTCAAATTGAGTAAGTTCTATTTATTTCTTCAAGTTTACTGATTCTATCTCTGTCATATCCACTTAATACTTATGACTCTAGATATTCAGAGTGAGGTGTGGCGCACTTTGGTAGTGAAGGAGCTGAAGAATTGAAGTGGCCAAATTCACTGTCTTTTCAATTCCAGAGAAAATATCAATGGAGGAAGAGATTCTCCTACCTCCCTGGATACATAACACCTTTAGGATGTCAACAGACATTTTAAAAGCTGTTGGTGTCAGAGAGACTTATCCAGGAAGTGATAAAGGTGGCTTGTGAGATCTGGAAGCTGAATATTGTTAATGAAGGATAAAGTTCTATACGGAAACATACTTCCAAACACATTACTCATCTATTTATGTTCTCTTTGCTTGATAATTTGGAGCTTCAGTCATGTTTTTAGGGTGAATACTATTTACACATTATTTCCCATTGCTGCCATGGTTCTATTTTCAGGGCAAAGAAATTCCATAATTGGGATTATAGAAGAAGAACCAGCAGCCACTGGGAAAACCAGAATGTTCCTCAGATCAATAAATGAGCTAATATTTGAATGAGTGAGTTATATGGTTTGGCACTCGGTCCCAAGGCAAATCTCATCTTGAATTGTAATCCCCATATGTCAGAGGAGAGGCCTGGTGGGAGGTGGCTGTATCATGGCAGGAGATTTCCCCCTTGCTGTTCTCTTGATAGTGAGTGAGTTCTTATGAGATCTAACAGTTTAAAAGTGTAGCACTTTCCCCTTCGTGCTCTCTCACCTGCCACCATGTAAGACTTGCCTTGCTTCTCCTTCACTTTCTGCCATAATTGTAAGTTTCCTGAGGCCTCCTCTCCAGCCATGCAGAACTGTGAGTCAATTAAAACTCTTTTCTTTGTAAATTACCCAGTCTCAGGTATGTCTTTATAGTAGTATGAGAATGGACTAGTATAGTGGGCTAAGAGTGGCATAGAACACATGGATGTTTTGGGCATGTTTCTGAAGATATTTGATAGAGGGAATGGAAGGTGGATTTGATCAATCACTTGGGGCTTGGCAGATCATATATGTATTTATTTTAAATATACTGTACATGAAGCTTCTCTGACCAGAAAGACATATGCCGTCATTGAAGGTATTATGTGAGAACATGAGCTCTTAAGTTGAAATGGAAAATACAACATTTGAGCTTGCTTACTTTCAACAATCGAGAAAAGAATAGAGACTAATATTGATATTTCAAACGTTACGGAAGTGTGTGAAATTAAAAAAATAAACTTCTACTCACAGTTCCCATGTTGCTAATCTACTGTCATATAACCCTCTGTGGATCTTTTTTCAGCCTATTAATTTTATGTGATCCCAGTATGGATTAGCATTTCAGTTCATGATGGTTCAAGACTTATCTGATCTACAATTCCCAAAGCTACCTTCACTACTTATCCAGATAGAAAGAAATACATTATTATGCTTTATAGGTGTATTAGTCTGTTCACATGCTGCTGATAAATGCATACCTGAGACTGGATATTTATACAGAAAAAGAGGTTTAATGGACTCACAGGTCCATGTGGCTGGGGAGGGCTTGCAATCATGGCAGAACGCAAAAGTCACATCTTACATGACAGCAGGCAAGAGAGAATGAGACAACCAAGCAAAGGGGGTTTCCCCTTATAAAACCATATAAAACCATCAGCTCTCCTGAGACTTATTTACTACCTGGAGAACAGCATGGGGGAAATCACCCTGCCATGATTCAATTATCTTCCACTTGGTCCCTCCCACAACACGTGGGAATTATGGGAGCTAAAATTCAGTAGGAGATTTGGGTGGGGACACAGAGCCAAACCATATCAATACACAAGTATATAGCGGGGAAAAAACAGAACTCCTATAGACATAGACACAAAGAAATGCATAGCTCTGTGTCACAAACAAATAATACCTGAAAATGGAAACAGAACACTCACAAAGATATTGTGATATCAGATTATTATCTGAATATTCTAATCTTTAGGTCAGAGCTCTTTATCCCAGCAATCCTAGTATTGAGAATTTATCCTAAGAAAACAATCTTTTTTTTTTTTTTTTTTTTTTTGAGATGGAGTCTCGCTCTCTTTGTTGCTCAGGCTGGAGTGCAGTGGCTTGGTCTCGGCTCATTGAAAGCTCCGCCTCCTGGGTTCACACCATTCCCCTGCCTCAGCCTCCCGAGTAGCTGGGACTATAGGCACCCGCCACCACGCCCAGCTAATTTTTTTTTTTTTTTTGTATTTTTTTAGTAGAGACGGGGTTTCACCGTGTTATCCAGGATGGTCTCCATCTCCTGACCTTGTGATCCACCTGCCTTGGCCTCCCAAAGTGCTGGCATTACAGGTGTGAGCCACTGTGCCAGGCCAGAAAACAATCTTAAAGTAGAAAACACAACTTCATGCCTCAAGAAATTTATTGCAGATTATTAATAACAGCAGAGGGTAAGCTGTATCATACATGTACAGAAGTTGAATGCTTATGTCGAGTGCATTGTATTCATTTAATGATGTACTAGCAAATGATCTTAAGAGCATGCCTTACTCCATTTATGCTTCTATAACAGAATACTACAGACTGAGGAATGTATAAAGAACAGAAATTTATTTTACCACAGTTCTGGAGGCTGGGAAGTCCATGATCAAGGCACTAGCAGATTTGGTTGTCTGGTGAGGGTTGCTCTCTGCTTCCAAGATGGCACCTTATTGCTGCATCCTTCAGAGGGGAGAAACATTGTGTCCTCACATGGCAAAATGCAGAAGGGCAAGCAGGATAAAATCCCTCAGTCGAGCCCTCTCATGAGGGCATCTAATCCCATTCACTAGGGAGGAGCCCTCATGGCCAATTACCTCTTACAGGTCCCACCTGTTAACAGAAGCACATTAGGCACACCTGAGTTTTGGAAGAGACACATTCAAACCACAGCAGAGCACAAAATCAGATAGACCTGGGCTCAAATTCTGACTCCTGTACGTACCTGGGTAAGTTATAAATTTGTTAAGCATATTTCCTTTTGTATTATATAAAATAGAACTAATTATTCCTTCTTCACAAAGTTATTGTAAATAACTAATGAAATATACATATAAAGCAGATAGTACAATGTCTGGAAGAGAGGACACATTTGGAATAGGTGTTTGAAAAATACAGCTTTTGTCCTGCTGCTTCTTTTATAAATAAAGCTTTATTGAAACACAACCGTACCCATTTGATACCAATTGTCTATGGTTGCTTTTATGCTACAATAACAGAGTTGGGTGTTTGTTACAGAGAGAGCATGATCTGCAAAGCCTAAAACATCTATCAAATAGCTCCTTAAGAAAGTTTGCCAACTTCTGATTTAGTTCATAGTAATGATTTCACAACTATAAAAGGTGTTTTGTAAACAATAGCAAAATAAAAAATAAAAACTAGGTTATATGCTTAATGGAAAAAAATAACCTAAATCTATACTCATATTTGATAGTTAAAACTATGTTGACTTTATAACTGCTTATACAGCACTTAAAAGGAAGAGAAATAAAACCGATTCATTAGATTTAAGGAATTTTAAGAGATATTCCTCTTACAAATTTATTGTTTTTAAAAAAGTAGAAGTGCAATAACAATTATCATTGAAAAATCATGTCACCTCTTAAAGAGTTCAGGAATTCAAGTCCTCTCTGGGTGTGGTCATGAGTGTCTCTAGGGAAATATAGGCAACTTCAATTAGAAATTCTCTGGCCTATGTGGTTGTTCTCAAGGTTCAGGTGTCTACTGATCAGAGGGTAAAATGAAGTTCCTTCTTTACTCCCTTTCCAGCTCCTTCAGCCAGAGCCAAAGTATTTCTGGCTATAGGGCTTAGGCTTATTAGAAATGCAAAATAAGTATCTAATAGTAGGCTTTTTAATAGAACTGTTCTTAGCTGTCAAAAGCAAATTTATATTACCACATTGATTAGTTGCTGAAGACTTGCAAAGCTTCTATTTCTGATGGGATTGGGACTGACTATAGTTAATGTTTTTTTTTTCCTGTTGTGTTGCATATTCCTTGTTTCCTGCTCTGTGTGTATGTGTGTGTGTGCATATACATGTATATGTATATATGTAATAGTTCACACATATATAATACACATTGTATATATGGTATATATACACTTTTAAAGGGATTTTAAAGGCATTTTTATGGTTAGGCTAATTCTCTTTCCTCTTGAATTTTTTTCATAGCATGTTTTATATAAAGGTAAAACATCTAATTGACTTAATAGCAAGTTTATCTTTTTTTTTTTTTTTTTTTTTTTTTTGAGACAGAGTCTCACTCTCTGTCCCAGGCTGGAGTGCAGTGGTGCGATCTTGGATCTTCACTCACTGCAACCTCCATCTCCTGGGTTCAAGTGATTCTCCCACCTCAGCCTCCCGAGTAGCTGGGACTACAGGTGCAGGCCACCATGTCCAGCTAATTTTTGAATTTTTGTATTTTTAGTAGAGACAGGGTTTCATCATGTTGGCCAGGCTGGTCTTGAGCTCCTGATCTCAAGTGATCCACCTGCCTCAGCCTCCCAAAGTGCTGGGATTATAGGCGTGAGCCACCGTGCCAAGTTTCTTTCTTAAACCCATTTTCTTTTTGTTATCATTATCATGGCTCAGTTTTAGGTGTAACTTTTGATCTTTTCTGCCTAGACTATCCCTTTTACATTTATCAGAGTATTCTTTATTTAAAAAGTCCATTATTTCTTTAAATATATTTTATGCTTCTTTTTCTCTCTCCTGTCCCTCTTGAAATCCGGTTACACATGTGTTGGACAATTTCATATTGTCCTGTAGGTCACTGAAACTCTGATACATTTTTTGTTTAAAAAAGTAATTTCAACTTTCATTTTAGATCCAAGGGGTACATGTGTAGGTTTGTTACATGGGTATATTGCATAATGCTGAGGTTTGGGGTACAAATGATGTCATCACTTAGGTACTGAGCATACCCAGTAATTTTTCAAGCCTCACCCCTCACTGTTCCCCACTCCTATAGTCCCTAGTGTCTATTGTTGCTACCTTGATACATTTTTCAATCTTTTTTCTCCTCTTTAAATTGGATAATTTCTAAGAATTTGTCTTCAAGTTTACTGAGCCTTTTTTCTGTAATCTCCAGTTTGCTGATGAGCCCATCAAGTTATTTTTTTCATTTCAGATGAATTTTCTGCTTTTGGATCTCTATTTCATTCTGTTTCATAGTTTTCATTTTTCTTTCTCTGATGTTCCCCATTTGTTTCCTCGGTTTCCTTTAAATTATTGAATATATTTATGGATCTTTTCCTGCTAATGTTAGCATCTTAAATGAGGTCTTTTTGTATTTATTATTGTCTAGTATTGTCCAGCTTTCCTGCTTCTTCACATGTCTGGTAATTTTTTATTATATGCTGAATATTGTGGATTACTCAATAGAAGTTGGATCGTGTTGTCTTCCTTTAAAGAGGGTTGACTTTTGTTCTGGCAGGAAGTTAATGGACTGGTGGTTCTCCTTGATCTTACTGAGTCTTGGTTTTCAGCTTTATTAAGTGGGTCCAGAATAGCCCTTACTCTAGGGTAAGAGTTGGCAAGCTTCGGTAAAGGACCAGATAGTAAATATTTTAGGCTCTGTGGGCTACATATGGTATCTGCCACATATTCTTACTCATTTTATTTTATGATCCTTTAAAAATGTAAACTCCATTCTTAGCTTGTGGGCCATGCAAAAGGAGGCCATGGGCTTGTAGTCTTTCTGGTGTGTCAGTTAAATATCTAGGGTATTAATGAGGGCTCTGTACTCTGGCTGGACTGAAATACCATCTGTAAGCACTGGGTGAACTCTAGTATTTCTGTTCCACTCTCAACCCATTGGCAGCTACTTTCTGCTAGGTCCCATGGAGCCTTGCTCTGTACTTTTTCACCTGAACTCCTAGCCAAGGACCTGCAGGACACTCCCACTCAGACTTCTGGAGTTCCTTCACTCTATTACCATGCTGCACACAGTCTAACTGGTTCAGTTAATTTCAGTAGCTGCCTCTTTCTGAATTTCGGTGGCTGCCTCTCCCATTCAGTAGGACCATCCTGCTCTGCTAAAGCTTGCTACCTATGTGTGCCATGGTTAGGAAATTTTTCAAAGACAAGGATCAGAGATGGATTTAGACTTCTCTTCCTATGTTTCCCCTGCCTATAGGCCAATGTCTGGAAACAACTGCCTCAGCTATGCCTCCGTTTCATGCTTACTTATCACAAGAGGTCAAGTCTGGTACTGATTACTGTGTTAGGGCTGGAGAGGGAAATCCCACGGTGGTATTTTAGAAAACCATTTGACAATATCATTCTCATGCTTCAAGTCCTTGAATGACTCCTTTTCACACCAAGGATAAAAATACAAACTCCTAAACTTTGTGCCCAAGATTCTTCACAATCTTTTGCCTATTTACTTCCTTTGCCCCATCTTCTGCCATGAACCCTGTGCTTCAGGCATACTGAGCTTTGAACCAATGCCCCAACATATCTTTTATGCTTCTGTGAGTGTGTTCTACCTGTTAAGTCTTAATATCATTTATTCATTCTGGGCCTGATCAAATTCTTCTCATTCTTCACTTTCATGTCACTGCTTTTGGGTTGATTTCCTGAACTCCTCTAGGTAAGGTTAGATGGTAAATCTATGTATTCCCATATCAATTTGTACATCCTTTAAAATACTTATCATTTTGTTTTAATTACTTGCTATACGTCTTTCAGGTTCCAAATTCATATTCTTTCTGGTGAGAAGGGACATTGAATGGTGTTGTCCAGGGGTAAGACACGGAATATGGTGGAGACTGCTCACCTGGACCATGGATACCTTGTCTAGAGGGTACTATGGTTATTAGCATGAACTTATTCTTGATGTATGATAATACAAACCCAGTGTTGCCAAACTGCCTAATTTTTCAAGAGAAGCTGGAATTCAGGATTTATACATGTAATTTCCTGATTTTTAAGTGTACACACACACACACACACACACACACACACGGTAAAGGCCAAACAAAATTTCTGTGGGCTGAATATATCCCTCGAGCTGAAAGTTTTTTGCCTCTGCACTAGAAAATGGTTTGGAGTAAAATTTCCATTGTTACAACAATGCAGGCAGATGATATTTTTGGATCAGATGCAGTATTTTTTGCCACCAAATATGTTAAATATCCAACAAGCCATGGCTGAGACATTACACCAAGTCCATGCTGATAAGAACTTTTCATTTGTTTGCTTCATATGTGATCTGTAGATTCATGGCACTAACTACTATTTGTAGATCACATAACTTTGGAATTTGTAGGGGCCTGAGCAGTTATTCTCAGAGTCTATGCTGGAACTGCCTTTTCTCTATAACATCTTGGATAGATCGCAGTCCATCCGTAAATAGTGCACACCTAATATAGCAGAACTCTTACCTTGTAAGGTAATTTAGTTAATTATCAAGCACTTCACTTATCTAAGAGGTTTTCATTATATTAAACAAATCCAGTTTCCCCGTTAAGTAGTCTTATTGACCTTTTGGAATTCTATAGCAATATCTAATTCCTCTTCTGTTGGATGGTGCTAATTATCTCAATAAAGCTACCAAAAAAAAAACCAAAAAACTTCTGATCCTAAGTCTTATGAACTCCCTGTAAAACAGCAATGATTCCTTCTCTTATTTTCCTTTGTCATGGTTTCCTTCATCTACCCCAAACTGATTCTGGATGTTAGCAACAGCTCATGTGAAATGTGAATAGAATGCTCTAGGGCTTTCTGGTCAACACAAGATACTCGTCTCAAAGACATAGATGGCCACATAGCTGTAGACGCTGTAAATGCAGCAAGGTTGAATTTACTGTTCAGCTTCCTCATCATGTGGTTGTCCTACAGTGAGCTTACTATCAACTTAGGTTCCTCGGCTACTTTAGTCATATTTTTCTTTAGCCATGTTTTCCCATCCTGAAACTTCATAGCTGGCTTTATGGACTTAGGTGCAGTAATGTTCATTTCTATCATATTATTTTATTGTATTAGAGATGATCCATTCTCCATTTTTAGTGAGTTGGAAGAATAGATCATCTCTACTACAATAAAATTGAGACGAATGATTCATCTCAATTTTAATTTATTTGTTCATTCATTCATTCATTCATTCATTCAACTATGTATCAAGCACCCATTTATGTGCCAAGTACTAAAAGTACAATGATGAAGATACTCGGAGATTAATGCTAATTATTCACCTTGTTTACTGCTGCTTCAAATTTTGTATCACCTGTGAATGGGATGAGCACATTAAGGTGACAAAAATGGCCAACTAAGATTATATGCCAGATATAGAAAGATGTTTGAGAATGTCTCGATGTAATTTACTACATTAACACTTTAAAAAGGAGAAAAAAATTTTATAATAAAAATAAATGTAGAAATGGAATTTGATAAAATGATTCATCTTTTCTTTGTGTTAAGATAAAAACCCTGTAGATTAATATGGAAAATAATTTCTTAACTTGATAAAGAATATCTTCTGAAAAGTGACAGCAAGCATTATAATTAATTGAATAGACATAGAAGCATTTTTTAAGGTTAAGAATAAGGTATAGATGCCTATCATTGTCACTTTTGTCTAAAACTATATTGGAAGCTTCAACCAACACAATAACAGTATGTAAAGTAATCACAGGTATGAGGATTGAAAAGAAAAAGACAAAAGGTCATTATTTTTAAGCAATATGATTGTTCATATAGAAAGATAATCTACTTATAATCATTACAACTAATAAGAGAGATTAGTAATATTGCTGTATACAAAATCAGAGTATTAAAAAAGTTTATATACATCATGAACAATTAGAAAATGTAGTATAAAAATACATATTATCTGTAATATTAGCAAAACTATACATGGCTTAGGAATACAATGTGCAATACTTTAGGGAAAAATTATAATGCTTTACTAAAGGTCATAGAAGAAAATTCAAGAGAGAGACATGTGTTCATGGAGAGTAAGATCAATAGTGTAAAGATGTCAATTTTAAAGAACTTGAACCCTGTGGGAAAAGCACTGCAGGAGAAGTGTAAGTATTGGGTGATGGTTGAGGTCAGCCAAGCACAGCATCATGGTATCAGGAAATCAGCAACTGAGACTTCACATGCTAAGACTGCATGACAAAATGAGAAGATAGATGGCCCATGTTTGGTGGTGAAGGGGGTGAAGTTAGTGTTTATAATACAATTCTATTTCCAGTAGAAAAATTAAATAACTAAAAATAGTCTCCGTTATGTAGACTGTGTATATATGATGAAATGAGAAAGGCTACTACTCTGTGGCCCTTCTGTGTATAGTCCGTGTCCTTTTTGAAATGGATAGAATACTCAGATGGGGGTAGTAAGGGAGAGTTTAAAGAACTATTTATAGGACTATCAACAGGGGTGGGGGATACCTAAAATGATGGTAAAGCAGCTAGGGGCTGGCAATAGGTCGGAGTCACTGTGATCCCTAGGCTGAAGACGCACAGGGTTAATGGCTGTTAATGGAAATCAGAGACATAGTTGTAGCTGTAGGAGGATCAAGAGATGGCAATTGTTACTTTCTGTAGAGGAACACAGCCACTGCTAAACAATGGCCCAGCAGAGAGGACTTGGTGGAATAAATATCACAACCTCGCTCCTCTCCTACCCTCCATTTATCTGTTGGTGACCTCCATTGACCAACTCCTACTGAAAGTCAGAGAGAAAAAAAATCCCATTGGTGTAGTCCATAAAGGTCGACATCCCAGAGCACAGAGCAGGGCAAAGAAGAGCAAATAATGGATTTAGAGGGGAAAAGAGAGAATGTTCAGCGCACAAGAGTAGCTCTTCACCAAGCTTATATGTTACAAGTCTACTCACACTCCATTAACTGATGAGAATCAATGTTGAGGAGTGGATGATTTTTACACTTTCCAATCAGGACTAGACCAGAGCAGAGCCTTCTAAAGAAGGGTCTTCAGTGCCTATTTCTAAACTATGCTGGGGAAAGCAGGATCTGACTGGAGAATAAGTCCCTTGGTAAACAAATGTGAGTATTTGCCTTGTTCAGTCCAGCTTATGCTCTGAACAACTAAGGATCTTGTACTATATACCAATGTACCCAGGTAACTCCAATTATTAGGAGCCAGTGAATTGGATATATACTTTGTGCTCATTCCATTCTCCTTCCTACTGCTGAGTCAATCACCGGTGAAATGGAACTCACTGCTTGGATTGTCTTCATTTGGATCTCAGTTCCGTCATTAAACAAATATTTATTGAGTGCCTTCCATGTGCAAGACACTATTCGGGCACAGTGGGAATATCACAATGAGTAAGAGAGTCCTTGCCCTCCAGAGCTTCCAGGTTGGTAAGAAAAAGAAACTAAATTCATAGAAACCTACAATGAAAGGCTGAATTTGTTATCCTACTACCCCTGTTTTTTTCCCCAAACTGCTTCTCTTTATGGGCAGTGTGGTTGTCCTCCATCTTGTTTGTGTTGATGTCTCGATTCTTTTTTTTTTTTTTTTTTTTTTTTTTGAGATGGAATCTCACTCTGTCACCCAGGCTGGAGTGGAGTAGTGAGATCTTGGGGCACTGCAACCTCCACCTCCCAAGTTTAAGCAATTCTCCTGCCTCAGCCTCCTGAGTAGCTGGGATTACAGCCACATGCCACCATGCCCGGCTACTTTTTGTATTTTTAGTAGAGACGGGGTTTCACCATGTTGGCCACAGGCTGGTCTCAAACTCCTGACCTCAGGTGATCTGCCCGCCTTGGCCTCCCAAGGTGCTGGGATTACAGGTGTGAGCCACCACCCCAGGCCAGATGTCTTGATTCTTTTTGTCAAACCTGTCCTTAGAAATACTATGATTGTAGGACTTAGGAGGCTGTAAGCAAAATGTTTAAATAATAGCATGTTGGTGTTTACTAGGAGACCTCTTCCCTAAACACATCATGCTTTTGCTGGGGGTAGGATGGGACTCAGAATGTGGGCTTACTTCTTTGTGTCTCTATATTGAGTAGCTTCATGCCATAAGTGTTATTAGCACAACTAGAGAACTATGCATATTTATAAAGTGTGATCAGTGTTATTCTCTACACATTAGCTTGAGGGCACATGGCATTTAACTCTTGCAATTCCAGACTCATGCAGTGACCTGAGTCAGAGTCTGCAATTTTGTCTTCAGCCCTACCTTGATAGCAACAGAATCCACCCAATCAGAAAGGAAATGAAAAGGGGAAGAGTGGGTTTTTGGTGGGGAGGGGTGCCTTTGCAGTGAGCTCTGCTCTGTCTCAATCTTTCTTACAGGAGGCTAAGCATTAGTAGCCCCAAGTCCTATGGATATTGTGTGTAGATTCTCTTGTCTTAGAACCCAATGGCTGCAGCAAGGTACTCATAGCTACTTCTGTTTTCCCTAGAATTCTCTAGCCAGTTGTCCACCAACCCAAAGACTCAAGTAGAAAAAGTCCCAAGTATTTAAGGGCTCATCCCAACCTAAGAGGTCCACATGAGCTTCAGAATATAGCAGATTGGGTCTCACATTCATTGTTTTGTTGTTGTTTTTCGGTTTTACATAAACGTGAGTGCCAGTATCTTTGGGTTGAGACTGGGCCTCTAACAAGGCCCCTGAATTCCAGTCTGCTCTTACATCTGCCCTCTTGGTATAGTTCAAGATCCACTCAAAGTGGTCCTCAGAACAGCCTTCAACAGATTTTGGAAGAAAATAAAAGGAGGCCCATGGACAGAAAACTTAGGGAGATGGTGCATACCCTCTTCTCTTCTGAGGAACAAAAATGGTAATCATATATTAGAGGCTCTGAGAAGTCTTACAATCACCATAAGGAAAGAAAAACCCACTTTGATTAAACCCACATTTTACAAATGTATTTGCTCATACATTTCTCCTCTCCTTTAGGGAAAATCACAATATGTTGGATTGTCAAACTTTCAATAAATGTGAGTGGCTGTTGGCAATTGGAGGTCTGCGGAGAACTCTAAAGTTTCCAGGAATTGGAACTCTAAAGGCTACCTTCCGGGACTCTGCCGGCTACAGTCAGTCCCCACATCTTTGAGCTTCTGTGGATACCTGACCAGCGGTAGCTTCCCAGTGAATGCCCTTTATGAGCCAGCACTGGGCAGGGTATTGCAGTCAGAAGGCGTGAGACAAGCTTGAGGCAGTGCCTTAAAGGGTGGTTTCCATGGATGCCACCCAGACCCAGATCCCAGAGGCACACACACAAGCACTTGCATCTGTTTTTTCACTCGGCTGGCTTGCTTCCTCAGGCCCAGAGCTAGGGTCTGGGGATTCCCATCTGGGTTCTGCCGTTAATGGGTTGTGTGACCTTGGAGCAGTTACTTAACCTCGGGGTCCTGTTTCCTCAGCTGTAAAATGAGGGGGTTGCATTGTGTGGTCCCAAAGGGAGGCTTCCAGTTCCGCTACTCTGTGAATTTTGCAAGCACAAAATTGTGTGTCCCCTCTCCATGCCTCAATGCTTTTGTCTTGCAAACGAAATGAGTGTGAGCCTCAGAAAAAGTGGGGTGGCTTATAGAATTGATGAATGCATGGTGGTTTAAGCTGGAGTTCCAGTTCTTGCCTGCACTTGCACCTTGCATCCTGAGGCTGACATCTGCTTATTGTCAAACAACTGGAAGACGCACACATAAGCAAAATCAAAGATCCAAAATGGGAAGCTGGCCACAGGGAAGCTGGGCCCTTAAGCAGTGGTTACAAAATGAAGTATCAAGAGGTCGCCAGGAAAAGTGAAAGAGAATGGTCTGGTTTGAATCCTAGCACTAGCTGCTTAACCTCACTTGATCCGTTTCTTAATCCTTAACTCCTAGCTCTCTGGGTCATCCTAAGGGTTCAATGGGGAGCAAAGCTTTGGAATCAGACAACTTAGGTTGATGGCTTTGCTCTGCAACTCACTTACTGTGACCTCCAGTGGGGGTTGAGTAACTCTTATCTGAAATGCTTGGGACCAGAAGGGTTTCACATTTCATATTTTTGTCAGGTTTTAGAATATCTGCATGATATTAATACTTATGCTCCAATGAGCATTTCCTTTGAGTATCATGTTGGAGTTTGGAGCATTTTGGATTTCAGATTATTGGATTTGGGATGCTCAACTTGTAGTTTGTTTGCTATTGTTGGTTGCAGTCAGTTCTCAGTAAATATTGGCTCTCTCCATCCATATTTATTATGTTCTGTCCTTTTCCAGATTCATATGATATGAGACATCATTGTCCAATTTCTTCCTTACAACAGTATTATTCTTTTTTTGCTAGATGCAAAGGGAAGCCTTGACATAAACAAACAAAACACAACCTGATTTTTTGAGCCATTTGAAAGTTTCTTTTATAAACAAACTCATTTCTTGAATCATCTTTTGTCCCATTTAATTAGTATTTATTTGCCTCTGTGTTTTAGTCTCAGTAGGCAAACCAGGAAGTGGGAGCTGAGGTCAAGGAACTTTCTTCTTGTGGTTCTAAGCTCATGGCACACAGGGCTGAGCCTCCTGGGAAGCAGATGGAGAAACTCCAGATCCTGGAAAGGAGAGAGGGGGATGCCTGCATACTCTTCTGCCCCAGTGAGCAGGTGTGCCCCGCCCCTGTCTCTCAGCAAAGACCTGCCAAGTAACAATTGACACATTGTGTGGAAATAAAAGCAGTGGGCGAGTAGCTGCAGTTTCTAATGGCAGCGTGGGTAGTCGGGGGCGGGCCAGCCCCAGCAGTGACAGCTGTGGTACCCAACATTGTCAGTGCAGACGCTGATGGCCTCTGTTCCCCATGCCTGCCCACATTTGTGCACCCTGTCACTGCAGGGTGACAAGCCCAAACACAGGGAGCCTCCCTTTCTTATGCTAATGCTCTGTAATGACAGCTTCCCCAGCCCACCAGGTGTGACAGCCACCAGAGGCAGCCTCCACTCCCACTGCTGAGTTTCCCACCCCGAGTCCTGGACCTGATTCAGGATGGAGCCTGGAGAAGGACAGACACCCTCTGCCAGCCATGAAGATCCCAGGCCCACAAGTTGCTGGCCCTCTGTAGCCTAGATCTTGACTCTCTCCTGCTCATTAGGGCATCTTGTCACTGTCCACTGTCTTCATCTTCATCCACCCTACTCCTTGCTGTCTAACCACAAGCGTCTTCTTTATGTTCTTACATGCACTAAAACCTTCCTTGTTTTCTCTTGCTGTTCTTTCTTGCTTGGAGACCTTTGACACTTGCTCTTCCCTTCCTTGATTTATTCCTGTCCTTCAGGACTCTGCTAATGCTGCCGCTTCTCTGGCTTTCTTGTTCTATATCGATAGCCCTGTGTTTGTTCTTCAACATCACTGTTTATTTCCTAGATACTATTGATATTGATCTCAGTCTTTAATGTTCTTGTCTGATAATGTATTTATTTGCTTATTTGTCTCTTCTACTATAATATAAACTCAATAAAGGCAGGGACCTGGTCTGTCTTGTTCACAGCTCCATCCCTAGAGTCTATTCCCCATTGCCTGGAACATAGTAGCTACTCAATGAACACAAGTGGAATGAATAAATGAATAAAAATATGCATACAGGAAAACGCTCCCATAAGTAACTGTGGCTCATCAAGCAATGATCCCCAAATGGGGAGTCATGACCCCAAGGGCACACACTGTCTTAGAAAAGCTGCCCAGTGATCCTAGTGCTTGCTCTTTTGTAAGAGTAAGTGAACTCTGCTGCAAAGGCCTGTTCCTGTGCAGCCTTCTGCTTCTTTTGCTTTCCTAAATTTTATTTGTCTGATCCTTTAGCCATGTTCTATGCCAACTCTGGTTACAGCTAGTTAAATGATTAACATTTGCTCTCCCAAGCTAGTCCAGCCTGAGGGCTATGGGTAAAAATCATTTAAAAATCTTGTTTTCTTTCTGAAAACTTGTAAGGATCTCTCTTTACCTTTGAAGTTTGGAAATTTCACAAGATACCTAGGGTGTATGTCTTTTTTCATTAGTTCTGCCTGGGGCTCAGTGAACCCTTTCAATCTGAAGACCAAACCAGCCTGTCCTCTAATTCACAGTTTTCTTCTATTATTTGATTACTTTTCTCCCATTCATTTTCCTGTCTTCTTCTGGGTCTCCTAGTAATTACTTAAATCTCCTGAATTCATCCTTTAAGTCCCTTATTGGCTCACCCTTGAATCTCCTTTTAAAACTTTAATTCTTATGCATTTATGCATTTATGTTTGGACTGATTTGTAAGATGTTTCTTCTAATTGGTCTTTCCATCACTAACTCTCAGGAGTGACTCTTCACTTTTTCAAATTTTCTATTAAATTTTTAAATTTTGGAAACAATTTTCTTCCAGAAAGCCTGTTTCTTGCCTCAGTCACATCTCTTTGAGAGGGAATGTTACTTTTCTATCAAAGTTGTTTTTTGTTGTTTTTGTTTTTTGTTTTGTTTTTTCTGTTTATCACAATTTTTTGGCCTCAACAGGAGCCATCTGTCCCTATTTGTCAGCCTGGTCCCCTGTCTCAAGTTACTGAGTCTCTTTAAAATGGATGGAGGTTTCTTTGCCTTCTCATGGGTGTGGATGCCTCCGCATCCATAAATGTGGTAAGGACACTGAGGCTCTTGTTCTGGTGGGTTTGTGCTCTGTCCTTCTTAACCCCAATTCTGGCCTCTCTCCCTAGTCCACTGTCTCCTCCACAGAATCTCACATCCTAGATATGCTCAGGCTTGTCTCTGGATTTCATACTTTGGCCAGTTCAATTGTTTTGAGTCACCTAAATAGGAAATGTAGAAAGACTGAGCAGCCACCTTTCCAGAATGTCCAGTAGCAATACAAAATGCAGTGGGTAGGTGGTTTGGTTCTTAGCCTACCCCACTGTGATCACCGGGGACCCTCTTCCCTATCTATGGCCCCTCTGTTTTCCTGAGGATATGGTGGTTACCTCAGGTGCTCCCCTTGGTGGTCAATGAATTTCTCTAGCTTCAGCTTCATTCTCCCATCCTCATCCCTGCTTCCCCTCCCCAACCCCGCGTCGTCCTGTCACTGAAGACACTACCTATGTCTGCTAATCAGCCATCATGCACATGTTAAACCTGCCTTGACTGTCCTGGCTCTTCTTGCCACACTGATGTATGGATTCCTTTGTATCCTGCCTCAAAACAAATCTTCATTTGTTATGCTCTGGCAATCTGGAACATTGCTCAGAGCTGGCAGCCTCTGGGTGCTCGATTCAAAAGTAGCTCTTCCTGCAGGCAATGACCAGAGGATCCCCAGAACTATTTTGATCAAGTTGATCAAGTTTTATCCTTTTCTAGGCTGCTTATTTATTCTATCAGTTCTCAAAGTGTGGTCCAGACCCTTTCAGGAGTCTGTGCAGTCAAAACTAATTTCTTGAGGAGATTAGGGTGTTAATTTTCCCGTTCTTTCTTTCACAAACACGTAGTGGAGTTTCCAAAAGTTATCCCACATATCATGACATCATTGTTCTGGTGGTGAGTGGGATGTGTAAATGAATATTCTTGGGTTTAAAGCATTTATCAGTTCTAATTTTTAATATGGTACATATCAATAGCTATAATTCACGTAAACGCAAGCTCCTTGGAGTATTCAACACTTTTTAAAAGATGTTTACATCTTTTAAACAGTCCTGAAACTAAAAAGCTGAACAAATATTGATGTATTCATTTACTCAAAAAATATTATTGAGTCCCTGCTGTATACCAGACACTATTTTTTTGTGGATTATGAAGAAACACAAAGAATGAGACAGAGCCTTTGCTTTTATGGACATTCTAGCTGGGGAGGTAGACAACTACAAGTTAGTAATTAAGGATAGTATCTAATTTCAGGTGGTGATAAGTAAATGAAGAAAAAACAAAGCTGAGGAAAGAGTGCAAATGCCAAGGGTTGCAATTTTAGATGGGGGAGTCAGGGAGGCCTCTTTGCAGAAACCACACTGGATCAGAGACCTGAATGATGCCTAATTCTTTGTATCATTTCTCCCAGGAGGATAAGAGGCCCAAAGTGCACATGGACTCATGGTTGCCCATTAGGACATGACCGGGCTTTCTAGTGGGTGTGCAAAATTTGTCTCTCATGAAAGACATTACTACTTTAAATAGATCAATCCAAAGTTCAGTTCAAAATGTTTATCACAATCATATGAATCATTTATGAAATATTTAATAGCTGATAGTTACCACGTGCCAGGGATTGTGAAAATTATATCACATGCATTTCTCATTGAATCCTCATAATAACACACTAAGCTAAGGACTATTCATATCTCTACTTTGAAGATGGGGAATCAGAAGGCTAAAGATGAAGATGCAAAATCCATCATCAAAGCAGTTAGCAGCAAAACCAGGTTTCAAATCCTTGTTTTTCTGGTTCCAAAATTTATGCTCTTGACCATGAGGCAATTGTGAGAGGCCTGGGAATCTATAAATAAATTCACATTCCTTTCTTTGTAGAAGCTCATTGTATTATGGAAATAATAAATAGACAGTAAATTATTATACCATGTGGTAAATTCTGGGATTTAGAAAGGCATAGACTATAACAAGAAACCAAAAGAGGGTCATTTAACCCAACTGGTGGGAAAGCACCTATAGAAGCTTCTAGAAAGAGGTGATTCGAAATCTGAATCCTGAGAGTTGTGAGGACAATCAAGGGAAAAAAGAAGAGAAGTATGTTCCTGGTTAATAAATGAGCATAAACAAAGACACTGATGTATGAATACTATACAGTATCCAGAAAACTGGGAAGTTCAGTATTGCTGGAACATGAGAAATGGGAGAACCTTCAGCAAGAGGTCATGGAGTTAGAAGGTTTGTGATTATAGACAGCATTATGCAACATATTAAGAAGCTTGGAATTTGTTTTAGAAAAAAATAAGAAATCATTGGAAGTTTTTAGACAGTCAAATATCAAGGTAAGGATTATTTTAAGTAAAATGCTCTGATAACCACTCTGAGGATAGATGTGAAGAGGAAAGAGCAGTCCAGTTAGGAGAGAAATGTAGTGGTCCAGGGATGAGATAATGGTGGTTTCCTCTGAGGTAAAGAAGATGAGGATGGAGGAGAGGAGGGAGGTTGAGGGGTCATGTGGAAAAGTCAGCAGGGTGAGGTGACTGATTGAAGTTGAGATTCAGTGAAAGGGAAAATGAGGGTGATTCCCAGATTTTGGCTCAAATGACTAGATTGACTAGATAAATATTGGTTCCATTGGCTGATTTCAAGAACAAAGGAGGAGCAGCATGAGAGGGGAGGTTGGCAGAATGTGACATGATGGTGCACGTGCAGTGCATTTGAGGCACCAGTTGCTTGTTTTAGGAATCTGCAGCTCACCACAGAGATCTGGAGATTGGGATCTGGACATTCTCAGGAACTCAGTGAATGTTAAAATAGTAGGAATGGATGAGATCATCCAGGAGCAGGTGGTAGAACAGTGGTGAGGAAACAAAACAGAATAGCAACAGCATAATCTTTAAGAATATTTAGGCTCTGTAACCAAAGTTTTACCAAACCAGTTACAGAAACTCTAGCTAACAAGGTCTTTTTATCTGGTGGGGCTAGGAAGAAAATGGTGTAGGAAAGATTGCTATGAATGAAAGAAAGGAAGCAAGTGGGCAAATACTACAGTGAAAGCCCATGGAAGAGGGAGAAGAGCCATAGGCCAGGGAAGATCTATGGAGAAGAGACGACCAGGAAGTGGATAGGTCAGGGAGGGGTTAGGTTGTTGGTCCTTCCAAAATTTATGCTCTTTATATGTTTAACACAGACTACCTTCTCCATTCAAATCATGTCAGACCAAGTATCCAATAAAGACAAGATTGAGGTCCATACTACACTGGGCTTCCCTCTTGCTCTTATCTGAAGGTCAATCTTACCAATCCCTCTGTGCCATAATCCAGTAACCTAGGCCATCAGGTTATAGATCTCCTGGAAAATCTAAATCAAATGACAAGGAGAAAAGTTAGCTTTCCAACTCACATGGTCCTGTTGCTTTCTGGTTCCCTGGGAAGCTACATGGACAAAGATGTCTGTAGGGCTGAATTTAGTTGTCTTTTCTTCTTACATTGAAAATTTCATTTAGGCTTCTGAAAGCTGTGGAATTCATAGTCTTCTATGGAGACGGCCTCTTTTTTGGTGGTGTAATTGGAGTCAAGTACTTATTTGTTGCTTGCAAACTTTTAGTAGCGAAAATAACATTAATATGACGGGTAAGACAGGAGTTTTACTGAGAGATCAATGACAAGAACTGGCTCCAGAAAGACAAATAATCTTCATTTCACATGGCAACCTAATGATAGGTGAGGACAGATGGTGACAACCCTCAACCTGGAATTCTTCTTGAATCAATCAATCAATCAATCAATCAATCAGCAACTATTTATTGATCTGCTGTTTTGGCTAAAAACACAGACCTTGGAAGCAGAAGCCTGAATTCAAAACCCAAGTTTTCCATGTACCCGTGGCTTATTTTTGGGAGAGCTCCCGAACCCGTCTGAGCCTCAATTTCTTTCTCTGAATAGTAAGGAAAATAATTGTAGTTAACCCAATGGGTTCTTGTGGGGACCAGTTGAAATGTAAGGACCCAGTAACTGTCAGCTGCTATTATTGTTGTTTTTGATATTATTGTTGTGGTAGTTGTTGCCGTGATTGTTACAACTTCTGAGTGCTCTGGGCTACTGTATAGGCTTTCTTTTTTCCAGGCGGATTTTATGATGTTCCCTGGAAATGTGCCATGGGGGCTTCAAAGAAATTTCCAAGGTGGCCCTGGGCTTCCTGGATACTTAGCGTTTATAGTTTTCCGACCACTCAGAGAAACACATGGGTCTCAGCCCGTGAGGATCCCATGGGGAGAAAAGGGAAGGAAAGGACCATGGGGGTAAGAGGGAGGTGAAGAGAGGACACAGGCCGTCAGGAGAGAGAGAGAAAGAGATGGGGCATGGGGAGGGAAAAACTTTGTGGTGATAAAAGAAGAAACCCCCACGCTTGTAATCCCAGCACTTTGGGAGGCTGAGGGGGCGGATCACGAGGTCAGGAGTTCAAGACCATCCTGGCTAACACGGTGAAAACCCATCTCTGCAAAAAATTAGCTGGGCGTGGTGGCACACACCTGTAGTTCCACCTACTCAGGAGGCTGAGGCAGGAGAATACCTTGAATCTGGGAGGTGGAAGTTGCGGTGAGCCAAGATCACACCACTGCACTCCAGCCTGGGTGACAGAGCAAGTCTCCGTCTCAAAAAAAAAAAAAGAAACCACAAGTTTTTGCCATCATTCCTTCAATAAATTAATATCTCTAGAGTGCCTATTCTGTTCCAGATACTCTTCTAGGTGCTGAGGATACCACAGTGAGTAAGAGATATGAAGTCCATATCTTCACGAATATTACATTCTGTGTGGGATGGAAGGGAGCAGACATTAATACATCAAATAATTTCAGATAACAGGAAATACTTTAAAGAAGATTAAACTGCGTGAGTTGCTAGAGATTAGCTTAGGGAGGATGAGAGGACCTACTTCAAGTCATGTGTTCAGGAAGGACCTTTTTAATTACTAAAGAGAGATTCGCCTTGTTTGGGGGCACCAGGTTTTACCCAGTACTGAAGTCTCATTCCATGTGGTGGATCTAACTGGCCTGTTCTCTTCCCTTTCACTACCTTTTCACAAGCTCCTCTCCTCCTCATGGGCGACAGACAGCCTTTCTTATTAATGAATTTGGGAACAGGACCTAGGTATTCATAGCTCAGCCTATTTCCTCTCCTTTTTAGGGCAGAGTGAAGTGTTTGCAAATAACATGTAGTCTTCTATGCTTCTTCATGCTTTAGGTTTACCAGGGCAGAACTGCTTGTTGGGGGCAGCTGCAGTGGTTTGGCACATTCTTTTCTGGGGTTCAGGATTATATACCAGCCTTTATGATCTAAGGCAGTGGTTCTTAAAATGTGGTCCATGAATCAGCAGCATCAACATCATCTGGGCACCCATTAGAAATACAAATATCAGGCCCCATCCCAGACTTTCTGAATCAGGTGTTCTGGGGGTGGGGTCCAGCAATTCTTGTTTTAACCATTGCTTCAGTTGGTTCTTACGTGCACTCAAGTTTGAAACCACTGCTTAAGTGCAGTTTTACTTTCTCTAAAATGCGGTGTTCCAGGTGTTGAAAAGCTTTGCCATTCCAATCTGCTTGAAGTCAGTGGCAAAGAGCCTAAAACTTGAATGTCAAAAGCTTTTGCAGTTCTTTTGTGTATCTCAGGGTACCTCGTCAGCCTCAGCACTAATGACATTTGGGGTTGGTTAATTCTTGTTTTAGGGGGCCGCGGGGGTGTTGATCTTGGACGTTGTAGGGTGTTTAGCAGCATCCCTGGCCTTTACTCATTAGATGCTAGTAACGTTCCTTCCTAACTCCAGCTGTGACAATCAAAATGTCTCCATGCATTACTAAATATTCCCTTGAACACAAGATCATCCCTGGTTGAGGACCATTGATCTATCTGCATTAGTTGAGAGTATAGCTTGTGGTTTGTTCTCCAAAACCACTAAGTCAAATGTCCTGCTTAAAGAAATAATAATACCCACATCATAGATTGTTGAGATGATTAAATGTAAACATCTAAAAAACTGTTAGAACAGTATGTGTCTTATAAAAATGGTCACATAAATTAGGTATTAGTAATTCTTATTGTAATTAAATAATATATAGACTATCAAAGATCTATTTAAGATTAGTTGTTAGTATCATTATTACTTGAATTATTATTATTTCTCCTTATCTCCTGAAATGCCTATGCAGAAGTTAATTGTTGTTGTTAATTTTACTTCTTTATCTCATGAAAGACCTGAAATTGCCTTTATTTTGAATATGGCACTTCTAGATCTTTTATCTATTAAGAGAAAGGATCACAAAGACCTTTGTTCTTATTGGTTTTGCCTTTTACCCACTTATGCCTTTCAGTTAGAAAAATGTAGCAAACATGTGACTAAACCACTCATCTGTTTCCCCCACTCTCCTTGAGGAATGCTCAAACACATTTGGATAGTCTGTTTTCTCAGCCCTCGGAGTCTTGTCACTTACTCCGCCCACTTTTAAAAAGAAAAGCAGGTTCATTCCTTACCCCCACCCCTATCCCATGAACACTGTGATCCTCATATGTATGTAGAGACTCTTTTAAAATAAATTTTTCATAGTGTGCCAGGATTGACAGCTGCTGCCCACGTCCTTAATGCTGTAACAGCAAACATCTGAACAAAGAGGGGAAAAGTCAGTAAACCATCTGGATGTTTCGTTGATGTTTTGCCATGCAATAGAAGTTATGCAACATCTGGATGACAACCTAGTACTTTGCCTTTCTATTGGGCTGCTTGGGTATTGAGTAGACACAGATTTTATTGTAACATGGTCATAATGTACAAGTTCAGAATTTCAAATTCAACCCAAATCTTTTGGAGCCTGAATTCATTCACCCTTGGCAAAACGTGAGTATGTATTTTTAAAGCAATAAGACTTGGAAAGTTTATTAAAATGTCTCAAAAGGCATTTGGACGTCAAATAACTCTCAAACCCAATGTTTTTGCGATTCAAATGAATCAGAAACATATGGATTAAATTTCCTTTAAATTGCTCTCAAGATTAAAAATCAAGGGAAAAAGTGCCCAGGGCCAAATATGTTTTGGGTTTTGCAGGACAAAGTATGGTTGAAACTGAGCTGAAGATATGAATAGCACCCATACTGTCTTTTTGAAGGACCAGAGTTTTATTCACAGAGCATTTATTCTCACTCTGCCGAGCAACCACACAGACCACCAAACACAACCATAATAACAAACATCAACAGTTAAAATGTCTGCTAATTTGCAGTTAGCCAAAAACAAAAAACATACTTCAAAGTCAAACTAAAGACGTCTCTTTCTAAAGTTCCCCTGCAGGATCTGAAAATGATTAAAAAAGAAATTATGTCTGAAAAAGGAGCTGTTTCAAGCATTATTTAAAAGTGGGCAGAGATGGGCCTTCTAACAGCCAAGACACCTCAAGCAGCAACCAGCTCTGGACTAGTCATTCTTGGACTCAGATACCAATTTAAATTCAGCGCCAAGGGGTCTAAACTAAGCCAGAGGAAACCAATCTGGAAGACATGATATGGATGAGCATGGAAGCTTAGTTCTCCATAGGAGGGTTCTTTATTTGATTTCTGCTATTCCTACTATTCTCTACTCTTGCCAATGAAAGAACAGAATCAGACCTTATTGGTGACCAAAATACGTCTTAAAACATAAAACACATGTTTTAATCTGATTGTCTCATATCAACTTTTTTGGTCAAATTATTTGACCTTCCGTTTCTGCTTCTTCAGATTAAAATAATAGATCTCTTTTCCTAAGTTTACCATTCTTGACTTTGACCAGCCCCTGAAGGCAAAGAAATATTTGGAAGAAAGAGTAAGAGCACAGTCTGACCTTGCTTGCTTTATCTAGTTGGCTCTCCTGCAGAAATTTTCCACACCACCTCCCCTGTACCTCCTGTTCCCCCCTTCCCGGTATTAATTTCATGGCTTACATTTAGGAATTTTATTATAGTTAGGGGTTGTATTTATTATCCCCTTTTATCAAGTTTCACATCAGATCTCTGAAACTGTTATACATTTCAGAAAGCCATTTATTTGTTCAACAAATATTTATTAAGCTCATACTATGTGCCAGGTACATATTTACTGAAGATATATCTGTAAACAGGATAATTCAGAGTAGATGAGTACATAAATGGATAAATAAGATAATTGGAGATAGTGAAAAGGGTTATGGAGAATATAAAGCATGTTGATGTGATGAGAATATCAGTGAGTGCCTGCATATCAGGAGGGAGGGAGAGAGAAAGAGAGAGAGAGAAAGAGAAAGAGAGAATAGATATACCAGGGAGACTGGGAGGGAACTTAATGGCATGATCAGAAGAGGCTCTCTGAGTAGGTAATATTTGATTTAAGCCCTGTATGGGGAGAAGCAGCTTTGTGAAAAGCTGGGAAAGAATGCTCCTGGTGGAGGGGACAGCAAGAGCAAAGACCTTGAGGCAGGAACTCACTTGGCCCATTGAAGCAGAATGAGGACTGTGTGCCTGGAGTTTCTGGTATGAGTGAGAGATATTATCATGTGAAATTAGAAAGGTAAGCAGATTACATAGCTGCCTGTAAGCCACAGGAGGGTTGTGCATTTTATTGTGAGACGGGGAAGTTTTCAGCCTAGGCCAGCATGATCTCTTGGACTCATATTTTTAAAATATCATTTTGACTCCTATTTGTTGACTGGACTGTAGGGAGCAAGAGTTTATAACAAAGAAGACTGGCTGATCAATGTATGCCCCATCCTCAGTCTCTACTTTTGCTGAGACATTTTGAACACCAGTGATTCCCTTTTTTCCCCTCTACCCACAGGTGAGAAATTGAGTTCTGTTGCCCAGCATCTGAAGGGGTGTAAGCTCATTCCCTACCCTTCCTCAGATACTGGGCATTGGGATAATGGTATTTTAATGACTTTTTCATGATTGTTAAGACTTGGTGTTATATAGACAAGCCTCAAAACACACTACTAGTTGAACTCATGGTATGCTCCAAACACAATAAAACAATCCAAAAATCTTGTCAGAGTTGAATTTTAGTCTGCTGAGGTACTTCTCAATCTTTGAAATGGATATAACAATTGAATTTATAAGATTATTGTAAGCATTGAAGTCAACGCAGAGTGGCAAGCACTTAACACAGTGCTTGAAACATAATAAAAGACTTCTTGATATGTATTGGCTACTATTGTTACCTCCAAGATATTAAAATAATCTTTGAAATAACCTAGCCATGACAAAGGTATCACAAATAGAGACTGTAGTGTGTGGGCCAATATCATTTGTGACTATTGCTACAACTATCTTTAATATGACTCAATAGAATTGTGTATTAAAAGTGTAATATTCCATTACCAAATATGGTTTGTTTGGAAGGCAAGGGCAACATTAATATTAGAAATGCTATAAATACAGCACATTACAGCTCCCAGATTCTTTTTCTAACAATGCCAATCTTGGGTTACCTGTAAACATCTCACCATCTCACCCCTAGAGTATGTATGGGAGGCATTACAATTATTCCCCTAAAGGATTAATAACTACTTCAGATTAGAGTTCACAGCTTTTAATAACATTAAGAGGATAAAAATACTCCTATATACCCCTAAAAATAAGAAGAACATTTAACACGATTTTTAGGGTTAACAGTTGTTCTTTCTTGGTGGTAGGATCACGTGGTATACCTCAAATCAATTGCAGTGTACATCTATTACTTCTGTAATCAGAAAAATGTTGCAATTGTAATCTCAATATTAGATTCCCAGCTGCTGTAACAAATTGCCACAATCTTGGCAGTATAAAACAACAGACATTTCTCCTCTCACAGTTCTGGAGGCTAGAAGCCTGAAGCCAAGGTTTTAGCAGGTCCGTGCTTCCTCTGGAGGCTTGGGGAAATAATCCATCCTTGCCTCTTCTAGCTTGCTGTGGCTGTCGGCTTTCTTTGGCTTGCGGCTGCATCACTTCAATCCCTGCCTCTGTCGTCTTATCACTGTCTCCTCCTTATCTGTCTAATCTCCCTGTGCCTGTCTCTTATAAAGATACTTGTGATGGCAGTTGGCACCCACCAAGATAATCCAGGATAATCCTCTTATCTCAAAAGCCTTGATTTAATCACACCTGCAAAAACTTTAGCATAAAGGATAACATATAGGTTCCAAGGATTAGGATATGGACATATTTCTGGCAACCATTATCAGCCTGCCATAGTCTTGTAACAAAACATAAAACACACACACATATATATATATCTATATATATGTGAATATTATTTAAATATAATTTTTTAAAAATTGCTGAGCCAAAGCCAATGGAATGTTTAATAGTGACATTCCTATTTACTTGGGGCAATAATACAAAAATGAGGTTCAAAGTATTTATTTTATTTGACATATTCTGGACAAGGAGATGAGATAGGAAATAGACTATTGAATTAAAGGAAGTAAATGATGGTGGTTTTTGGAAAACACTATTTTCTATAAAAAAAAAACTGAAAAAGTATTAGTATTTAATGTAAAAATGACCAGATAAAACATTAGTTTAAGAAAGCCAATGACTGTCGTATATGTCTTGAAAAACTAGCTATTATTTAATATAACAATAAAAGACATTCTAATAATAAGAGCAGCATCAACATCCACAAACAATACCCGTCAAAATATGTTAATTTGGCACTTTAGCGATATTCTCTTTTTATCACAGTAATAGCATGCCCATAGTCATTGGGAGAAACTAGAATAAACTTGTAGGAAGACAGAGTCACCAGACTGGTCACCCGTATTTACCTGTCCCTCTGTGGTAGTTTTTTTTAGAGGAAGGGTCTGCATTAAGGACTAAGTGGAAAGTCAGTCCTTATTTTAGTTAGACTTGTGAGTGAGCTGAATGAGACTGATTCAAGGCAGCTGATAAAAGTTAATTGATTGATTGACGTATTTTCCTTTAAGGTGTGAATGGCTAATAGAACAGGCAAATAGCTTAAGTGTCCTTCTCCTCTTCCAACCCTAAGAATTATATATTTTCCTCAAACAAACCCTCAACTGGTAATATTTAACCAGCATGGGTAACTTTTAGGGGGTGGAGGAGGCTTTTTGTTAAGAAAACATCAACATCATTGCTTGTTATCTTGTGTTCTTCAATGAGCAGAGCTGACCCAGCCTCCTCTTCCTCCTCTCATATAAGAAAGTAACTCTATTCTATCTTAGCCTCCAGCTTTTTGGAGGTTCTTCCTTAAGAGCCTTTTTAGCAAATCTTCTCAGGGTCTGCCTCCATTTCGTTTATTTCCAGACTTGCTCATATTTTTCTTTTAGTGATTCAGCAGGGAATGGCATCAAGAAGGAGCCTGTTCTCAATTTGTTTCTTTTCCTTATGACCTAGGATTGACTGTCACATGTAAATTACCAGGCCTGTGAAAGCCATTCAAGGTGACATGCAGTGATCTTGGACCACAGGGCATCATCAGCCCTCAGTATTTAACAGAAAAAAAACTGATGAGCAGCCAGTGAAGGTCACTGGGCTTGAGGAGCACATAACCCTCACCATATTCTTTACTTTTAATTTTTCTTTTATTTGATTTACTAATATAACATTTATATACAGTGAAATATATAGATTTTAAGTGTACAATTCGCTAAGTATCAATGAATATATGATATACATATGTATTTATGTATACACCCATGTGACTACCACTCTGATCAAAATAAAGAACATTTCCATCACCCCAAAAGTTCTGTCAGCCCCTTTCAGTCAGTTTCTACCTTCACTCCACCCAATAGGCTATCACTGTTCGATTGCTATCATTATAGATCAATTGGCCTGTTCTTGACCTTCATGAAAATGGAGTTATATGGTAGGTAATTTTTATATCCGCCTCCTTTATTAAAAGGAATGTTTTTGAGAGTCATCCATTCTCTCTAAATTTTGTGTTTGTTCAACATTTAACAACATGGCAAGGAGGAATATGAAAGGTAAATGAAGAACAAAATCCTAAGCTCTTTGGAAAGACAAGCCATCGTAAACAAATTTGGTAAACATCCATATGAAGATTTAGAAACACTTGGTTACACTTGGTTAATGGTGTGGAGGATTTTCATTGTCATCTCCATGAATCAGAACTTGTGGAGGTAGTGGTAACATCAGTCTGCCATCACATGACCTGTAATGCTGTGGCCATGGGCATATTTTAAAAGCTCCACTTCTAAGTAACATAGTTCAGTTGAGAACCACTGCCCTGTAATGAATGTGAGATGGGCAATATGAATTTATTGTTCTTTTAGCAGGTTGCAATTCCTGCCTGCTTCTTTTACTATGAGAATCTTGCTGTGATTTTAGTATTTATAAATCATATATTCATGCACCATACTTTTAAAATGCAAGTTGACAATTCCATTTATTTCCTTTATGAAGAAACAGTGATCTGTTTTCAGTGCTGGAGGAAAAATGGGCTGTGCTGGTCACTCCACTGAGGAAAATTCCTGAAGGCATGCTAAAGGTAATTTTATCTTTATATGATTTTCACTACTTTAGACAGAATAGGAGAAACTATGCTGTCATAACAAATTAATTTTAAAATTAATAAAGATGCATTTTTTGTTTAGGTTACATGTCCAATATAGATTCACAAAGCACTCAGATTCCCAGTCTGTTCGTTTGCAGTATGTGGATTGACTGGACTCTAATGTCACCACAGAAAGGCACAGAAGGCAGAATATTTTCAAGGGCCAGGCCCAGGAATGGTTTACATCAGCTCTCAAGCTCTGCTGTACCTTAGAATCATCAGGGGAGCTTTTAACAATGTTAGTGCCCTGGCTGTACTCCATACCAATTAAATGAGAGTTTCTGGGGCTGAGACGATACATCACTGTGTTTTAAACTCTCCTAGGTGATTCCTATGTGTAGCTAGCTTGAAGAACCATTGGCTTGTATCACCTCTGTCCTTGCTTCTTTGGCTGGACTGAGTCACATGACCCTGACCTACACTAAGGGAGCCTGGGAAATGTAGTCTTCATGGGTGCCCAGGAAGAGGCCATTGAAAGAGAAGTTGGCAAACCTATGTCTTTGTGTCTCACACACTCATTTTTTAATGTTAACTTCAGAATGTACCTCCCTCAAACATACGCATGTCCTCCCACTCTAACAATATAAGCCTCACTATGGAATGGGGAGGAGATGTGGATTGTCTTGACATCTCAGAGATACTTGCTGTTCACTCTGGTCCCACTCACATTTGAAGCAGGGTCCTCAATAAAGGATTCTAATCTTTATTCTAAGAACATTGGGCACCTTTTAACAAAGGGACCAGTGAAACTAGATTTAATTGTTTGATCGATGATGTGGGGCAAGTGTGGATGGGAGCAGGCCAGTAACGAGGTCTGTGAGGTCATCCAGGATAAGACAATGGTGGCTTGCTTTCAAGTGACACAAATGGAGATGTATTTGAGACTGAAAAAATGAGATTATAGACCTCACTACAAGAATTGCATTAGTTGAGCAATGCAGGTGAGAGGTATCCATCAGGACTTATGTGTTTCCAGCACAATCAGCCAGATACAGACTGGTGGAGTGATGGGGAAGACACTTAATCCAAGTGTAAACAAAAGTAAAGTGAAGAAATGGAGACAATGCAGATAGATACTGCTTTGAAGAAACATGCCTCAGAATGATGGGGTAGCGGGAGAACTGAGGGAATTGCCTTGTCCAGCCATCAGTATCATGATATTTACTTCCCACTTAACTATTGATCTGCATATATAGCTTCTTGGGCTACCACTCAGAGAGGGAAGGTGGATTTTAATGTTAGGCACCAATGTCTCTCCTTATACTTGGCTTATGCCTCCTGGCCGATCCACCCTTCTGTGTGCCTGCCTGCTTGGTTTAAAATCCATATCATATCAAACAGCCAGTTAAGGAATAAAAAGTTTAGAATACTCAATAGAAGAGAGATTAGGAACCACACTGTACTTTTTTTCTTTTAAGTTCTTTTTTTTATTATTATACTTTAAGTTTTAGGGTACATGTGCACAATGTGCAGGTTAGTTACATATGTATACATGTGCCATGCTGGTGCGCTGCACCCACTAACTCGTCATCTAGCATTAGGTATATCTCCCAGTGCTATCCCTCCCCCCTCCCCCCACCCCACAACAGTCCCCAGAGTGTGATGTTCCCCTTCCTGTGTCCATGTGTTCTCATTGTTCAGTTCCCACCTATGAGTGAGAATATGCGGTGTTTGGTTTTTTGTTCTTGTGATAGTTTACTGAGAATGATGATTTCCAATTTCATCCATGTCCCTACAAAGGATGTGAACTCATCATTTTTTATGGCTGCATAGTATTCCATGGTGTATATGTGCCACATTTTCTTAATCCAGTCTATCATTGTTGGACATTTGGGCTGGTTGGTTCCAAGTCTTTGCTATTGTGAATAATGCCGCAATAAACATACGTGTGCATGTGTCTTTATAGCAGCATGATTTATAGTCCTTTGGGTATATACCCAGTAATGGGATGGCTGGGTCAAATGGTATTTCTAGTTCTAGATCCTTAAGGAATTGCCACACCGACTTCCACAATGGTTGAACTAGTTTACAGTCCCACCAACAGTGTAAAAGTGTTCCTATTTCTCCACATCCTCTCCAGCACCTGTTGTTTCCTGACTTTTTAATGATTGCCATTCTAACTGGTGTGAGATGGTATCTCATTGTGGTTTTGATTTGCATTTCTCTGATGGCCAGTGATGGTGAGCATTTTTTCATGTGTTTTTTGGCTGCATAAATGTCTTCTTTTGAGAAGTGTCTGTTCATGTCCTTTGCCCACTTTTTGATGGGGTTGTTTGTTTTTTTCTTGTAAATTTGTTTGAGTTCATTGTAGATTCTGGATATTAGCCCTTTGTCAGATGAATAGGTTGCGAAAATTTTCTCCCATTCTGTAGGTTGCCTGTTCACTCTGATGGTAGTTTCTTTTGCTGTGCAGAAGCTCTTTAGTTTAATTAGATCCCATTTGTCAATTTTGTCTTTTGTTGCCATTGCTTTTGGTGTTTTAGACATGAAGTCCTTTCCCATGCCTATGTCCTGAATGGTAATGCCTAGGTTTTCTTCTAGGGTTTTTATGGTTTTAGGTCTAACATTTAAGTCTTTAATCCATCTTGAATTGATTTTTGTATAAGGTGTAAGGAAGGGATCCAGTTTCAGCTTTCTACATATGGCTACATGATCGTATATCTAGAAAACCCCATTGTCTCAGCCCAAAATCTCCTTAAGCTGATAAGCAACTTCAGCTAAGTCTCAGGATACAAAATCAATGTACAAAAATCACAAGCATTCTTATACACCAACAACAGACAAACAGAGAGCCAAATCATGAGTGAACTCCCATTCACAATTGCTTCAAAGAGAATAAAATACCTAGGAATCCAACTTACAAGGGATGTGAAGGACCTCTTCAAGGAGAACTACAAACCACTGCTCAAGGAAATAAAAGAGGATACAAACAAATGGAAGAACATTCCATGCTCATGGGTAGGAAGAATCAATATCGTGAAAATGGCCATACTGCCCAAGGTAATTTATAGATTCAATGCCATCCCCATCAAGCTACCAATCACTTTCTTCACAGAATTGGAAAATAGTACTTTAAAGTTCACATGGAACCAAAAAAGAGCCCGCATCGCCAAGTCAATCCTAAACCAAAAGAACAAAGCTGGAGGCATCACGCTACCTGACTTCAAACTATACTACAAGGCTACCGTAACCAAAACAGCATGGTACTGGTACCAAAACAGAGATATAGATCAATGGAACAGAACAGAGCCCTCAGAAATAATGCCGCATATCTACAACTATCTGATCTTTGACAAACCTGACAAAAACAAGCAATGGGGAAAGGATTCCCTATTTAATAAATGGTGCTTGGAAAACTGGCTAGCCATATGTAGAAAGCTGAAACTGGATCCCTTCCTTACACACTGTACTTTTGACTGTGTTGGCTTACTCCTGGCTAAAGTGTTGTGGCTCAGGAAAATTCCCTTGGGAATCCTTGCTTTCCATTATGGTTTAAGAAAATGTTGTCATATTTGAGTCAAAATGTTGAATAGAAATTTGGAAATATTGACCCAGGGAATGGCCTACTTGTTTATTTACGCTTCCCCCACAACACATATACCTTACCCCCCGCCAACCACTAGATTAAAAAGGCAGCAAGTCTTTCTTCTCAAGTCTTTCCAGATAGTCTGGTATACAGTTGGTTGTTCAAGGGTTATTTTTGATGAATTAATGAATGCTTTGTGGCCTGAATCAAAGAAACTTTGAACACTCTCTCCCTGCTATACTTTTTGCTCAGGGGCTCTTGAATGGCCTGTGGATAAGTCGATGCAGTGGTGTCCTCACAGTGGCTCTGTCCATACCCAGTCTCCCAAAAGACAATTTTTCTCTACTCTAACAGTTTTTTTTAAGAGTTGAGATATAATTCACATACCACAAAATTCAACCTTTTAAAGTACACAATCTAGTGGTTTTAGTATATTCACAAGGATGTGCAACCATCTAATTCCACTAATCCCCAAATATTTTCATAAACCTAAGAAGAGCTCCAAATTCATTATCAGTCCCTCCTGATTCCCACTAATCTACTTTCTGTGTCTATCAGTTTGCCTCTCCTGAAAACTTAATGTAAATGGAATAATACCATATGTGGTCTTTTGTGTTTGGTTTCTTTCACTTAGCATAATGTTTTCAAGGTTCATCCATAGCATGTATAATAGTACTTTATTTCTTTTTATGGCTGAATATAATATGTTCTGCTGGGCGGCTATACCACATTTTTGTTTATTCATTCATGAGTTGATGGACCTTTGGGTTATTTTTACATTTTGGTTATTATGAATAATTCTGCACTGGCTAATAGGTTTAGACTAGTTAGAGTGAACAAGTGATCCTCAGTTTATCAAAGGCTCACAGGACAGCTGGGGTCACCAATCAGTGGTGTCTTATACCCACCAGTGAGTCACCTTTCCTTTTGATTTATTTTATAAACTTACAGATGTGCTGCTTCTAGGTAGAAAGGACTATCAGTGCAACAAAATCTCACTTAAAATACGGTGAACTTTTATTTTTAATCAACTCATTGCTAAAGGAAAACTAGAACAAATCCAATCAGACTGCATCTCATTTTGTGGACAGCTGCAATAAAAATTTCTGGATTTCCGGGTTTCCCTCAGCAGGGACAGGTGGGTAGGAATCTGCCCAACTCCAGTGGGAGGATTTGTTCTTTTTTTAGCAGGATACAGGAAGAGGGAAGAGAAAAATTGTTGATTGCACAAACGACTAAAATGGCACTTCAATTCCCCCATTCCATCTAGTTTCTGGTTTCAACTGACTCCCCAAGTCATTTCGGTAATACAAAAAGTTCTGCATTCTATGCCGATTCATTTTCAGATGGATCTCTCTTGAACCCAAATTATTAATGTTTAGGTCTTCCCAATGCTGGACACACCTTCCCCTTTGCCAGCCCAAGTTAGTACCTCATCTCTTTCCTTCCCTCCTCTGAAAAATATGAAAAGGTTTGTTTCTTCAGCCCGTGTGGCATTCTATGAGGCTTGATCTCAATCATTCCATCTTTTCTCTTCTTGAGGCTGCTGCCTCTGCACAGACCCAGAAGGCAGGCCCTATTAGCCATGCACAGAGACTGGTGGGTGGGTATCAGTTTGGAGCCAAGTTCCTGGGCATGCATCACTTTTGCACATTCCTTGTCTGAGGGTGCAAAATTGCACAAGCAAACTGAGCTGCCCACAACTGGCTAATTGCAGAGGCAATCATCGCCCCGGCTCCTTCCAAATGAGCAGGGAGCAGCTAATTGTGCTCACAATTGGCTGATTGAGCTCACAGTCAGTAAATTGCTGCTGCAACTGTTTGTGCATACAATTTTGCACCTGGGAGTAATCGTGGGCGATAGGGTCTAACACACTTTGAAAGAACATTAAACAGTACAACATCTGAGAAATCTAACACTGTCCAGCCTGCTTGGGGAATTTGAGCTGGGTAGGGGAGGCATACTTCTTAAATTGGAGTTGGGGTATCTCAGACCCTGAAGTAATGCCCCAGGGTGCATGTTATAACTCATAGCGCTAGTCATACCACATCATATATCTCTTACCTCACACATGAAGCTCACCGGTCAACCTGCAAAACATCTCAGCCACAGGAGAGGTGGTAGAGTATTTACCACATGAGCTCTGAACTCAGGCTACCTTGGTTCAGATTTGAGTTCTTCTGTTTCCTTGCTGGGTAACCTTTGCAAGCCTTGATTTTTTCTCATATGTAAGATGATGATGATGAAAAAATGTACCTGAGTCACAGCGTTGCTGTGTAGAAATGAGATAATGCTTGTAAAGAATGAGCACATAGTATTTACTCAATGAATGTTTCTAATTTTTAAAAAAACTCTTAGGTCAAAATTTGATCATGACTTTGACATCCAATGGAGTACCTCACACTCTAATTTTAGGATTATTGTTAATACGCTGGTGTTAGCATCAAAGAAATTTTTGTTTTCTCTGTACCAGCTATGTGACTGTGGCCAATTTGCTTTAACTTGTCTAAATCACAGTTTAGCAATCTGTAAAATGGGGGTAGAAATGTTATCTACCCCTCTAGGGCTGTTATGTAGATTAAATAAGACAACGTATGTGAAGGAGTTAGCACTTAATAAGCACTCTGTAAATGCTAGCTCTTGCTGTTGTCACTACTACTATTATTGTTATAAAGGCTCCTGTGAGTGGGGTGGGACCGGGCCTGGAGTACTGGGGACTTTGGAGCCAGAATACTATTATGTAACTCATGTCCACAGTGTGATTTGCTCCTACCCACTGCCCTGATAGAATGGATTCTTTTAGATAGAACAGAGGTGTGTGAGCTTTATAGCAAATTGTCTTGCTTGGGCCCTTCCCAAATCTACATGAGGGGAGACATTCAGCCCTGTGGCCCTGTTCCCTGTGCTTGCCTTGTCCTGGTTCATTTCTTGGTCTCTGATAGAGACAATTTTATAGGGTTCTTACTCTCAGCAAGAAAAAAGAGATAAGGACAAGCTTTGGCAGGATCCGGAAATTAATCCAGGGGAGGCAGACATTGTGTCTCTAAATGTAATTGAATCTTCCTGGAGTCTGATGGGGGTGGGGGATGGAGCATGGACCTTCTGACTTTTAAGTCTGTGAGGAGGTGTGGAGGAGGGAGGGCTGCTCTCCCTTCAAGTCCTTCTTTCCCATGGTCCCAACCTCCTTCCCTTTTCCCTTTATGACCACCACCACGTGTTCTGTCCCTTTGGGTGTTTCTGGCTCTTGCCTCAGCAGCAATGCAGGGTGCACACTCCCCATTCCTTGCTGTCTAAGAATCCGAGCATACAGGACTCTTCACAGTAAATGGGCTTTACTGCGATCCGGATGCAGACAGGGACAAATGGCAAAGATTTTAGAATCCCAGAGTTCTCACCAGCATTAGTCTTTGCTCCCAACTCTCATAGCATGGTTAGCTTGGGCTGCCATAACAAAATACCACATATTGGGTGGCTTAAACAACAGAAATGTCCTTCTCACAGTTCTGGAGGGTAGAAGCCCAAGGTCAAGGGATTGTGAAGTTTGGTTTCTCCTGAGGCCTCTCTCCCTGTCTTGCAGATGGCCACCTTTTCACTGAGTTCTCACATGGTCTTTTCTCCGTGTGCATGCATCCTTGGTTTCTCTCTATCCACTTTTCCTCTTCTTATAAGGACACCAGTCATGTTGGATTAGGGCCCACCCTAAAGTCCTCCTTTTAACTTCATCATCTCTATAAAGACCTTATCTTGGAATACAGTTACCTTGTGAGATACTAGGGGTTAGGACTTCAACGTATGACTTTTTTTGCAGGGGGACACAATTCAGTGCATAACACATGGGATTCTTAGAATTTTCAAGAAATATTTTCTCTTTAGGAATGTAACTTAATGAACCCAGAACCCAGCTCAATCATTAATTAGTTGTGTGACCTTAGGCAAGACAGGCACATGTCTCGATTTGCCTGGGAGTGTCCCATTTACCTCTGTTGTCCCAGTGTAGTTACAAGAGCACCCCCTTTCATTCTTAAATGTATCCTCGTTTAAATAATGAATCGTGTGGTCACTATTCATTAACTTTAGCTGTCAAAATGAAGTGAATGACACCTAATTCACAAAGGTGCTCAGGGTTTGCAGGGGATGATGGAGAAGTACCTATCACACTACCCAATGCTTGGTAAGTATGAATGTCTTTATACTACTTTCTTTTTTTTCATAAATAATATATTTGCAGCATTTATGATTCACAACCCTTCTGACACCAGACCTGTATGTGTTTTCTACATCAATAACTAGTTCTTCAACTTTCTGGACACCAACTGAGTGCCCTACAATTCAATTCAGATCTGACACTAACTACTTGGAGTTGCCCAGATCCCACAGGGTAAAGGCTCAGTCCCACAAGACTGACCCCCACTTCAGCTGCCAGTCCTGCAACACAGTCCTACCTCCCACCTGTACTTCTTACCAACTGGTATAAATTATGAGTTCTCATGACCCCCTTCCTCAGTTTTAATAATTTGCTAGAATGGTATCTTCTAAGAATAACTAATTCTTCAAGACCTTATAGAATTGTTGTCCAAAAGGAAGCTCACCATTTCTATTAGTTATCTGGCGATGGGCTCATGAGTCTGAAATTTAAGGAAAACAGTTTACTTACTGAAATTTCAGGAAAATAATTTATTTGCTAATGCTGGTATTAGTAAGTATTAGCCCAGGAACAGTCAAATGGAAGGGATGCACAGGAAAAGCTATGAAGGTGGAGCTTGGAGCTTCCATGTCCCCTCCAGGTGCACCATCCTCCCAACATCTCAATGTGTTCACCAGCTTGGAAGCTTAGTCATTTAAGGTTTTTTATGGAGGCTTCATACATAGGAATGTTTAAGTCATTGGCCATTGATGCTTAACTCAGTCTCCAGCTTCTCTCCCCTCCGCAGAAGACTAGGGTAAGGCTGAAAGTTCCAACCATCTAATTACATGGTTGGTCCTTCCAGCAACCAACTCCCATCCTAAAGCTATGTAGAGGCCCACTGAGACTCACCTTATTAGCAGAAAGTCAGGCACGATTGAAAGAGGCTTGTTTCAAATAGCAAAGGACAGTCCTGTTACGGCTGTCACTCAGGAAGTTCCAAGGTTTTGTTTTTGTTTTGAGAAGCTCTGCATCAGGGACCTGGGACAAATACCAAATACATATTTCTTATTATAATCTCTCCCTTGTACTTACACCTTTCTATTCCTCAATCCCAATTCCCTTGGTCAGGCAGGTTCATTTTTCATGAGGAACCGTCTGTTGAGACACGGCCTAGAGATGATGACAGTGTAGACTGGTTAGCCTGGATCAGTGGTCATACAGGCTCACCTGTGCCACAGTAAACTGGCATTTTAAGGGCCTCCAGATTCAGTGAGAGCCCAGGTAATGGCCCTCTTCCATCCTAGAAAATTGTTCGTGTCCACCATCAATAGCTGGTGGTGCACTTGGATGAATTAGGGCTCCTTGGCTGCAAGTAACAGAAATAAGCCTCTGGATTAAGTGAAATGAAACAGGGAAAGACCCTAATTATAAAGGTAGTTTATGGACTTAAAGGAAAAATGAAGTCACCAAGCCTCAAAAAGGAAAGGGACTAGAATGCTTCCTGTGATCTTTGGTTCAGGGATATATGTAAGCTCTTACTTTTTTAAGGGGAGAAATCAAAAAACAATATACAAAGAGAAATAATAAACTAAACATCAATTTTCCCTCCATCCAGAATCAATAGCAGTTATCATTCATTTTGATGTGTTTGTTTCTGGAGGAGTTTGTTTTTTGATCTTGTTTTGCTGAATGAATGAAATGAAACCAACTTAACTTCTCAGTCTCCAGTCCCACTTGCCTCCCCTCAGTCTGGAGATGAATGTTACTGTGAGTTTGTGCACCCTTTCAGGTTCAGAATCAAGAGATTCTGAACTTTGCTTGTTCAGGCTCTTGTCCCATACTCTAGGGACAGTTTTTAGAATAATTTCAGGTACCTCCTAAGAATAACTAATTATTTAAGACCTCATAGAACTGTTTCTAAAAAATAAACTCACCATCTCTATTAGAGTTATTGGGAGGTGAGCACAGGAATATGAAATTTAATTAGTTCACTGGGTCATTATTCAACACACTCAAGTTTGAAAACCAATGCTTTAGAGTGGTTTCTAATTTACGTGCATCTCTGTAACCAATATGGTGGGGCATTCTCTGTCTTAGGCCTTCTGTTAGCATGGCTCATCCCCAACCAGTCCCATATCTGGGGGAGTGTCTGATGTACATGGGTTGTGCCACAGGCCTGCTTTCAGGGCCCCATTATGATTTTAATGGACCTTGGACAATTTCGCCTTTGTAGGCCCCTTTTTCCCACAATAGATAAGGAAAATTATGTTTTATGATTGGGTTGGTATAAAGTTGTATTTAATTCAGGCTGGATTATATTCATTTTTTCCTTCTGGTTTTCAAATAAATCAAAACACTCCTGCTGGGCCCTAAAAGTATTGTGGGCCCAAGCCCCAGGCATGGTGTGCTTAATGGAGCACACTCCTGCAGTCATTCAAGGAAGAGGCAAGGCCCATGATTGGCATTCTCAGTCAAATCACACGAAGGGCTGCTTTTCTGATATAGTAACACCCAACAGATGAAATCAGGAGATTTCCTCTTCAAGCCCTTTACATTTCCATTGTGGCCAGAGTCTCAGATCTGGGTGCAGACACAACCCTGCTACACTACAGGCCTGTCCTTTGAAATTCCTCCACATCCATTCCTCAAGCAGTCTCCAGTCTGGGTCAAGCTCCTGGAGAGGCTCATCTTCCCACCTGAACTCTCAAACATCCTTGGTCACATAGGATTGATTAAGAATTCATTCCTGGAGCTCCTGCTGCAGAATTTCCTCCTCCCTGTTCACCTCTGTGCATCTCTTTACTTCCTTGTTTAAGAAACAAGGGCAGGCCGGGCATGGTGGCTCATGCTTGTAATCCCAGCACTTCGGGAGGCTGAGGCAGGTGTATCACCTGAGGTCAGGAGTTCGAGACCAGCCTGGCCAACATAGTGAAGCCCTGTCTCTACTAAAAGTACAAAAAATTAGCTGGGCGTGGTGGCACCCGCCTGTAATCCCAGCTACTCGGGAGGCTGAGGCGGGAGAATCGCTTGAACCTAGGAAGTGGAGGTTGTAGTGAGCCGAGATTGCACCATTGCACTCAAGCTTGGGCAACAAGAGCAAAACACCATAAAAAAAAAAAAAAAAAAAAAAAAAAAAAAAGAGAAGAAACAAGGGAACAAGGGCTGCTGTGTGCTGATTTCTAGGCACTCTGTTAGTTTTCTTAGAGCTCAGAGATGGATGAGGTCATGCCTATACCCTGAAAGATATCATGGTCTCAAGCAGAAACAGGTAATCTGATGATGTACGTCATGCACCCGGCGAAGTATGATGAGTACTGGAGATCTGGGAGCAGCTGGGGGCCATCCTTGGTTCTTGTCACAAGGAATAAGTTCTCTACCCTTCTGCTCCTCTAGCTAGTCCTGCCTCAACTCATTTGCAGGAGGCCATTTCCCTGGGTCTCAGCCTGTATCACTTGACTTCTTGTTCATCAAGCAATAAATCATATCTCATCAATTATATGATGCACATATTTTAAAAGCCATTTAACATTTCTGTAAATGGGTTATGATTGATTGCCTCTTACAAGCACTGTTGGCCAGGTGGCAGTTGTGACAAAGGTGCATTGCCTGAACATGCATGAGTTTGATCTGAAAAGTATTGATGCTTCTGATAAGATCAGGAGGATGTCTGCAAGTAACTTGCAGAGTGGGGATCAGCAACCTGGAAGGACACCCCAGAGACTGCAGCTCGTAACCAGTAATATTGCATATAATTTTTTATGTATGCCAAAAGTGATAGACATAAATCTAAAAGAGCTTTTTAATAATTAGAAAATAAAATTTCCAAGGCATAAGGAAATACTGTGTCATGATTTAATTTGTAGCATTTTTTTCCTTAATAGTGCTTAAAATAATGATGTCTTTAATCAATGGTGACACAGATTTGAGAAAGTAGGCTGTATGTACAAGTCTCACGGTGGCTCCATGGGGACAGAGACCACCATATTTTCAACACATAGCATAGTGCTGGCATGAAATAGATGCTTAATATGTATGTGCTGATTGTCTGGCATTCTTAGTTAAAATAACATGTACACAGAATAAGGGGAAAAATAACAATATGCCATGAATAGACTTAGAACATTTTCCTATTTCTCACTGTGTGCCTTAAGTGTACATATCATATGACATAACATTTTCTTTATAGCTGGGATTGGCAATATTTTTTCTGTAAAGGGCCAGATAGTAAAGATTGTAGGATCTGTGGGCCATACAGTCTCCGCTGCCACTACTCAACTCTGCTGTTTTAGCACAAAAGCAGCCACAGACACATTATGCTAACTAATGGGTGTGGCTTTATTTTAATAATACTTTATTTACAAAAACAGGCACATGGCAGGATTTAGTCAATGTGCCATAGCATGTCAACTGCTCTGAAGCATTTGTTTTCAAATTTGAGTGTGTATAATAATGACTCAGTGAACTTGTTAAAATTCAGATTCCTGAGCCCATCTCCAGATAACTTTAATAGATACAGTGAGCTTCTTTCTTTTTGAGCAACACATCTATAAGGTCTTGAAGAATTAGTTATTCTTAAAAGGTTTCTGCAATTCTTCTAGAAACTTTCTCTAGAGTATGAGGCAAGAGCCTGGACAAGCAAAGTACGGAATTTTTTAATGTCTTATCAAGATATCAAGATTTTTTTTCCCCTTTTATTTGTATGGTGATGTCATTTCCCTTTTTCTTTGTATGGTGTCAGGAGGCAGCCACATATTATTAGGGATTAAATAGGAGAGCTAGAGCATTTTTTTTTTTAAGAAGACAGATGTCTCATCACCCATCCAGGGTAAAGGACAAGTGTTCAAAAATGAAATTATACCCCTTCAATTTTATGGTCAAAAGGAGATTCCTCTCTCTAATGGACAACAGAAGTCCCAGTAGCCATGACTGAGTGCAGGCTGGGATTGTGCCCATAGGAGAAACCACTCCAGACCAAGCCTTGTCTACCAATACAGAGGCTGATGTGGTTGCCACATGTGCAGAGCTGTGCAGACCCACCTCAGGTAAACATTGGATTCAAAGAAACTATAAGGCATCGCTGCAATAAGCCTATTAGTATGGCTCTCTCCATGGGGTGATTTTCTTCTTTTTTAGAGAATGAAGTCCTCTTAGATTTGTTTGTTTGTTTAAGAGACAAGTAAATAGTTTTGAAATCTCTGCGTGAGATTTTAATCTGGTTAATTGTCTTTAAATACCTCTTGCCTGGGTATATAAACCTCTTTAGTACTGTATGTGGTCAGGATGATGCAGAGAGTGAGAAATTATGTGATAATATAGTAATGATAACATTTATCTGGTGGGCACGGGGCTAAGACCTTGAATACATTGACTCATTCTGTTCTGACAGCAACTCTCAAGGTAGGTTCTATAATTACCCTCATTTTTGCAGAGGAGGATGAGAGGCTCTGAATTTAGGTAGCTACTCAATGTCACTAGCTAGTAGACATTAGAGCCATGATTTAAGTCCAGGCATTATGACTCTTTATGTTGAACTCTTTACCTTTACTTAATGAGACATCTTACTGGGATAGCACAGCAAGGGTGTCCAAGAGGAGAAAAACAGAATTCTCAATATTGTGTTGACTAAAATTCGTGATCCATGTTGGATAAAACTTCCACCAGCACCTCACACCAAACTGACATCTACTCCGTTGGAAGATCCCAATGGGAGTTGCACAAGTTATTTTTTTGGAAAGTCGGCAGTATGGACTGAAGGTGGAAATAGGGTTAGGCAAGACTGATACTAGAGATACTAGACTCCAGTTCCAGAAATGGGACATAGGGTGGTCTTGTGAGCTGAGACTTTGTAAGGGCAGCCCCCATCCTGAAAAAGATCTGCAGTCAGGATGGGCACTGTGTATAGCCCTGGGAGTGCATCGTACTTCACAGGAATGTCCTCTTGCCCACATGTACACTTCCATTGCTGCTGTCTTCCTCCATCATAGTTGCCTGGTAAAACTCCAACCCTGGTTAAATCTAATGGTCTACTTTCTCTGAACCAGCACCCAAGCTTGTTGAAGGAAAACACAACCATGTTGACAGGCGATGCACTGTATGATTCCATTTATAGGACAGCCTGGTCAAGGCAAAGTTAGGGGACAAAAACAGATTAGTGGTTTCCAGGGGCAGGGAGTAGGGCTGTCTATAAAAGGCATGAGGGAATCTTGGTGGGTAATGGAGCTGTTCTGTGTCTTCATTATGGCAGTACTGGTTACATGACTGTCTGTCAAATTACATACATTAAAAAAGGTGGATATTACTGTATTTAAGTTATATCTTACTAAACTTAGCTAAAATGAAGTCTCAAGAAGCAGCTGGGATACAAGATGAAGAATCATATCCTGAGCTATAAGAAGAAGATGTTATCATCTTTAATATTAAAGAAAATATAATTTATATTAAAAAGAATCTTATATGGTAAATTATTGTCCTAAAGTAAATTAACTGATTGTTTAAAGAAAGGGATGTTTACTACAAGTCAGAAAGTTGAGGCATGTCAAAGATTGTCTGTGAAAGTTGTGAAAAATGTTATAAAAGGGAACTTAGGCAAGAAATATTGTGTAATTTAAAAGTAATTAGGCCTCCTGGATGCTTTATAAAATGTCACTATAACTCTTAGCTGTACGACTTGCCTGCCTTGCAGCTAGGAACAACCTAGTATACGTGGAGTTAACTGCTGGAACAAGCCAGACCTTATCTGCACTTCTGTCTAAGTCCTAGACTCTACACCTAGCACATAATTAAAATCCCAAACTTACCAAGGTTTTCAACAAAGGTAAAGGCTGCTAAAAGTTAACAGAATAACATGTATTTAAAACTATTGAAGAGACAGTTTATGTGCAAGGTGTGTAAGAAAAGTAAAATATACTTTTGGTAAAAAGATTATAAGGAGGCATGAGAATGTGGATTTTTACCTAGATTAAAAGCCTAAAGAATTGTTTTGAAGGTTTAAGCAAGTTTTAAAAGGTTAATTGTAAAGGAAATTCTGTGCGTAAACATATTGGCTAAAGTTGAAGGAGCATCATCCAGTTTTTCTGCAAATTGAGCATTCAAATAAAAGCACAATGTGTTCTCTTAAAGCACTAACCTGTTCTTTAACAAAAATTATAAAGGGTTAAAAAGAGTCTATAAAAATCTTACCTTATGGTCAAACATTAAAATTGGGTAAATATGTCTACCAGATTTTATTAAAATTGAGTTTAATAGCACACTAATATAAAGGTGAAATTTGGCTTATCTGGTATAAAATCATACAGGAAGCATTGTCAAATATCAAATGGTGTTTGGCTTTCTTTTGACTATATTTGTATAAATATGTTATTGGTATGTGTTCCAAAATTATGGGAGACTCCTATAATTCTGATAAATCTTATTGTACATTATCAGTAATAGTTATAATTGTTATGTTAAAATTATTATGTGCCACAGAGGTAACAGATATCCTTGTCAATTGTGTCTTTAACTATGGCTACCCTAAAACTTTTTGTTATCCATAAACAATTGTTGTCTTGTTTTGGTCCTCTTTAGAAGGTGTTTTTTTTTAAATTTTCTTATTATTATACTTTAAGTTTTAGGGTACATGTGCACAACGTGCAGGTTTGTTACATATGTATACATGTGCCATGTTGGTGTGCTGCACCCATTAACCTGTCATTTAGCATTAGGTATATCTCCTAATGCTATCCCTCCCCCCTCCCCTCACCCCACAACAGGCCCCAGTGTGTGATGTTCCCCTTCCTGTGTCCATGTGTTCTCATTGTTCAGTTCCCACCTATGAGTGAGAACATGCGGTGTTTGGTTTTTTGTCATTGCGATAGTTTGCTGAGAATGATGGTTTCCAATTTCATCCATGTCCCTACAAAGGACATGAACTCATCATTTTTTATGGCTGCATAGTATTCCATGGTGTATATGTGCCACATTTTCTTAATCCAGTCTATCGTTGTTGGACATTTGGGTTGGTTCCGAGTCTTTGCTATTCTGAATAATGCCGCAGTAAACATATGTGTGCATGTGTCTTTATAGCAGCATGATTTATAGTCCTTTGGGTATATACCCAGTAATGGGATGGCTGGGTCAAATGGTATTTCTAGTTCTACATCCCTGAGGAATCGCCACACTGACTTCCACAATGGTTGAACTAGTTTACAGTCCCACCAACAGTGTAAAAGTGTTCCTATTTCTCCACATCCTCTCCAGCACCTGTTGTTTCCTGACTTTTTAATGATCGCCATTCTAACTGGTGTGAGATGATATCTCATTGTGGTTTTGATTTGCATTTCTCTGATGGCCAGTGATGATGAGCATTTTTTCATGTGTTTTTTGGCTGCATAAATGTCTTCTTTTGAGAAGTGTCGGTTCATATCCTTTACCCACTTTTTGATGGGGTTGTTTTTTTTCTTGTAAATTTGTTTGAGTTCATTGTAGATTCTGGATATTAGCCCTTTGTCAGATGAGTAGATTGCAAAAATTTTCTCCCATTCTGTAGGTTGCCTGTTCACTCTGATGTTAGTTTCTTTTGCTGTGCAGAAGCTCTTTAGTTTAATTAGATCCCATTTGTCAATTTTGGCTTTTGTTGCCATTGCTTTTGGTGTTTTAGACATGAAGTCCTTTCCCATGCCTATGTCCTGAATGGTATTGCCTAGGTTTTCTTCTAGGGTTTTTATGGTTTTAGGTCTAACGTTTAAGTCTTTAATCCATCTTGAATTAATTTTTGTATAAAGTGTAAGGAAGGGTTCCAGTTTCAGCTTTCTATATATGGCTAGCCTGTTTTCCCAGCACCATTTATTAAATAGGGAATCCTTTCCCCATTTCTTGTTTTTGTCAGGTTTGTCAAAGATCAGATAGTTGTAGATATGTGGCATTATTTCTGAGGACTCTGTTCTGTTCCATTGGTCTATATCTCTGTTTTGGTACCAGTACCATGCTGTTTTGGTTACGGTAGCCTTGTAGTATAGTTTGAAGTCAGGTAGCGTGATGCCTCCAGCTTTGTTCTTTTGGCTTAGGATGGACTTGGTGATGTGGGCTCTTTTTTGGTTCCATATGAACTTTAAAGTAGTTTTTTCCAATTCTGTGAAGAAAGTCATTCGTAGCTTGATGGGGATGGCATTGAATCTATAAATTACCTTGGGCAGTATGGGCATTTTCATGATATTGATTCTTCCTACCCATGAGCATGGAATGTTCTTCCATTTGTTTGTATCCTCTTTTATTTCCTTGAGCAGTGGTTTGTAGTTCTCCTTGAAGAGGTCCTTCACATCCCTTGTAAGTTGGATTCCTAGGTATTTTATTCTCTTTGAAGCAATTGTGAATGGGAGTTCACTCATGATTTAGCTCTCTGTTTGTCTGTTATTGGTGTATAAGAATGCTTGTGATTTTTGTACATTGATTTTGCATCCTGAGACTTTGCTGAAGTTGCTTATCAGCTTGAGGAGATTTTGGGCTGAGATGATGGGGTTTTGTAGATATACAATCATGTCATCTGCAAACAGGGACAATTTGACTTCCTCTTTTCCTAATTGAATACCCTTTATTTCCTTCTCCTGCCTGATTGCCCTGGCCAGAACTTCCAACACTATGTTGAATAGGAGTGGTGAGAGAGGGCATCCCTGTCTTGTGCCAGTTTTCAAAGGGAATGCTTCCAGTTTTTGCCCATTCAGTATGATATTGGCTGTGGGTTTGTCATAGATAGCTCTTATTATTTTGAGATACGTCCCATCAACACCTAATTTATTGAGAGTTTTTAGCATGAAGGGTTGTTGAATTTTGTCAAAGGCCTTTTCTGCATCTATTGAGATAATCATGAGGTTTTTGTCTTTGGTTCTGTTTATATGCTGGATTACATTTATTGATTTGCGTATGTTGAACCAGCCTTGCATCCCAGGGATGAAACCCACTTGATCATGGTGGATAAGCTTTTTGATGTGCTGCTGGATTCGGTTTGCCAGGATTTTATTGAGGATTTTTCCATCGATGTTTATCAAGGATATTGGTTTAAAATTCTCTTTTTTTGGTTGTGTCTCTGCCAGGCTTTGGTATCAGGATGATGCTGGCCTCATAAAATGAGTTAGGGAGGATTCCCTCTTTGTCTATTGATTAGAATAGTTTCAGAAGGAATGGTACCAGCTCCTCTTTGTACCTCTGGTAGAATTCGGCTGTGAATCCATCTGGTCCTGGACTTTTTTTGGTTGGTAAGCTATTGATTATTGCCACAATTTCAGATCCTGTTATTGGTCTGTTCAGAGATTCAACTTATTCCCATGTAAAAGAACAGAAATTATAACAAACTGCCTCTCAGACCACAGTGCAATCAAACTAGAACTCAGGATTAAGAAACTCACTCAAAACCCCTCAACTACATGGAAACTGAACAACCTGCTCTTGAAAGACTACTGGGTAAATAATGAAATGCAGGCAGAAATAAAGATGTTCTTTGAAACCAATGAGAACAAAGACACAACATACCAGAATCTCTGGGATACATTCAAAGCAATGTGTAGAGGGAAATTTATAGCACTAAATGCCCACAAGAAAAAGCAGGAAAGATCTAAAATTGACACCCTAACATCACAATTAACTAGAAAACAAGAGGGTGGTTTTATAATCAGCTATAAAGCTCTAACAGGTGCTCTTGAATGAAGGTTTCTGTTAACTGGAGATTGTAACATCAAAATAGAGGAAAAACATTCAGGACCTTTGAAGAGCTAAAATGTTCATTAATGTCAAGCAGTACAGAAATTAACTGCATAAAATGAACTAATAGGAGACTGGAGTAATCTTTTTAGTGTTTTGCTTAAAACATTGCTAATCCTTTGTTTTGCTTTTCAAAGTCAAGTAAACTTTTCTTTTGAGCTATTAACAGCTTTTAACAATTTAGTATGCTCCCATAAACAAAATTTGGAGCATACTTGTCTCTCTCTTCCTGATTTTCTCCAGAATTTGGAAACTATCTGAATATTCTTAAGTTGTCTTGGGACCTCAAGAGGAGAGAGATTCATCAACTCATAGGTATTTGATGGTAAAAATCCATGGCTGGGCTTGGCTTTAAAAAGGTCTTATCTCAGATTCCTTCTACGGAACAAAATTCCATCAAAGCTAATTTAAAAGGCCTATGTAACAAATAATTATTCTTGCTGCACTGTATGCAAATAATTTAGCCAAGTATAACAAAGCAAACCTGTCCTACCATGATTTGTCTTTTAATAAAAATGGGAAACTAGAGAGAGAAAATTATGTTTCAAAAACTATGGCACTCCTGTTGTTAGATTCTAGTGTTTTTCAATTTTTATTATTTTGTACTGCTTAAATTAAATTCTAATTTTTCTGGCTACAAGTTTCCAAAATAAGCTGTGCTTTCTTAAAGCCCTATGAACGGAAAACTAGGTGTTTCAGGGGGTGCTGCCTCTAAGTGCCCCCGATCATCACAGGAGGAAATGTCTTCACTGTTGGTGCTGACAACTAATAACTGAAGGTTCCCAGAATCCTTCGTCCCCATGTCTAGCGAGTCCACGGAACCCAGGGTAATTAAAATGGCATCTGTTACAGGAATCAACTCCTAAATATATTGCACGCAAGTCAAAGCCTGGAAAGCTAAGGAAGCAACCCCTGACAGCCCCCAAAAACGTCCTAAATATCAATGTAAAGAAATAGGAAATCTTAAGCTGAAAATCATAAAAAAATAAGTAACTGAGTGAGAACTACTCATCTTACTCAGTCTCACCCCTACCTCTCCTTTTAAGCCAAATATTAAAACTTTTTAATGGCAATTATTTATTATGCCACCCTTGTGGGAATTGCCTTACTCATTCTACTATTTGCAGTAGGCCTATATACTGTAGCACCCTCAGGGTGAAATATCAGACAAAAAACGTCAATTACTCTAGTATTTTGCTTAATTATTATCCTCATAGCAGGAATAACGGTTACTAACAGAAAATAACATGTGTTATTGGGCCTTTCCTAGCAGCACCTCTGCCTGTCATTATGTAAAAAATGTTGTTTCTACCTCTACCAATTGGGCCTAGTAAGAAACACTGCTGAAAAAGTTAAAGAAAGGGCTAAAAAGCTAAGGAAATATCAAAACAACCAAATAAATTCTTGGTTTGAAAACAAAATCATAGCATGGGTCATCCCATTCCTGGGCCCTCTCCTAATAATATGCCTGGAACTAATGTTCTTTTCCTGCCTAATTAACCTTTTTCAAGATTTTTAACTGACAGAATCATGGCCATTTCATAGACAACTACCCCAAAACATCTACAAACGGCATTTCCCCTACAGTCAACCGGAGACCAGAAAACTCTCTGTCCCCTCGTCAGCAGGAAGTAGCCTAAAAGAACACGCTGTCCCTCCTCCTTTTTATAGCTATAGAGTCTGGATTGACAGAGCAGGAGCATTGCCATCTTGGACAAACCCCTCATTCTAAGTTTCACCTTAATAAAAAACTGCCTAAATCCACCAGCCTAATGGCTAAAGTCAGCATGACCATAAACCACAAATAACATCTCCAACCAGAAACATTCCAAACTCCTCCCCCACCAGAGACATCCTAGCCCCTAGATAAGTCCCCTCCAGCCGGGAAGATGCTAGCCCCGAGATAACCCCGCTCTGGGCCGGAAAGATGTCTGCCCCAAGATAACCTCCCCTCGTCCCAGAGAGATTCCAATCCCACCATAAACTTCTCCACACACATAATCATTCCAAGCTTGTGATAAGCCCCCTCACCCTAAACCCAATATATACTCTTAGTCTGTAAGAGTAAGTGCTCCTGACTGAAATTGGCTAGGAACACCTCTCAGGTTTTGTCCAAAGTAAACCTGTCTTTAACTGCCAGCTGTATTTCGTGTTTCTTTCCTCTTTCTTTAACTCTTACAGAAGAGCTTTAGCCATGAAGGACATTGATGTATTTGGGAGGGCAAACATGAACATGGTGATGTGAAGTGGGTCTGAGGTACACTTGCCAATCATACCTCATCCCTTTGTCATGGAGTCTTGAGCCTATGGGAGCAAGTTGAAGTCTGTACCTCATGTATGGTTGGTTGAGGTGTAGTCAGTGCTGATTTAGGAATTGTAAAAGGCTGAGTTCACAGATGGACAATGCAAAACAGTCCAGCTGAAGCAGTTTGGGAGAAGACAGAACCTGACTGAAGATTCCAAGCAAGGGCTTATATGACCCAGCCTCCCCGTATGAGACCCAGACAATTGTCATCAGATAAGGAACAAAGACTGCGTCAGTGATTCATGTAAAGGAGTAATTTAAGCAAGAGCTCTCACTGTTGGAGCAATATTTCTACAGGTCAACCAAGCGTGACCATTTCTAACTAGGAAAATGCCTTTGGATAATAAACTGTCTCCTATACGCACCATGCAGCGAACTTGCTTCATCTTCATCAATTAAACACTCCCAATTTTCTCTTCCCTGGTATCTGACAAGAATCTATTTTCTCTTTTTTCCATGTAAAGAGAGGGTTTTTGGAGGCTGAGAGTGGTATTAGTGGGATTTGATGTTGGCATCCCCATAATTCAAGTTCTCAATTGCTGTTCCCACTACTGCAGGGCCTCAGGCAAAACCTCTAACCTTGGTTTCCCCCAAATGCATAATAAAGAGAAGAGTCTTTACTTATTTATGATGGGCTCTGTTACTTGTATGAGAGATGTTCCAATGTAAGTATTATTACAAGGTCCAATTTACTGTCCAGAAAGAAGCAATCCTGATAGAAATCTTTCATTTAATTAAAATTGATTTTAAAATTGCCTGATCAATAATGAGTTAAAAATTCATCCTGGCTCAGTGGGAGGAGAGAGGCCTCCAAGCAATCCTCACTGGAGTGGGTTTTGGCTCAAGAGTGAGGTGGGCCTTGCCGGCCCTGCTTGACTGGCCAAAGTCTGATGATTTTTCTTGTGGTCCAGACAGCCAAGCCCTCCTTGAGAGCAGGAGGACATGCAAAAGAATCTACTCTTATTTCTTGCATTTTGAGCAGAAAAGTTTAAAAAAGGCAACTGACCTTGCTAGTTAAGCTTGAACCATTTAACTTACTGGAAACCAATAAAAACATTTACTTATTCATTTTGGGGGAATGGATGGTGCATTTGCTTGAAAGCTCCCTCCCCCAGCTACAGAGGCCCTTTTCCACATGTGCGGTCACTCCAGCTGGAAAAATTGAAGCTGTCTTCCCACCCTCCCATAGCCTACACTCCCACATGCAATCATTTGCTAAATTCTACCAGTTCAACCTCTGCATCTCTGGCTCTTTTCCATCCCCATTGCTCCTGCCCTGGGTCATACTGTCTTCACCTCTTACCTGGAATATTTAATAGCTGTCTCACTGGTTTCCTTGGCCCACTTGTCCACCTGTCTAATTCATTTTCCATGCTCTTACCTGAGAAATCTCCTTAAAAGGTAGGTCATCTTGGGTTACTGCTGCTCAAAAATCTTTGGTGATCCACATTTTAATAAGGAATTAAGTCCAAGTGCCTTGGTGGGCATTCCAAGACACCATAAATCAGACCTCTTGCCAGCAAGTAACATCCACTGTGTGTCTCCCAACAGGCTGCCAACTCTCTTCTTTCCTCCCATACTGTGCTACTCAGCACTCTGATAACATACAGAACTCTTCTAGGCCTCTGTGGCTGTGCTCACACGATTTCCAATTCCCCCTAATTAAAACACGGGTTTGTTCATTTGACAAATATTCATTTGGAAAAGGCTATGTGCCTGGCCTTGTGCAAGGCTAAAATGGAAGTTAGGGGGAAAAGATGTATTTGACAAAGCCCCTGCTCTCCTGGAGCTGACATTTCAATGGGGAGGTAAGCTATTAAAACAAACACCCAGCACTTTGGGAGGCTGAGGCTGGTGGATCACAAGGTTAGGAGTTCAAGACCAGCCTGGCCAAGATGGTGAAATCCCGTCTCTACTAAAAATACAAAAAAATTAGCCAGGCATGGTGGCAGGCGCCTGTAATCCCAGCTAGTCGGGAGGCTGAGGCAGAGAATTGCTTGAACCTGGGAGGCGGAGGTTGCAGTGAGCCGAGATCACACCACTGCACTCCAGCATGGATGACAGAGTGTGACTCCATCTCAAAACAAACAAACAAACAAAAAGATGAAAAAATAGAGATGACGGTAAGAGTTATGAAATAAATCAGTGGAGCCCTATGGTGAGTAACACAATCTGGGGCTGGGGGGATCCAACTAAATAGTTGGGGGCTGCCTTTCAGAGTAAGAGCCGTTTACACCGAGAAATGAAGGATGAGGATGGGGCAGACAGGTAAGACGTGGAAGAAGCATGGGGCAGAGGAGACAGTGATTCTAAGAAGTCGAGGTGGGAGGGACTTCGGTGCATTCTAGGAAAGCCAATGCTCTGGGAACATAAGGAGATTTTTTTTTTTTTTTTGAGAAATGTTAGGAGATAAAGGTAGAATGTCAGTGCCAGATCATCATGGCTTTGTGGCCATGTAAGGGGTTTCCACTGTTTTTCCAAGTGTGTTAGTTTCTTAGGGCTGTTGTAACAAAGTACCACAAACCGCATGCTTAAAACAACAGAGATTTATAGTCTCACAGCTCTGGAGGCCAGAATCCTGAAATCAAGGTAGGGCCATCCTCTTTCCCAAGTTTCTAAGGAGGATCCCTCCTTTTCCTTTTACAGTGTCTGGTGTCCTGATGTGCTTCTTGGCTTATTTTAGCTTATCTCCAATCTCTGTCTCTACATGCTGCTCTCCCAGTGTGGTGTCTGTGTCTGTGTCCAAACTTCCATCGTCTTATAAGGACATCAGTCATATTGCACTAAGGACCACCCTAATTACTTCATTTCAACTTGATTAAATCTGCAAAGAACTTGTTTCCAAATAAGGTGATGTCACAGTCACAGGTACTAGGAATTGAACTTGAACATATCTTTTTTGCTGGGGGAGTTGGGGGTGGGGGGGACTTACAGTCCAACCCATAATAACAAGTGACATGGGAAGCTTTTAAAGAGTTAGGCAACACTGTTGCCCAACTTAAAAATATAACTCCTTTGATGCCTGGTGAGAAATGGAGTGAAGGGTCAGATGGAACCTGGAGCCTAGTCTTCCCGATGTGGGATGTGTTGGCATCTGAGCCTGAGATAAAAGGGTGCATACGCATGTGTTTTGGCATGAGCACACACGGGTAGCCATCACATTCTAAAGGCAATTTCCATTCTGCACCCTCTGTGATGCCTTGCAAGGCATGCCTTTTCTTTGTGCTTTCATAGCCTTTGGCTTATACTTTTATTTGGCCTGTGTTTAGTTTTACCCTGTTTTAGAATTATATGTGTAGCAGGACTGTCAGGAGTGAAGACATGTCTTTTGTAGGAGGGCTTTTGTCTAAATAAGAAAGAGGAAAATGCTTGCACACACAGCTGTATTGAAGAGGGATTGAATAGTTTAGCGATTTCACAGAGAGTGACTCCCTGGGTCAGGCCCATGGATTCATTTCTGAGCATTGTGGAGAACGGGGAAAGAAGGGACTCAGGTTAAAGAGCAGAAAGAGCCGCAGTTCCATAGAAACCAGGGCACAGTCCTGGTGGTGTAGGGCTCAGGGAACACTGTTACTCAGAGGGGAAGAGAGAGGCATTCATCCCTGCTGTCAGCTGAATGTATGTGTCCCATCAAAATTCATATGTGGAGACTTAATCCCTAATGTGATGGAGTTAGGAGGTGATTAGGTAATGAAGGTGGAACCCTCTTGAATGGGATTAGTGCCCTTATAAAAGAGATCCCAGAGAGCTCATTTGCTCTTCTACCATGTGAGAACACAGTGAGAAGAGACAATCTATGAACCAGGAGGCATGTTCTTACAAAACACGGAATCTGCAAGTGCCTTGATCTGGGAGTTCCTAGCCTCTAGAATTGTAAGAAATAAATTTCTCTTGTTCATAAGCACCCCAGTGTATGGTGTTCTATTATAACAGCCCAAACAGACTAAGACAGTCCTCCTCTTGCTTATAGAATAGCTTGGCTGTAAGGACATCTAAGACTTCTCGGATGCATTGGTATCATGTGTTTGTGGTTTTGGGATCTTCAGAAGTCAAATGTCTAATCGATTCCAGCACTCTTTGAGTGGACGGTGGCCAGCGTGATTGTGGCAAGATGGTACCCTCATGCAAAATCATGAGATTCTGAAGTGCCATCAGCACAAAAGAATGGGAGAAATCAGCTTGTGAAATCATTCAAGAACCTCATGCATACCTGGAGAAAGATCTGGGAAAGTCTAGTGGAAGCTTGCTGTTTCCCATGTCTAGTACATGAACCTCTTCTGATGTTGGAGAAATTGCCCACTGTATGAGACTTCAGGAAAGGCCCTGCCTACCTCTGACCACAGAGCCACAAAGCAAGGCACAGGTACCCACTGTCCCTTCTTTCTTTGAGGTTAGTCCCTATGGTTGTATCATCTATGCTCAGCCAATCAGAAATACTGCTCCAGGACTTTGGAAGCTATAGAAGCAAAGAAGCAGTGACAGTGGAGAAACTCCTTCAGAGTGGGTGATGATAGCAAGGGCGGTGGCAGAAACACCCATTCCCATGAGCAGCGGTGGTAGTACCATGGGCCTTCATGTTTGGTACAGATGGAGTATGGCTGTGTGATGAACTGAAAAATGGGCCTCCAAAGATTGTGGCTGTTTCCTTATATGGTAAAATATCTGATAAAGTGAAGGATCTTGAGAGGAGGAGTTTATCCTACATTATCCATGTGGCCCCTAAATGCAATCTCATGCTTCCTTGTAAGAGACAGGCAGAGGGTGTTTTGAGAGAGATAGACAGAGGAGAAGGCAATGTGGCCAGGAGGCAGGATATGGCCACAAGCCAAAGAAGGCCTGGAGCCACCAGAAGTTGGAAGAGGCCAGGGAAGAATTCTTCCCTAAAACATTTGGAGAGAATATGGCTCTGCAACACACCCCAATTTTGAATTTCTGGCCTCCAGAACTATGAGAGAATACATTTCTGTTTTTGATCCACAGAGTTTGTGATAATTTGTTAAATCAGGTACAAAAAACAAATATATCTTCCTGTTTGTTTTCTGGGCCAGGTGATCCCAAATTCCTAGCAATTCTCTGAGCCATCCTTTCAACAAATTTTCTTTTCTGCCTAAATCAGAGGCAGTTTCTGTTGCTTGTCATTAAGAGCTGGGATTGCTAGAGTCAATCTTTCTTGGGAGGAGGGGATGACAATGTTCAGAGACAAAAAAAAAAATGCTGCCCCAGAACATAATCTACTTTGTACCCATTTTCTGCTGAGCCCTAGAGAAAACCAGCTTACAATGGCCATAATATTTCTGCCTCCTTCATCAGCCACTGCTGGTGCCACTCCTTCATCAGTCTATGTACATCATCCCAGGGAGATCAAAAGTACAGAACATTGGTTAACCTTAGCCTTCAGTAAGGATGTTAATTTTCTCAGATATGGGAGAGAAATAAGGAAGGGGAGAGATTTTGATGGGGAGAACACATTGAAGGTACTAACCCCATCTGGTGTAAGTCTTCTCAGAATGCTGAGCAGCTCCTTAGAATGTGAGTGTTGCAGGTTTGGGACCAAGATGGTGTGAATGAGTGGCTCACACACACCCTTTCTTACCCATGCCTGTGGCAGATACGACTAATCAATTCTTGTACTCTTTTTCTCACAATCCTTCTAAAACAGTGATCTGAATAGCTGTTCTCAATTGTTTGGATGTAGAATAGGATATAAAATCTATTGGCATTTTTAGTTTGTAGGCTTGAGGAAAGGAGAGACAGATAGCACAGAGTAAGCAACGGGAGCTGAATGCAGGAATGACTTAGCATCTGTGAAGGCCTGAGAGGAACATCAGGACATTGCAGTGAATCTAGTAGGTGTATAGTTATAACTTTCTCCTGCAGGTCTGTTGGGCCAAATATTGAGTCCGAGCATGGTCAATGGGTTTTGTTAAGAGGGGAAGGTAGAAGGACTAGAAGGTAAGGAGACACTTACAGTGCTCTTGATATGGTTCACCAGGAGTCTCCTGGACTTTCATGAAGTGGATGGAGAATGAGAGCACTTTAATATAGGTTTAATGATGCAATAATGAGAAAGCGTGCAGGGTCAATGGAGGCAAAATGATAAAAGGTAGAGTGCAGAAGGAAGTAACAGCCAGAACATGGGATTTCAAAACGTGCTATCAGAGGTGAAGTAGTTCTGAGGGATGGTTGCATATAGTCATGGCCCTGTGGAGGATGACTGGTGTGGGGTGGGGAATGGAAGATGTTGAACTTAGGAGATCAAGGGAATGCAAGTTCAATTTGCTGCATGGGTTTGCAAAGTGGACACTGAGATGAAGAGGATTTGTGTCAAAGAGGAAACCAATCACCAAAATATAAAAGAAACTCAAACAACTCAACAACAGTAACAACAAAACCCCAAATATCCTATTAAAAAGTGGGCAAAGAACATTTTTCAAAAGAAGATATGTAAACAATCAACAGACATATGAAAAAATGCTCAACATCACTAATCATCAGAAAAATGCAAATTGAAACCATAATGATGTATCATCCTACTCCAGAATGGCTATTATTAAAAAGATTTAAAAAGAAATGTTAGCAAGGATGTGCGGAAAAGGGAACTCTTATATACTGTTGGTGGGAATGTAAATTAGTGCAGCCTCTAAGGAAAACAGTATGGAGATTTCTCAAAAAACTAAAAGAGGACTACCATTGATCCAGCAATTCCACTCCTGGGTATCTACCCAAGGAAAATAAATCAATATATCAAAAAGGTACCTGTACTTGTATGTTTATCATAGCACTATTCACAATAGCAAAGATATGGAATCAAACTAAGTGTCCATCAACAGACAGATGGATTAAAAAATGTGGTAAATATACATAACAGAATACTAGTCAGCCATAAAAAAGAATAAAATCATCTTTTGCCACAACATGGATGGAACTGGTGGTCATTATCTTAAGTGAAGCAACCCAGGCCCATAAAGAAAAATATTACATGTTCTCAGTTTTCACTGGTTATTAAAAAATCTGTTCACATGACCATAGAGGTGGAATGATAGGTAACAGAGACTTGGAAGGGTGAGGGGGTGTGAAGGGAGAGGATGGTGAGAAATTACTTAATAGTATAATGTACATTATTTGAGTGATAGATACCACAAAAGTCCTGAGTTGGTTGCTATGCAGCCTATACATGTAGCAAAATCACACAGGTACCTCATAAATTTAAACACATTTATAGATATTTCAAAAAAACTACAGTTTTTATTCAAAATTCAGCATTGAATATTAAAACAAAGAATATGGCTAGGCGCAGTGGCTCAGGCCTGTAATCCCAGCACTTTGAGAGGCTGAGGTGGGTGGATCACCTGAGGTCAGGAGTTTGAGTCCTTCCAGTCTGGCCAACATGGTGAAACCCCATCTCTACAAAAATACAAAAATTAGCCAGGCATGGTGGCTCACACCTATAATCCCAGCTACTCGGGAGACTGAGGCACGAGAATTACTTGAACCTGGGAGGCAGAGGCTGCAGTGAGCTGAGATCGTTCCACTGCACGCTAGCCTGGGCGACAGAGTGAGACTTCGTCAAAAAAAAAAAAAAACAAACAAAAAAAACAAAACCCCAAAAGCAAACAAAACAAAACAAATAATATATAGTTTGAATACTTCTATGAGTATCAGTTTTTTATTCCTTGATTTTTCTTGGCCACGTTTATGATGATAAAGTATAACCGAGGTGTCAATATGCGTTGTGTTTTGTTTTCATTGAATTCTCCCCTCCTCCAGCTCTAAGAAGAAGGTAACCAGAACTCTGTATGCTTTGATTCTCTTTGTTGTTGGATAAGATGGGAAGATGCCTGGAAGTACTCTCCCAACCCATTCCCCATTCCATGTCAAAAACACATGCACTTGGTGTTTACGACTTCTGTTTCACAAACTATAACTCTTTGATGTGATTGTGCCAGGGAGAGGAGAAAAGGGAGCATTAGTGAGGGTCCCAACAGAAAACAGCACACGCACATGGGCTAGCTGAATGCATTTAATGAGGGAGCAATTTACAAAATTGTGGGAAAGGTTAAAAGAAACAAAGAATGGTGCAGCACTCCATGGCTAGGAACAGAGAGGAGCCTTTACCAGCTCTAGATCTGCAAGGTACGGAAGTGATTACTAAAACCAGAACCAGCCACCAGATAAGAGCTGTGGCCCCTGGTAGAGGGAGAAGCCCAATCTGTGATGACCGGACAGGAGAGAATCTGAGGAAATAAAACACCTACTTCACTCTATTCCTACCTTCCAATATGGCACCTTCCATTGGCTGAACTCGTAACCCCATTAACCAAACCCAAATCAAGGCCAGGAGGCAAGAGAGTTGGTTGATGTGGAACTTAAAGGTTAGTCTCCAAATACTGAGTAGGTGGTATGCGTAGCTCTGGAGGGGAAATGGAAAATATCTAGCTTAGGGGGTGAGTACCTTTTTGGGGTGGGAAGGAGACAAAAAAGGAATAAATTTCCCAAGACAGAGCAGCATAGTGGTTTTGGGCTTCAGGACCAGATTTAGCGGGATTATGTGCCTCAGCCCCTATTGTACCCAGGGGTGGGACAGGGTTTCACAGAGCACCCAGAGGCTGTATTCTCAGTGCCAGGTGTCCCAGCCTCAGACAACAGAACAGAAACATAGAACAAACCCAAAGCCAAGAGAGCTCCTGCAGGAGATTCTGTGTTGCAAAAACAATTAATTTATCTTTAGAGGAGAAAGACTCTATAATGTGTAAGGTCAAATTTCCCACATTCTCGCAGGATTGGGGTTAAGAATTAGAATGAATTTGCATTTAGAAAAACCAAGTAACTGTATTTCCTGCATGCTTAGGATCTGAGAGTGAAATTTGTATTGATTATGCTAATAAATGAATTCAAGTATAATAAAAAAGTCTTAACAGATAATTCAGACTAATCCAAGTGCTCCTTCATGTCTGAACCTCTCCAATGCCTCAGATATGTGTGAGTGAAAGAGGGTGCAGGCTTGGGTGCCCCTCCTAAGTCGGAATGGGCCTAAAAGCAGCAGAGTTCTTTCAGAATCTTACAGGACAATGAGACAACAAGTTATTTGGTGAGGAAAGGGTCAACACTGGTCTCAGATTCATCCAGAAATCAGACTACTCCAGATAGAGGCTCTGCCATCAAGCTGGTATTTTTGGTTAATCACCTGACACGCTCTTGATTCTGTCTTTCCCTGGTTTGAGCAGCGGCATCAACAGCCTCAAGACCTTGAAGTCAAATTGTGCCATTGGCTAAAAGTTTTGCAGAGCTCCACTGTGTTGTGGAGAGCTCACTGTCATCCCCTCCAGCTGGCAGCCCATTGTATGCCTCATGGAATGGCTTAGGTGTCACATACTGAGATGTGAGTGTCATTTAAGGATGCGAGGAGAGAAGGCTTGAATGTGCACAGAGACAGCCAAGAGGATAGCATTAGGGTGGGAAGAACTGGGCTTTGAATCAGAGTATGTGGGTGCAAGTCCATGCTCCAGTGCTCACCAGCTGTGTGACACTGGACGTATCACTTAAGCTTTCTGAGCCTCTACATCTATGAGAGATAGGTTATGGGACTTGTTCAAATGTACACAGATGGAAAGTGCAGCAATCCAAATTCTAACTTTGATCTGTCCAATTTATTATTCGTTCATCGAAAAATGTTTACTGAACAAGTCATTGTGCCAGATATGGGGAATATCTCCTGTCATTGAGCCATCAAGGAAGAAAGAGCTTAAACAAATAATAATGAGTGTGGTTAGTGCTATAGAGAAGCAGAGGGTCTATTAGAAGAATATAAAAGGAAGAACAGTAAATGGGGTAAAAAATGGTATAATTTATATTCTAGTAGAACACTCACTATTACAGCTATTATTATCTAAGATGCAGAAACATTTTATGCACAAATCTATTAGTTATAATATTATTCATAATAACAGGAAGTTGGAAACAACCTAAGTGTCCAACCATAGGGGACCAGTTAAATAAATTGTGCCAAATTGTTGTGTTATATAATAGAGTCACTTAAAATGATGCTTATTATAGTTTATGATGTTATGGGGGAAACATACCGTAAATGTGTGAAAAATACAGAGCATGAGGTTGTTTATACTGTATAATCTCATATATACTTGAGGAAAGAGCCTATGTATGTAATATATGTAAACTATATAATTCACATGTATTTGGGTGAAGAGTATGTGAAGGAAGAACCTAGATCATTCTGAGTAGTGGTGGAAATTATAAACAATTATTTTTATTTATTTTTTCATACATTTCATAAATTCCCTAGCGAACCAAAGGAAAATAATAAATAAAACCTCATGCAGCACTAATGTATTTGTTGAATACCTGCTCTAATGTCACAAGAATTTATGTGGCCCTTAGGAATACAGGAGATCATAAGGTATGTCAAGGATTCACCTAGGAGGAGCCCATATGCTTGCTGGGATACACAAAATAAACATATGCTGCAATAGAAAACAAGATGATGCTAAATAATAATAATTCAGGCAATTCACTGAGTGTTAGCATAACAGCAACTTGCCTTAAATGAGCATGTACTCTACCCGAGATACTGTTGTAAATACTTTCCACATGTCATCACCTTGCATGATGGGAACACACATTACTCCATTTTATGGATGTCATAATTGAGACTGAGAGAGTTACTTAGTAACTTTGCTAAGGTCACACAACTAATAAGTGATGAAGTCAGATTCCAACCCTTGCTTTTTTAATATTAAGGCTGGGCTCCTCATCATTATGCTGCAATGCCTATGAACAGCTTTCTAGGGAAGAGAAAAGTTGAAGTTGGCCTTAAAGAATGGTAGGATTTATAGAGACACAGGAACCACAGCAGGGAATGGAACATGGGGGACACATAATTTGATATTTTCTGAATACTTATTGGGTTCTTCTCTGAGCTAGACGTGGGGAGAATTGGGTGGCCTCAGCCCTGCTCACTGGGCACATTCATTCAATGCATGCTTGCTGAGCTCCTGCTGTATGCCCCCACACGATGTGCAAGGAGAACCATGGCCCCCACTCTTACGAAAAATGCAGGCTAGTGGCAGGTACTGACACTAAACATAAAGCAAAAACAATCTGTGAAGAAAAATAAAGCTCCAATTAAGAAAAGTGAAATGTCTATAAAAGAGTCAAAAGCAGATACGTGTGTCAAGGATGAACAGAAAGGCTGGGAGCTGGCTCTGGGATCTGAATTAAAAATGATTCTCAGCTTGGCTAAGGATATTTGGGGTCCATTCACAGGCAATTCTCAGAATAATAATTGTTAATAGGGACTGGAACTTAAAACTTATCTCATCAGGATATTGGCTTGACTTCATCTGAATCTCAGTTACCTAGTCTTTACAATGGGGATTATAATATCTAGGTTGCAGAGTTGTTGCGTGAATGAAAAGGATATGGCACATAAAGAGTTGACCACAATGCCTGCAGAAGGAAAGGAGCCAAAGCCATTGTTATTGCTTTAGGGGGCAAAGAGCAAAAAGATGGAGGTATTGTGACTTCAAAATCTAACTTTTCTTATATGAACATGAATTCTTTTCCATTGGTCTTTGGGTCCTACTGGAATGATATATGATGGATCCATTCTTTCACAGCCTATGCTCTGGGAAGTGCATATCCATTGAGAAGGATTTGTGCTGGTAACTGTTTTCTCTTTTTCCTCTTCTTCTTCCTCCACATCCTCTCCCTTATGTTATTATTATGTTTGCAAAGCTTTATCCCCTTCATATACTCTCTGTCCTTCTCTGTACCTTATAAAGTCAACCTCCATAGATCCCATCAACTGGCTCCCTTGCTATTGTCTCCAAATTGGGATTGGCCCGTGGGAGCTTCCAGCTGGTGATTGGAAGGAAGGAGTAGGGAGAGGTCAGAGTGTTTCTTCCCCACTCCCCCTTGGTGTCCTGTTTCTGGCAATAGCTTCCTCCCATTGTGACTACAGCTCTCACCTGTAGGACCCTTCTCCAATAATACATACTCCGATTATTCTTGCAGCCTAGGGATGGTAATAACTTTGCATTGCAAATCCTGAGTACCCCTTGCTTATTCCCTTAACTTTGGCCCCTGAACCTCCTATATTCTGGTGATGCTGAGGATCTCACCTGAGAGTGCTGCTCCAGGTTTGCCTGATGGTGGGCGTGGGCAGTGGGAGAGAAATCACAGCATTGACGGTCTTCTCTTCTCCAACTCAGCACCCTGAATCGAGTTCTGGTCTTGAGTGCTAATTGGTCTGCTCTCCTGCTGAAAAGTGGCCAAAGTGAATTTGTTTGCAATGTGAAGGGAACCTTGAGCTCTGGAGGCCCAGTATAATGCCAGTGCTTAATGGCTCTGTGGAGTTCTGCTGGATACAAAGGAGGGAGAAGAGAGGGCATCTCTTCTTCCCCCTAACATCTCAGCCTGTGGGAGTGATTGTATCCCTGCCACTTGTCTTTCTAAAGAGGCTGAGCCGCCTGAGGGCTCGAAGTCATGCCTGGTCAACTTCTTCCCTTCCAGGCAGAGCTTTGCCACCTCACTCCTCAAAAAGCCACATAAAAAGTGAGATGGGATTTTAAAGTGGTTTTATATCCCTTTGTATACGATATGGCACATCTGGAATAAGGAGTGACATGGAAATGGATGTTGGTGGGCCTGGTGTACTTCAACAGATCCAACAACTGGATAAGGGATGACATCACTGGTATTTTCCCAATATGCTCTGGAGTTGTAAAGAGGCTGCTACAGCAGCATTGCTGGGGGACTCTTTCTAAGGTCCAAGTGCTCTAAGAACTCTGAGTAGAATATGGAAAACTGTTCTTGACTGCCTGGCATGTTGACTCTTCCTGTTCTATAGACTCTGTGTTTCTGGTCATAGGCATAGTCATATGAAGCTCATTCCCCAGGACATGCAGATGAATCCTTGCATGGGCCTTTGATCCTAACAAGGCAAGTTAAATTCCTTCCCTAAATTGATGTTATGAAAGGAATGATCTCTCTGGTCTCAAGGAGGCATGGAAAAAGTCATTTGCAATGGGAAAGCCTGAGAATGACACATGGAGAAAAGTAGATTTGAACAATGGAAAAGGTGACTACATAGTGACCACACTGTTCAAGTGCCCTGATGCAGCTGTATCTTAACCCCTGGATTTTCTTTTTCTTTTTCTTCTCAAATCCTTAGCTTACTTGCTGGCTGTTTACCTACTCTGAGTTACAGTTCTAAGAGCTTTGACAGATACAGTGTTTCTACAAAAAATTCTATGGCTAGTGGAGCCTGTATAGACTTAGGTAACAGTGAATGAGCCCTGACTCCACCCATTTTATATCAGGATAAGTTCTCTAACTTATGTGACTCTGATCACGAAGAGCGTCCACTAGGAAAGACTTGATTATCTTCCAAAATTGTCTGCAAATAAAGGTACACAGGTAATCCCAAATTTATCAAAGTTGCTGTAGCCAGGGCAACACTCCTTGCCTTTGCCTGCCTCAAGCTAGGAGGTGATGGGGACTACAACCCCTAAGGTGTCATCTGCCTTTCAGGGGCACCAGGATCCTGGTTCAGCCAGGACGAGCATCAGGCCTGCCAAAGCAGGTATTCAACAAACTCTATAAGGTTTGATCACAACTAGATAAAACAAACTAACCAAAATATCTTACATAGAAAAAATACTAGGAGGAAATGCAGTGAAGTGATTACATATGTTTTCTTTTCTTTTCTTTCTTTTTTTTTTTTTTTTTTTTTTTTTGAGGCGGAGTCTCGCTCTGTCGCCCAGGCTGGAGTGCAATGGCACTATCTCGGCTCACTGCAAGCTCCGCCTCCCGGGTTCACGCCATTCTCCTGCCTCAGCCTCCTGAGTAGCTGGGACTACAGGCACCCGCCACCACGCCCAGCTAATTTTTTTTGTATTTTTAGTAGAGACAGGGTTTCACCCTGTTAGCCAGGATGGTCTTGATCTCCTGACCTCGTGATCCACCCGCCTCGGCCTCCCAAAGTGCTGGGATTACAGGCGTGAGCCACCGCGCCCGGCCATGTTTTCTTGTAACTAAGAATTTTTTCCAATCCCCTAACAATTTTTGATATTTTCTAAATGTTCTAAGGTGAACTTGTATTATATTTATAATATAGAAAAATTCTCTTATGTATAAAACAACATTTGTTAATTGAAGAAAGTGTGAATTGTCTTCCACTGCCCAGAGGAAAATGTGAGAAATCCCTGGAGGAAATAAGTAGAGAGAAGTAGAAGTCCCTGGTTATTTTTTGCTCTCAGAGCTTGATGTGTTGAGAATTTTGTGTCAAGGTCTTTGACCTATATCCTGAAGCCTTGCTCTCACCTCTCACCAGTAGGATTTAGGGGCAAATGGCAGAGAGTGCTTTGTGGATTAGCAAAATCCTAAGTGGATATTTTTGCACCACAAATTGCATCCATGCAGGTGTGAGGAGTTGGATTTCTCCCTGTGCCCACTTTTCTATTCTCCTTAAAGAAGATGAGCTGTTAACCAGAATTAGTCTCTGTTCTCCTGTACTCTTTCAGGTTTCTCTCATAGGGAAGGAGGAAGAGTCTGTAAGGAAGGACATCAGGAGACACTTTGCAATAAGGATCATGTCAGCGGTTGAAGCAAAGCAGCTGAAACGACTCAGCCTCTGATAACACATCTTCTATCAGCCTATTTACTTATCCTATGGACTACCCTGGGACAGCAGTTCTGATTCTAGGACTCCCATAAAACCCAGGGCAGATTCACTCAGTTCCTCCAAACCTCTGCCTGATCCTCTCCTCCCCCATTTCCATCACATAATTCCTCATGGTGAGAAAGCAGGTTGTGTTTATTTAGATAAAGATATATTACTGTAATAGAATTACTAATTATGTTAAACAACTTTTTCCTTAAACAAAACATTCCATGGTTGGGGATGGAAACCATTAGTGTGAGTAGGAGGAGGGAGGAGGAGAAGAGGGAAGTTGTGTTTTTCTTTCCCCCTGATTTATGAAGGTGTGATAATCTTGGACCGCTCACAAGTTGAGCTTTTCCGTGGATAACTGGATTCTGCTTTGCCAGCTATAATTTGAAGCAAATTTTGCTCTAACCAATCTCCTCCTCCACATTAATGTTTATTAAAAGTCAGCCACAGCACATACAGATGCCTCCAACACCATGGCCATGCCCCCAGGGCCAACTCCAGGTTATTGCAAGGGAGGTGGGAACTCCTACCTCTGCTTTGCTTTCACAAAGCATGAGCAAAATAGGAGGACTGGGGAGGGAATCTGTAGCTCCGTACTGAAGTCAGCAGACAATGCTGCTTTGGGGGTTGTTGGTATTACAAATGTTATGTAAGGACACAGCAATACTATGAGTCTTTAGTCTGGAATCCCTTAGGGGAATATGAGGAGAAGGGACTGATTACTATACACTCAACATATGAAGCTTTGGGAACCATTGTAAGCGTTTCCTTTTATTTCCTGCATGTGTCTTTCCTTAATTTTCTCCACTGAGAAGATCATCCTTACCATCTCTGCCTACTTCATTGAGCCAACAGACTTGGGTTGGATTCCCCCAAAAGCAAACTTGGAGACAAGGATGTGGGTGCAAGCAGTTGATTTAGGAGGGGGTCCAAGAAAACACTGTTAGGGGAGTAGGGAAGTGATATGGTTTGGCTGTGTTCCCACCCAGATCTCATCTGAATTCCCATGTGTTGTGGGAGGGACCTGGTGGGAGATAAGTGAATCATGGGGGCAGGTCTTAGGTCTTTCCCATGCTGTTCTCAGGATAGTGAATAAGTGTCATGAGATCTGATGGTTTTATAAGGGGGAGTTTCCCTGCACAAACTCTCTTTGCCTGCTGCCATCCATGAAAGACGTGACTTGTTCCTTCTTGCCTTCTGCCTTGATTGTGAGGCCTCCTTAGCCATGTGGAAGTCTAAGTCCATTAAGCCTTTTTCCTGTATAAATTACCCAGGTATGTCTTTATTAGCAGCATGAAAACAGGCTAATATAGGAAGTAAGAAGGAAAGAGAATGAGTCAACAGAGGGTCCACTGATGAACAGGTTTCTGCTATTGGTAACTGTGATTCATTCTCACTAGATATCTCAGAAAGTCTGTATAGTACAGGCCTTGGAGCTCCCAGGACTGAGGACTCTGGGGTATCAATCTACTAACTTCTGTCTATCACTGATTAAGGGCTGCTTCTGGAGTGTTAGTTTCTTGGCACCCCTGGTCTGTCCTGCACATGAGAACACTCCTGCAGTGAGAAGATGGGGTATATGTACTTTTCCCTGTTCTTCCCAGTAAGCACAACTAAAAATCCTGGATATTATGTGTAAAACAAATATACTAATATTCTGACAGGAGGAGAGAAGAAGGCAGACTGGCTAGGATCTCAACACCTGAGGAATGATATGATGGTGAATTCCTTTAAGCTTCCATTCTCCCAGCTGGGCACGGTGGCTCACGCCTGTAATCCCAGCACTTTGGGAGGCCGAGGCGGGCAGATCACGAGGTCAGGAGATCGAGACCATCCTGGCTAACACGGTGAAACCCTGTCTCTACTAAAAGTACAAAAAATTAGCCAGGCGTGGTGGTGGGCGCCTGTAGTCCCAGCTACTCGGGAAGCTGAGGCAGAAGAATTGCTTGAACCCGGTAGGTGGAGGTTGCAGTGAGCAGAGCTTGCGCCATTGCACTCCAGCCTGGGTGACAGAGTGAGACTCCATCTCAAAGAAAATAAAATAAGAAGATTCCGTTCTCACTCATATACCCAAGACACTGCACTGAAGAATCCAGAAACCTGGAAACACGAACGTGCAGATTTTTTTTTTAAACCATCACCAACAAGATTATTAATATGTTAAATGCATCTTATAAAGATGTTTAAAAATCCATAATAAAAATATTTCAACAAGCAAATATAAATGTGTCTAAAACAAATAAAAAATAAAAAGCCTCAGAAAGGAAAGTCACAGTTAGTAAATAAAAGATACAAATAACTGCCACATGAAAATTTTAGAACTGAAAAGTATCATACCAAAAGAAAAAGCTCAATATATGGATTCAACAGTAGAATTAAGGGAACAGAGGAAGGAATCAGTGAACTTGAAGACAGAACAATAGAGAATGCTGAATCTGAACATCAAAGACATAATAGACTGAAAAAAATTAACAGAGCCTTAGGCACCTATGACACTGTAACAAAAAGTCTAAGATTTGTATTATTAGATACCCAAAGGAGAGGAGAAAGAGAGCACAATTGAAAAAAAACTTGAATAAACAAATAGTGGCTGAAAACTTCCCAAACTTGCTAAGAGACGTAAACATACTTAAGAAACTGAGTGAATCCCAAGTAGGGTAAACCTAAAGAAATCTATGTCTAGACACACCAAAATTAAATTTCTGAAAACTAAAGACAAGAAAAAAACTCTTAAAAGCATTAAAAGCAGTCAGAGAAAACCAACAACTTGCCTATTAGGGAGAAACAATTTAAAAGATCATGGATTTTACATTAGAAAGCATGGAGGCCAGAAGAAAGTGACAGAGTACTTTCCAAGTGCTGCAGTGAAAGAACCATCAACTCGGACTCCTGTATCCAATGAAAACAACCTTCAGGAACGAAGGGAAAATCAAGACACTCTCAGATAAAGAAAAATCAAGATAATTTTTTACCCATAGATGTAATCTAAAATAAAGACAAAGGGAATTTGTCTAAACAAAAAAGAAAAGGATAAAAGAAAACAAAGACTGTATTAAGGTAAAAAATAAAAGAAAATGTAATAGATTTTCCTTCTCATCTTTGGTTTGTTGACTAAATTACATTTGTTGATTGAACAAAAGCTATGCTATCTGATGTTAATATGGTTCTCATGTATGTAAAGGAAACAGTTCAGACAATTATGTTGTAAATGGAAAAGGGCAAGACAACATAGAGGCAAGTTTTCTTCAATTCACTTGAACTCGTAAATTATCAACACCACTAGACTGTGATAAGCTATATATATGTTTAAGAAAGCTATTTTTAAAAGCTATTTAAAAAGATGCACCCAAAAACACTATGATTAAGTCGAAATAAAATGCTAAAAACTGTTCAAGTAACTCACAGAAAGGCATAGAGAAAAAATAAAACAGATAGAACAAAACAGACAACACAAAATAAAATGGCAGGCTTAAAGCCTAACCCATCAATAATCACATTAAATGTAGCTATTTCAACACACCAAGTATGAGACAAAGATTGGGTAAATGTAAATGCCTCAATATACCAATTAAGAGACAAAGATTGGGTTAGAAAACAAGACCAACTATGTGCTGTCTACAGGAAACTAATTTCAAATATAATAAAATAGGTAAGTTCAAAGTAAAAAAATTAAAAGAGGTCTATGTACTATATAAATATTAATCAAAAGAAAGCAGCAGTTATTATATTAATATCAGATAGACTTTTTAAATCAGGAAGTTTATCTCTATTATTATTATACTTTAAGTTTTAGGGTACATGTGTACGACGTGCAGGTTTGTTACGTATGTATACATGTGCCATGTTGGTGTGCTGCACCCATTAACTCGTCATTTAGCATTAGGTATATCTCCTAATGCTATCCCTCCCCTCTGCCCCCACCCCACAACAGTCACCAGTGTGTGATGTTCCCCTTCCTGTGTCCATGTGTTCTCATCGTTCAATTCCCATCTATAAGTGAGAACATGCGGTGTTTGTTTTTTTGTCCTTGCGATAGTTTGCTGAGAATGATGGTTTCCAATTTCATCCATGTCCCTACAAAGGACATGAACTCATCATTTTTTATGGCTGCATAGTATTCCATGGTGTATATGTGCCACATTTTCTGAATCCAGTCTATCGTTGTTGGACATTTAGGTTGGTTCCAAGTCTTTGCTATTGTGAATAATGCCGCAGTAAACATACGTGTGCATGTGTCTTTATAGCAGCATGATTTATAATCCTTTGGATATATACCCAGTAATGGGATGGCTGGGTCAAATGGTATTTCTAGTTCTCAGATAGACTTTAGACCAAAGAAAACTATCAGGGACGGAAAGGCACATCACATAATAATAAAAGGATCAGTGAATCAGGAAGACATAGCAAACCCAAATGTATATACAATGAAAAATAGAGACATAAAGTAAGGAAAGCAACAGTTGATCAAATTGAAAGAAGAAATAGACAAATTCACAATTAGAGTTGGGGACTTCAATACCCCTCTTTAACAAATGATAGAACAACTGGACATAAAATCGGGAAGGACATAGAATTCAAAAACATTAACAACCAACAAGATCTAATTGACATTTATAAAACATTCCATCCAACAATAGCACATTATACAGATGGTCCCCAAATTATAATGGCTTGACTCATGACTCATGGTGTAAAAGTGATATGTATTCAGTAGAAACCGTCCTTTGAATTTTGAATTTTGGTCTTTTCCTAGCCTAGTGATATGAAGTACAGTACTCTCTCATGATGCTGGTCAGCAAACCCCAGCTCCCAGTCAGCCAAATTATGTGGGTAAACAACTGATACTCTACAGCATGCTGTGTTGCCAGATGATTTTGCCCAACAATAGGGTAATATAAGGTGTTCTAAGCACATCTAAGGTAGGCTAGGCTAGGCTATAATTTTGATAGGTTAGGTGTATTAAATGCATTTTCAACTTAATATTTTCAACTTATGATAGATTTATCAGAATGTAATTCCATTGTAAGTAAAGGAGCATCTGTATACTTTTTTTAAATGCTCACATGAAATGTATATAAAGATAGAACATCTCTTGGATCATAGACAGAACTCAACAAGTTTAAAACAATTGAAATTACGTAGATTGTTTTTTTCTGACCACAGTGTAATCAACTGGAAATTAAAGAAAGAGATAACAAAGTATTCTCCAACCACTTAGAAACAAAACAGCATACTTCTAAATAATTTATGATTCAAAGAGGAAGTCTCAAGAAAAATTTAAAAATACATGGGAAATTTTAAATAAAAATATAATGTATCAAAACGTTTGGGACACAGCTAAAGCAATGCTGAGAGAAAAATTTACAGGACTAAACGTTTTATTTTGAAAAAAGGAAAGATTTCAAATAAATCATCTCAGTTGTCTTCTCAAGAAATTAGAAAATGAGGAATAAAATAAAACCAAGGTGAGCAGAAGAATTAAGAAATTACAAAGATCAGAGTAGAAATCAATAAAATTAAAAACAGAAAAGCAATAGAGACTATCGATGAAACAAAAAACTGGTTCTTTGAAAAGATCAGTAAAATTGACAAACTTCTAACAAGACTGATGGAGCAAAAAATAGACAAGACAAAATTACCAATATCAGGAATGAAACAGAGGGTATCTCTACAGACCATGCAGACAGCAAAAGAATAACAATGAAATATAATGAAGAACTTGACACACAAATTTGAGAACATAGATGAAATGGACCATTCCTTAGACAATACAAACTAACACAGCTCACCTAGTATGAAATAGATAATTTATATAGCCCAATAACCATTAAAAATTAAAGGTATATATAATTAAAGCCATCAGAAAGAAATCTTCAGGTTCAAGTGTTTTCACTGGAGAGTTCCACTAAATGTTTAAACAAGATTTAATGTCAATTCTATGCAGTCTCTTCCAGGAAATAAAAGAGAACTGTTCCCAAATAATTTTATAAAGCCAGTATTATCTGGATACCAAAACCAGACAAGAAAGGCAAAAAAGAAAAAAAAGTGTTGACCAATATCTCTCATGAATATAGAAACAAGTTATTATGAAATGTTGGCAAATGGAGCTCTGCAACATGTAAGAAGAATTATAAAACATGGCTAAGGGGGGGTTTATTCCAAGTATGCCAAGACTGTTTTAATATCCAAAAATCAATGTAATCCCCACATTAACATACTAAGATAAAAATTGTATGATAATATTAATGGCTGTAGAAAAAGCTTTGACAAAATTCAATAACCATTAATGATAAAAACTCTCAGAAAAACAGAAATAAAGTAGAACTTCCTTAACTTGCTAAAGAACACCTACAAAAAAATGTTTAATGTAATATTAGTGGTAAAAGATTAAACATTTTTCCTCCAAGAATGAAAGTGAGACAAGGAGTTTTCTTACCACTGCTATTCCACATAGTAGTGGAAGTCTTAGCCAGCTCAATAAATCAAGGAAATGTAATAAAGAGTACACAAATTAGAAATAGATGACATGATAATTGTCATAGAAAATCCCAAGTAATCGACAAAAAAACTGCTAGACATAAGCAAATTAAGCAAAGTTGCAGGGTCCAAGCTCAACATACAAAAGTTAATTATATTTTTGTATGTTAACAGTAAACATGTGAAAACAGAAGTTTCAAGTATCATTTAAATCATTAAAATATTGAAGTGCTTAGGTGTAAATCTAACAAAATATATACAGGACTTGTATGCTGAAAACTACACAATGCTGATTAAAGAAATCAGAGAAGATCTAAGTAAATGAAAAGACAGACCATGTTCATGGATTGGAAAACAATATAGTCAAGTAGTTACTACTCCTCCAGTTGATAAGTTAGTTTAACATTCTTATAAAAATCATAGCATTTTTGTATAGATATTGAAGAGATTATCCGAAAACTTAAATGGAAAGGGAGGGTAACTAGATAGCTAAAAAACAATTTTGATGAAGTAGAATAAAACTGTAGGACTTAATATACCCAATTTCAAGCCTTATTATATAGTTACATTAATCAAGACTCTATGATACTAGGTGGAGAGATAGATACAAAAAGCAGTGTAACAGAAAAGAGAAGTCAGAAAAAGGCCCACGCAAATACAGACAACAGTTTTCTTTTAATTAAAATTCTGATAAAGGTAGTTGTAGATTCACATGCATTTGTAAAACTAACATAGAGAGATCCTTTGTAAACTTTGCCCAGTTTCCCCCAATGATAACATTTGCAAAGCTATAGTATAATTTCACAACCAGGATATTAATATTGATACACTATATTAGCTTTATCCAGTTTTATTTACTCATTTCTATATATGTGTGTGTGTTACTAAGTTTCATACAATTTATCACCTGTGTAGGTCCTTGAACCCCCTATCACAATTAAAATTCTAAATAGTTCTAATGCCGCAAGAACCCCTTGGGTTGTTGTTTTATAACCACTTCCCTCCTGTTCCTTTGAAATTCCCTCTCTCCCATCCCTAACTCCTGGAAATTTAGAATATCTCCACTGTTTATAAAATGTCATCATTTTGAAAGTATTATAGAGATGGAATTATACAGTAAGTCACCTTTTGGAGAAATTCTTACTCAGCAGACTACCCAGAGTTGATGCATATAGCAACAATTCATTCTTTTTTCATTGCTAAACAGTATTCCATTGCATGCATGTATAACCATTCACCATTGAAGGGCATTTGGGCAGATTTCAGAGTTTGGCTGTTACAAATAAAGCTGCTGTGAACATGCCTGTACAGGTTTTTGTGTGTACAGAAATTTTCAGGGAAGCGCAAGTGAGATGTGGCACAAGACAGAAGGTGCTTGAGTAAAATTATTTGACCCTGAATCTAGCTATACCTGAGGTCATCAACATTCCCTTCAACTTCTTAATTGTGAGGGAGTTTATATCACTTGTTTTATATTACTAAAAAGCAGTCACTTATCAGGTATTCACAGTGGGTCATCTCTTATGTCTTTGCCCCAAAAAGTACAAATTACTTTTTAAAGAAGTTTGGCCCCTGGAGGCCAATGAAGAGTTTTAGCAACATAAGCCTGTTACATAGAACAGGGGAGAAAGGTTCCTAATGCATTTTGTACTTCATTCTATAGTTAGCTTTTGAAAATATTTGGCATAAAGTAAATACTTACTATAAATATTTGGTTCCAAGATAAATGCTCTTGGTATTCTCCAAAGTCTGTGGTGGCCAGTAGGGTTCAGGAACCCTGACATGACTCCACAGTGGCCCCTGGACCACGGAAAAGCTGCCGATGGCTGTGATGATCTGTGGTAGCTGATGGCTGGTCGTGGAGAGAGGATGCTGGGTGATGACAGCACTGTCAGGGGATGATAGACCAGGTCCAGGGCCCCATAGATTGCTATGTGAGATAGTGGTGTTGGCTGTCATCTGATTTGTCATTATTAAGAACTGACTTTTGGCCAGGCCTGGTGGCTCACTCCTGTAATCCCAGCATTTTGGGAGGCTGAGGCCGGCGAATCACCTAAGGTAGGGAGTTCGAGACCAGCCTGACCAACATAGAGAAACCCAGTCTCTACTGAAAATACAAAATTAGCCAGGTGTGGTGGCAAATGCCTGTAATTCCAGCTACTCAGGAGGCTGAGGCAGGAGAATTGCTTGAACCCGGGAGGCAGAGGTAGTGGTGAGCCGAGATGGTGCCATTGCACTCCAGCCTGGGCAACAAGAGTGAAACTCCATCTCAAAAAAAAAAAAAAAAAAAAAAAAAGAAAAGAACTGACTTTTTCAAGGTGTCAGTAGATTTGGTGAATAAAAAAAAGGACTGACTTCATTCAGGTAGAGATAAACTGGCACCTGAGCCTCTGTCCTTCTGGAAGAGAAATTACATATGTTTCGGAAGCTCAGAATAATTGAGAGCAAATTTGCATTTAACTTCAACAGAAGCCAGTTTGGACACTGAAGTATCAATATATAAAAACTGGAGATCATCAATAAAGAACTAGAAAGATAGACATCTTTATTTGCGTATGGAACAGACACTTTCCAACAAATACTAAAAGAAGATGAATCTCAACATTTAAAACAAGTTGATGAAAATAGATAAATTGGATGATATCAAAGGACACCATTACACCAGTCAGTAAAACACAGTAAAAACACAGTTTTACACCAGTAAAAACACAGTCCATGAAATAGGAGAAAATATTTGCAAGTCATATGTCTGAAAAGAAGTCAATATCTAGAAAATATAGAGAACTCTCACAACTCAACAACAAATAACCCAATTAAAAAAATTGGCAATGAACTTGAATAGAATTTTTTGTAAAAATGGCATATAAATGAACAATAAGCACATGAAAAGATCTTATCATCACTAATAATTAAGGAAATGCAAATCAAAACCCCAGTGAGATACCACTTCATACCCATTAGGATAGCTATTATCAAAACAATAAAACACACACACACATACACACACCACAAAATGACAAGTGTTGGCAAGGTTAAGAAAAAATCAGAACCCTTGACCACTGTTTTGAGCACTGTTTCTGGGAATGTAAAATATTATGTATGGAGGTTCCCTAAAAACTTAAAAATAGAATTGCCATGCGATTCAGTAATTCCACTTCTGAGTATATACTAAAAAGAATTGAAAGCAGGGGTTTGAACAGATATTTGTACATCTATGTTCAAAGCAGCATTGTTCGCAATAGCCAAAAGATGGAAGCAGTCCAAGTATTGATTGACAGATTAATGGATAAACAAAATGTGGTATGTTCATACAATGGAATATTATTTAGCCTCCAAGATGAAGGAAATTCTAACATGTGCTACAGCATGGAGGAATCTTGAGGGCATTTTGTTGAGTGAAATAAGCCCGTCACAAAAGGATAAATACTAATTCCACTTATATGGAATAGAGTAATCAAAATCATAGAAACAGAAAGAGAAATGTTGGTTGCCAGGGGCTGGAAGGAAGAGAAGTTATTGTTTAATATGTACAGAGTTTCAATTGGGGAAGATGAAGTTCTGTAGATAGATGGCAGTGACGGTTGCAGAACCATGTGAATGAACTTAAAATGATTAAAATGGTAACTTTTATGTTATTTATTTTACTACCAGAGAAAAATAGATTTTATAAGGTTGATATTTCCATAAAGTTACAGTTATTTCAAGACAAATCTGAAAAATGCAAAAGCAAGTAGTTCCCACCATGGCATTGTTCAAAATTCATCAGAAAAATGAAGAGCCGTTTCAGGCAGCTCTAAAAAAATTCTTTGAAGGTGAATTCCAGTCTTCAGGGAAATCTGAAGTGGCTTTCTCAAGATGCTGAGAGAACAAAAGGATGAGAGAGTAAACTTATTATTCAGAAGAGAAAAATATTAGGAAATAAGAAAGGCCACATCTCTGGGTGGACACCTGCAGGAGCTGAGTGATTGGGATCCTGCTTTGGTGGGGGCAGCATAAATGGTGCAAGGCTGGAAGCCACCAGAAAACAGAGACCATGAAAGTAAAAAAAGTCACAGGCACTGGCAAGGTTGTGGAGAGAAAGGAAGTCTTATACACTGTTGGTGGGAATGTAAATTAGTTCAGCCATTGTGGAGTACAGTGTGGTGATCCCTCAAAGACTTAAAGACAGAAGTACCATTCCACGCAGCAATTCCATTACTGGGTACACACCCAAAGGAATATAAATCATTCTATTATAAAGACTCACGCATGTGTATGTCCATTTCAGCACTATTCACAATAGCAAAGACATGGAATCAACCTAAATGCCCATCAATGATAGACTGGATAAAGAAAATGTGGTACATATACACCGTGGAATACTATACAGCCATAAAAATGAATGAGATCATGTCCTTCGCAGAGACTTGGGTGGAGCTGGAGGCCATTATCCTTAGCAAACTAACACAGGAACAGAAAACTGAATGCCACATGTTTTTACTTACAAGTGGGAGCTACATGATGAGAAAACATGGATACATAGAGGGAAACAACACACACTGGGGCCTTCTGGAAGATGGAGGGTAGGAGGAGGGAGAGGATCAGGAAAAATAACTAATGGATGTTAGGCCTAATATCTAGGGGATGAAATGATCTGTACAACAAACCCTCATGACACAAGTTTACCTATGTGACGAACCTGCACTTGTACCCCTGAACTTAAAAGTTGTTTTTTTTTTTTTGAAAGAAAACAGAGGCCATGTACAACATGAGTCCAAATGAGTTTTGAATGTAACAATTGATGTGATTGAGTTAAATACTTATTTAAGATCTCTTGAAGAATAAAGAAATTATAATTTACATGAAATTAACCAAAAAAGATTAAATAATTGTTGCACTTTAAGATCATTGAAAAGTCTCTAAACTAGTAAAGCTTTACTGAAGTCAAGAGAAACAAACAAACAAATAAACACAGGCAGAGGCAACTACTTCAGAGGAAGCTTCCAAGTTTTTTCAGAGTTGCATCAAGGGGAGAAAACAAATTTTCACTAAATGTACGATTTAGAGAGAATTTTTGTTTTTTTTTGAATTTACCCTGTAAAGATAGAAAGGAATCTTTCAAAAGCAGATGACAAGATCAGCCATGCATGTGATAAGCCAGGCACCTGTAAATGCAATCCAAAATTTTTCCAGAAAAATTCAAAAGAATATGCCGGCTATTATTGAAGCCAGCTTATTTCCTATGAGAGAAAAATCTCAAGAGGTGTTGAGAGTTCTGTTGCTTTAAAGACACCTTCATAAGTTAAGAGAATGCATCCCTGAGACAAAACAAATTGAGAAAGGTGGTATAAGTTTTGAAAAGCATCCTTAAGTCTCCATTGTTGCAAATGGGGCATTTATTAGAGTCCTGTGAGATCATGAGGGAATGCTCTGGAGGACCAGATCACTAAGGAAGGAGGATCATGGGCTGTGGAGGGATGGAGATCCAGGATCCAGTGCCCGCTGTGGGCAGATGCCATCCTCCCAGGAGAAGGAAACTTCTATCAGGTCAACTTTGTTCTGACACTGCAGCTCCTTTTCAAGAGCATGAGAGAGCAGTTCTGTTGCTCCTGGAACTGGTCATGGCCCAGAGTCTCCTTTCGATCCAGCCCTCCCACCAGAACAGTGTGCTGCTCACCCAGTCTTTGTTCTCTACCCAGTACCCTAGTCAGATGGTAGATGTCCCAGAGATATTCCAAGGTACATCTCCTGAGAAGGGGATACACTGAACTTCCCTCTATCCCAAGAAAGCTTGGAAGAAACTGCCTAGGGGTCTTCCCCACTGAGGGATTTCCCTGGCTGGGCACATTCTCCACTAGCCACAGGAAAGATCTCTGGACCAAACACTGCCCACATGGTCTGAAAGCAGAAGTGAGTCATCTCCAAGTTGACCCTATCCCCAATGAGTAGACTTCTGAAGATCCAGAACCACAAGATGTTTTTTTCTGTCAACTAAAATCATTTTAATTGTTTTTCTTTTACTTTTACTGCTATTAAGTAAATGGCTTAAATATAAACCAGGTAGAGCTAGAATTCTAAGGTAAAGTTCTACGACTGTGGATCATTTAAACATGACTCTTATGAGTTAGCTGCTTCCATTTTATTCTATTTTTAGGTAGTGTTATTACAGTAGTTTTCTTGTTAATAAATCCACAATATAATCTGAAACAGCAAGAAATTTGTCTTTTTTCTAATAATAAATTTATTTTTTTTCTCTTTTGGTTTTATTGCTATTATTTATATGTTTATATAATACCTTAAATGGAGATTTGATCAGATTATGACTTTTAAGATAGTATTTTATAAATGTAGATTCTATACATGTGAATCTTGGGATTGGAAATGACATCAGCAGCCACACTGACAAGCCTTGCTCTTCTCCATGGTGTCATCTCCATCCTCAGCCACTACCTAGCTATGTCCAGTGACAGCTGAAATTATCACAATGGATTAGAACTCTCCGTTCCTTCAGGGAAGGGTCATCTGGACCAGGAGAAACAAGGTCCTCTGTTAAGACCCAGCCCTGCCGCGGATTGACCTTGGACCCCTGACTGCTTTCTGGCTCAGTTTCCTCTTACCACTGTCTTGTGGCAGAGCTGCATGAGACTTAAACAAGGTCATGAGCATCCAGTTGTCCTTCAATCTGGAACCCACTGCAGGAAGCACAGCCAGACTTTTGAGAGTGCAAGAGTTTTCAGACAGCACCTCTCCATCCTGCTCTCTTTCTGATTCCCTTCATATCCTCCTCCTCCTCCCCCTTCTCCTCTTTACCACCACCAGCACTGTTATCATTGCCTTTATTTCACTTCCCCACATCTGTCTCTGCACTTACTTCCTTTTTTTCTCATGTTCAACACATGCACTGAGCAAATTTGTCCTCATCCCCTGGGTATTATTGCTGGATGTCTATCCTGCCTATATCTGGACGAATCTTATTGCTGGATGCCTGTCCTGCCTATATCTGGACGAATCTTATTGCTGGATGTCTGTCCTGCCTGTATCTGGACCAATCTACTGTGGCCTTGGGGTCTCATCAGGCCATCTCTCTAGGCCTGGAATCTGGACCATGAACCCCAGCAGTGCCTACTGCTAAGTTCCTACACAAATTCAGCTGCCTCTAGATGCCTTTGTGCAAACTCCCATCATCTCCCCTGCAATTATTTTTTACTTGAGATGGAGTCTCACTGACTTTGTCACCCAGGCTGGAGCGCAGTGGTGCAATCTTGGCTCACTGCAACCTGCACCTCCCTAGTTCAAGCGATTCTCCTGCCTCAGCCTCCCAAGTAGCTAGGACTATAGGCGTACGCCACCATGCCTGGCTAATTGTTGTGTTTTTAGTAGAGATGGGGTTTCACCTTGTTGGCCAGGCTTGGCTTGAACTTCTGACTGTGCCATCTGCCATGGCCTCCCGAAGTGCTGGGGTTACAGGTGTAAACCACCATGCCTGGCCTTCTCCTGCAATTCTGTTATAGCCTCCAGCTCCTTATCCCTCCCTGTCTACCTTCACAACGGTGAAGTCAGGGTAAACTTTTAGAAAATATAAAGGAGATCATGAGACTCTACTGCTCAAAGCCCTCCATGCCCCCAAATCACACTGAGGCTCAAATCTAAACATTCAACGAAGGTCCACCAGGCTATGGATAACCTGGTCTTTGCTTGTCTCTGTCTGGCCCCTCCAATCCGGCTTCTGACTTTCCTTCTGGACCAATAACATGTCACACTTACACTGCCTCAGAGCCTTTGCACTGGCTGTTTCCTCTGTCTAGAGTGCTTTCCACCAATTATGCATGTGGCTGCCTCCCTTTTCTCATTGACATCCCAGCTTATATTGAATGCCCTCCATCTCTGGCTTCCTCTCTGGTCCCCAGCCTTATTTATGGCTTCAGACTCTCATCCTCTCTTAAATCATTTAATTTCCATATTATTATAGTTTATATCATTTAGCCCTTCTTATGACAGTCCTCTAGGATAGAGGTTGTTGATTTTAGAAAAAAGGCAAAATTGTTGCTGTGTTTCTAAATCATTTTAGTAAACTTATTAAGGTAAATATTAGTAATATTAGTAAACTTATAGTTTACTAGTTATAGTAACTTATAGTTACTAATATGCTAATATTACTAATATTAGCATATTAGTAAACTTATTAAAATACCACTCATTGTTTGCACTCCCCTCTGGAAGGTAAGGAACAGAGAGTTTATCTTATTCACCACAGACACTGCCTTTGTATCTTGCACATGAGAGTCACTCACTTAAGATTTGGGAAGGAAGGGATACATAGAAGTGAATCCAGTGCAAAGACCTCCTGAGATCTCAGATCTGTCCACCTGTCAGGGCCTCCCAGAGCAGGTTCTGTACACCTGTGGGTGTCTTCATGAAATCTCACCTTGGATCCTGGTGCTCCTCACTGTCTGCACATTCTCGGAGCATCCTCGTGTGTGGGTTTCAACCAGCCCCCTTCTGACATTCCATGCCTGCGAGTGTTAAGTCTCCACATTAACGTGATTCATACAGATGGCTGGGGAATCCCAAGGTTGTGGGAACAGCAGAAGGAGATGCTATGGAAAAAGACATGGTACGGTGGCCACAGGCCTCCTCTACTACAGTATTGAGCAGCAAAAGGCTGGTGCTTTTGTGTTAAAGAGAAAGCCACTGGACTTCAGGGACCCAGTCCATTTCATTGTCTTGGAGAGAAGATGCAGAAATATGCAAGTACTTACAATCAACTGTTATCTGGATTTAGTAACTAATATTTATGGGGTACTCACTCATGATGCACAGAGTGCTGTATAAATGCCAGGCCATCTTCTAGTTGTGACTACCCTTATGGCTACTCTCTAAGATGGGGATGGCATTCAGAGAAGGAAACTGAGGTTCTAACAAGCTCCAAATCACACAATATAGACGGGCAGTTGACAGCTCAGAGTGCCTGGGAACTAATTTCACCTTCGTGGCTCTCCAGCGGTGAATTTTGGGTGTGTTACTTAATGCTTAGGTCTCTTGACTTTCTCATCTGTAAAACAGATGAGGGTTGCTGTACAAGTTAAATGAGTCCATGTGAAACACTCACTACACAGGAAGCCCTCCATAGATGTTGCTGTTTTTTTTGTTATTCTACTAGAAGTAAATGGCCTACTTGGTATTGAATCTGAGACCTCTGTCCCTAAATCCACTCACTTTCTACTCTTTGAATAACTGTTTTTGTTTAACTGTGTTTGGTTTGTTGATTGCTAAACCAGTGGAAGAACACACTTTCCTAATTGACCAGGTATGCAGATGAGATAGTTTTGGAACTTTTGACAAGCTCTGGCTCATTGCAGTGACATTATTTAAGTTCCAATTTCCAGCGAGGCTGGCTATTCTCAGAGAAATTTGATTCAATTCCACAAACACTTCTCCTAGTCATTAAGACACCTACCACCAGAAACATCTGGTCAATTAAATTTAAAACATTAGTCAAACAAGTTGTTGGTATTATATGGTCAGACATCTGGACAAATAAAATTTTAATTGAATGTTTTGATATCATGTGGTCTCAGTTTCAAAGCCAACCCCCAAATAGAAGGCACATACCTTTACTTTCTATGCCAAGTTGGGTGGGCTGGGTTTGGTATATCAATTCACTTTTAAAAAATTTACCAAATTGTAATGTTACAGATATAGCCACCACGCAATTGGGATTTTCTACAATAGTCCTGATTTTTAAAATATTCCATTCTTTTGCTGGCCAATTGACATGCCCCAGTTTTTTGGTAGACAATATGGTCCGTATTTGCCTGGAGTCATGAGTAGAATGCAGGAAGCCTACGTTGCAATTTTGGATCTGGTTCCATTTATTCTGAAATATTCAGTGACACATTTAACAACTTTTCCCCCTCAGGTTTCCCTTTGATAACATGGAGGAGTCACTTTGTATTTTCTAACTTAAAGGGAAGGCTTTCTGTAGAAACTTACGATGTTTTATACATTTGTGAGCACACATGTTTACATACATGTGTGAGGCACATGTAGACATACTATTATAATGAATCCTCAGGAAACCCTGTTTGCCAAGCCCTAGTGTAGATGAATGACAACAGTGGCATGGATTAGGGTTCCAGCAGTGGACATACAGAGTAGTGGGCAGATTTGAGAGGTGTTCAGGAGCCAAAATTGCTGGTGTCTATTAATGCACGAGCTAAGGGGGCGGATGGATTCTGAAGAAGTATTTCCACTACCAAGAAAGGCAATGTTGGGAAGAACCTTTTGGTCAACTTGGTCAACTTCTCCAGTTCCAGTAGAGCAATCCAGCTTCTTTTGTCATCTCCTCTTTATCTTTCATCCAGAGAGCCCACATAAGCACTGTTTAAATTTCTCTTGACTTGTCTTACTCCTTTGACTCATCGAAAACTATCCTCGCAAAAGAAATTTCTGGCAGGTCATGTAATGCAAAAAAAAAAAAAAAAAAAAAAAAAAAAAAAAAAAGAACTCAAAAACACCGAAAACAAAAAAACAAAATCAAAAACCACTTTTGGACATCTGTTCTGATACAGAAGCCAAGAGCAGGGTCCGCATGGTGCCAGCGTGGCAGCCGTGGCCGCATATTGCAGTCAGAATGTGCATGGTGCCAGGGCTAATGATCCGGGTTTCCTGCAGAGGGCCGCTCTGCCAGCCTTCTAATTAGGATCTGCTCAGAGCAGCCTGGGCAGGGATGATCACGCCTTTTCTCCTGCCCTCCTCTCCCTCGGTTGTCTTCCTCCTATGCAGCAATTTAGCATTGTGAGCATTTTTTTTTTTTTTAAATCCTGGGCCATTTAAACAAAGGGGGGAAGTAAAGCAGGTTTCTCCAGAGATGCTGGAAAAAGGGACGAGAAACCAAAGCTGATGGCGGTGGATGGATGAAGTCCCAGCCACCCTCCGTGGAAGGGTGCAGATCTCCTTTAAGACCTCTTTGGTGAAGAGTCAGCTGAAGGTCCTCCCCAGCATAAGGCCCAGAGATCCAGCTGCTGCTGTGGGAGGCTCAGCCTGGGCTCCTCATCAGTCCACTGGTCTCAGAGGGTCATCAGCGGGAAGTGATGAGCATCTTGGAGGTCAGGCCGGATGTGGCGAACACCCACTGGTGGTCAGGCTGTGGTATGTCAGGGAAGAGGATGTTCCTCTAACAGCCTAAACCAACCCATGGAGGAAGTTTGGGAAGTCATGGATTATTGTGTGTTGGTTTTGGTTTGGACCCATTAGGGGCACTGGCTTTTAGACAACAAGTATGGGGGCGGGGGAAGTGTGTTGCATGGAGGAGCTTTCAAAAGGTAATAGGTAAGAGTAGCCCTGGGCCACAGCCCAGAAGTCTTGAATCATGGAACCAAGACTGGAAGCTAAATTTCAGCAGAAATTGTATTTGCCTTGTTTACTGTGATGGCTCAGTGCTTAGCACAGAGCCTACCATATGGCAGGTGCTCAATAAATGAGTTAATCAACAAAAAGAGCATCATCATAGTGGCTACGTTCTAAGGATGTGGTGAAGATTCAGTGAGATACTGGGTATCAGGTGTTCAGCACCATGGCTGCACGTGGTCACTACCGCTAGTACAACTAAAGTCAAACACTAGTGCAGGGGTCAGGAAATATTTTCTGTAAAGGGCCAGATAGTACATATTTTGGACTTTGCAGGCCATACACTTCTGTGACATTTATGGAACTTTCCTGTTCTAGTGTGTAAGCAACCATAGAAAGTAAATAAATAAATTGATGTTGCTATATTCCAATAAAACTTTATTTATAAAAACAGACTGTGGGCTGAATTTGGCCTGTGGACCATAGTTGCCTGACTTCTGCCTTAGAAAATGACAAAGTCAAGGGATCTGTTCTTCACAGAGAGGGTACAAATGCAAATATGCCTAGATTCAGGGGAAGTTCATGGATATCCATGAGGAATAGCTCCAGCCCGAGTAAACCAGGTAAATGCAAACACAACTAACATAGCCCCTCACCTGGGAGACTGATGACAAGAAGGATGCAAAGAGCATCTGCTAGCCTCCTCCCCACAGCTTCTGAGTGCCAGAAACAGAATCTACACATACTTAGTTTTCACTAACCCACATCGGTTTCTATGAGTGAGTAGCATTCTTCTTCATGTGTACAGAACAGCAGAAGATGGAATAATTAGAAGCATGTATTTATCCCTGAGGTTCCCTCATTTGTATATTCACATCCCTGATGATGTTTAAGACCTCAGGTCACTCTAGTGAAAATTGAAAGTTGGGAGGCTTTGAAATAAGAGTAGGCCCATTAGTCACTCAACAAACCTTGTCTCCTATCTACTAGGTGCTAGGCATTGTGCCTAGTGGTGGAAATATATGGTTATGATCTTATCCCAGACTTGGATGAGCTCTTGGTCTAGTTGAGGAGGCAGGGATGAACAGAGAATTAATTGTAACACCATGCAACTAATGAGGCAGTAGGTGTTACTTACATTTACATGGCAGGGAGTGGCCATCTGGGCTCAGGGTGAGAATGTGTAAGGGACCGTTTCCCAGGAGGTGATCTTTGAGCCCCGTAATGGAGTCTCACTGCACTCATGTACACATACTGCTTTTAGAATTGATTTGTTTTTTCTTTGCAGGAAGGATGCACCCTAAAAAAATGTTGAGAAAACAGTCTAACCTAGTTCTCCCACTAGGACATTTTGGAGGTAAAGGAGAAATGCCAGAGAAATGCCTCTACTCTGGATTACACAGTTGGTCTGTCTCTACTCAGGCCTTGATGTGAAAAGGCAGGGACAGTGAAACACTGCGAGTAGAAACCAACTGTCCTCTTGACTCATAACTTTTATATTGACTTGTAAGTCAGTTCTTCCATGGTGGAAAAGTAATACAGACGTTGGGCAAAATATGTAATGGGATTTAAATTGTAGCCTTAAAGGTAGCTTAAATGTTCCATAGAAAATGCTCCAGGATAGGAAAAAAGGATCTTGTGATCGAAGGTTTATATTTATAAAATTTGTCCTTTTACAACAAAGGATAAACAGTATTTTCTAAGTTTTTTTTTTCATCTGCTTCCCTGGTTCCCCCTTCAGGCCCACTTTAACCTCACCATTCTTGATAACTATTTTCAACCTAAATATGAACAAGTCACTCCTTGGCTTAACACCATCAGTGGGAGCCTTTTGTCCACAGGACAAATCCTCACTCAAGGTGCTTTGTTCTGTTTCTTCTGCAGCTCCAGCCACATCAACCTAATAATAACAGGCACCAGCCCATGAATTCTACCATGGGTCATATTTCTCTTGGCTATTTGCTTATGTGACCATTTGATCCCTGCCATAATCCTAGGCAGCTGTTTTATAAAGGAGGAAGCTGAGATTCAGGGAGATGCAGTAACTTGCCCAAGATCAAGCAAGTTTTCGTGGAATTTAATCAAAGGTCTACCTGAATTGAACTTCTGGGACTCTTCTACAATATTCTTCTGCCTAGAACATTCTTCATCTCATTTTTTTTTCCTACAAAATCGGGCCCCTTTAGGGTTTGGTTCAGACATTCCTTCAACTATGAGCCATTCTCAGTCTCTCATACCTTCCTTTTGACTTTCAATACCATTTTGTTGAGGGGGCAGGTAATCCTCACAACACTGGCACCATTGTATTATTCCAATTTCTTTGCCTTTCTCTTCCATGTGATACATTGGGAGCATCCTGAAAGCAACTTCATTATGTAATCTATTTTTATATGCTCAGGCCTAGAATGGAGACAGAACTTTGAATATGTATCAAATGACTATATGACTAAAAAATAATATTCTAGGATATGTGTATTTGGGCCATACCTCTCAAATGCAGAAATAACAACCTTTAAAACTGTGTGCTGATGGAGACTGGATGCTGCATGTAGAATGAATGAGTATTCTTTTCTTGTTATGCTCTTTGAGTGGTGACTGGAGCGACCGACTGGTTGGGGCTGGTTGTCCTGTCCAGCATCTCAGAAATCTCTGAAATCCATCCTAAATGTCTAAATGAAGTAAAGTGGTTGGCTTTATAAGTAATAGAAGTCAATTGTGTTTGCAGTCTCTAATGCAAGAACGGCATTAGATGACTGAGATGGGGCTAGTGCCAAGAAGTGCTGAGTGGGCAGGAGGCCTGATTTTCAGCCTCCCTCTGCATCCATTTGTGATAATCTGAGTCTGGCGCTCAACCAGTCATCCTCCTAACGAGGCTTGCATGAGACAGCCTTTGCCCCCAGCACAGACATATACTGAATCAGGAGTTCCCTTATACAGACATTTAAAAACACCCACACATATGCACACACTCACTCACATTCTTTCCAAATACACATTTTATCTTCCTTGTTACAAACATTGTCCTAACAGGCTGGCAAACATTCAGACAGAAACTGAAATATTTAGATGAACTGGGGCACCTTAACTCCTCTGGAAAATGACTTTTAGCTGAAAGGCAGAAGGAAGCTGATATTCTGCCTTGATCCTGTGACTCTGAGTCATTGATGAACGCTTGCCTTTTGGCTTGAGGGTAGGGCATGAGAGCTGCAAGCAAAGATTGAAATAACACTCATGTTTGTTCTACATTTTACAGGGGAGCTGGTATTGTCTCCCAGCAGGAAATTAGATGATATTCACTCCTAGGATAATAATAAGGAAGACATTAACAATAAAGATGAACATTTATTTCCCACCACATTATTCTAAGCATTGACAGCATTAGGTGATATACCCATAATGATCATCTGAACATATAGGTGCTTTTATTATCTCCATTTCACAAAATGGAGAAGCCGAGGCTTAGAGGGGTTCACAATTTGCTCAAGATCACACAGTCAGTAAGGAGCCCAGCCTGAAGTAGCATATATATATATATATATATCTATATATATATATAGATATATATATATATATATCTCTCCACAGAACCTGTGTATTTTTTTTCCGTGCTCATCACCCAGGCTGGAGTGCAGTGGCACGATCTTGGCTCACTGCAACCTCCACGTCCTGGGTACAAGCGATTCTCCTGCGTCAGCCTCCTGAGTAGCTGGGACTACAGGTGTATAACACCACACTGGGCTAATTTTTGTATTTTTAGTAGAGACGGGGCTTCACCATGTTGGCTAGACTGGTCTCAAACTCCTGACCTCAGGTGATCTGCCCGCCTTGGCCTCCCGGAGTGTTGGGATTACAGGCGTGAGCCACCGTGCCCAGCCCTGGGTTCTTAAATGCTCTGTTTTACAGAGCAGGGAAGCTGGCCTGCTCAAATTTATTTGAACGAGATTGTGAGAAACCATCTGAGAGTGAACTCATTCCATGGAAACAGGATGTCAGGATTGTCAAGCTTTGCCCTACAAAACCCTTAGCAGTTTCAAGTAGGGGGATTATTTGAGGGTGCATCCTGGTGTTGGAATGTTAGATGAGCCTTTTGGATTATCTTTCTATAATCTTATGCTGGGAACCTATGAATGCCACAATGACAAGTATGACTAGAAAGAATTCATACTAGAGGCCGGGTGCGGTGGCTCACGCCTGTAATCCCAGCCCTTTGGGAGGCCGAGGCAGGCGGATCACAAAGTCAGGAGATCGAGACCATCCTGGCTAACATGGTGAAACCCCGTCCTACTAAAAATACAAAACATTAGCCGGGCGTGGTGGCAGGCACATGTAGTCCCAGCTACTCGGGAGGCTGAGGCAGGAGAATGGCATGAACCCGGGAGGCGGAGCTTGCAGTGAGCCGAGATTGCACCACTGCACTCCAGCCTGGGCAACAGAGCAAGACTCCGTCTCAAAAAAAAAAAGAATTCATACTAGAAAATGTCAGGAGACATACAGGATGCTGGCAAGGCTACTGTGGGGGCTCTGCTCCCCTGAAAGAAGTTGACAATAAAAAGAGGGGAGGGAAGGGAGTCATCCTAGAACAGTCTGCCCATAGCCAGACATATTTATGAAGCCATCCTAGATCAACCAGCTCCTGGCCTGTCCCCAAGCTAAGTCTAGACTGGAAGGATGGCGCAGCCAAACCACCAAGTTATTTATAAAATCACTGTTTTAAGACAGTAAGTTTTTGTAATGGTATGTTACATAGCAAAAGTTAACCGATACATCTCTTATTGCAACTCTACAGAATTAAAAAGGACAAGTATTATAAATCAGAAGAGGGAATTGAATATCTCAGAGGATTCAGTGACTTTCCTAAGGTGCTAAGGCCAATTAATGGCAGAATAATGACTAGCAGCTAGGGCAATTCACAAGAAGTCTTGCAAATAAAGGAAGGTAGCGTGTACTACTCCAAAACATGGTCTGAATCATTATCATCCCTATCCTTGTTTTAAACTTCTGTGGAGGAAAAAGTAGCCCCACCTTCCAGAAAACACAATGTAAATATAACTGCCATCATTGCCATCTTCATAACTAGGGAAGCCATAGGATTTGCCCTACAAATTGGACTCTTTGAGAATAACAGGGATGCTACTAATAACTATGCCAAAAATATTTATTTCCCACCACATTATTCTAAGCACTGACAACATTAGGTGATATACCCATAATGATCATCTGAACATATAAGTGCTTTTATTATCTCCATTTCACAGAATGGAGAAGATGAGGCTTATTTAAGCAAGCTGGCTCTATGGCCACCCTATCTCTAACTAATATGGAGAGAGCACTTTATGGGTTACAAACCCTTTTAAGATAATTATATTTCATTTTACAAAAAAAATCCTTCATTGTAATCACAACACCCTCATTTTGCTGAAGGAAACTCTTATTTTCAGAGAAATGAAGTAACTTTTCTATGGTTCTTGACAGTAGGTAGGCATTTAATAAATGTTTATGTTTATTAAACTGGATGAATAGCAGTTCAGTGGGTGGATGAATGCATGCATATGTAAGAATAAATGCAAGAAAAGGAAGCAGAAAGCCTGACCACATGGTGTTTTCAAGAAGGTGTAAAGAGAAGACAGTAAGTAGCTAAATGGATGACTCTCACACTGAGTTCCCCAGAACATCAATGCCCTCCATGACATTAGTAGGTGTTCTGGGACCATCATGTAAGCCCAAGGTCTTATGTTCAGTTTGCTCATCTATAAAACGGGAGTAAACTTTCATGAAATAGAGGTGGAAGGACAACAGATAATGCAAATAATGTGTTTAGCACAGTGAGTAGTACACTAAATAAGAAGACAAATAACAGCAAATATGTACTAATCATTTATGTTCCAGGCATCATGCAAATGCAGTGTGTGGATTAACCTCATTTTCTCCTCTGTGTCTCTCTCTAAGTCAGGTACCATTTATTATCCCCACTTCATGGATGAAGAAATTGGGGCTTACAGAGGAAAGATTTTGCCTAAAGTCACACAAGAGCCAATGGCAAGGTGACCCAGACCCTGGGTTGCCAGTTACACTGCTGACCTGTCTCCTGCCCAGTGAATGACACCTGTCCTTAGTTTTATTACTATGCTTTGTTAAGGAAACACTCCTCACTGTATCCACAGCACTTTAAATTTGGATGGGTCTCAACCCTTTTCAGTCATGTGACCCTTAACAAAATCAAAACTAAATCACATTTGAGAAGCCTAAAATGTAAAACAAAGTAAAACCAGAATTGCTGTGATTGAACCAGTTACAGAGCCCTAGAGCCCCCCTTCCTGTGACAACTGCATAAAAACCTTTGCCCTCTGTGGAGCACAGTAGGAAAATATTGGTCTGAAGCATAGTTGAGTGGATTTGCTGCCTGGCACATCTAGGCTTACTGTCTCCGGGGACCATAGCCTGCTGGTTCCCTACAGGATCTGAATGCATGTTTAAGCTCAGATAAAGAGACCCAGGAGGATCATGAGGGTTGGGACAGGATTGAATAGAGCAGTCATCTTTCTGAGCTTTTTTAGGTAAGACCCAGGCAATAGCCTAGGCTATGGTGGGGTTCCTGGAGAGTCTGTAAGAAAGATTTCCAAGAAAACTCATTCTTATGAAGCCAGGATTTCTAAAGATAGTGCTGGCTCAATGGCAATGAGGAATGACCTCCTCTTCCCTCCTCTCCCCCCAACTCCAATTAAGTCATTTTCTTTCTCTCCACCTGTACCTGGGGTTCTCTCCAGACTGCAGGCAAATGGTGCATTAATCACACAGATCAGCCAGTGCACAAGGATGGTGGGAAGTGGCTGATTTATGAACCAGCCCAAAGTGTGGGGAGGCTGGGAGTGGGTGAGGTGGGCCCAGCTCGGGGAGCATATGGGGGCTCCTTCTCTAGGACCAGACCCATATGCTCCGCTGCAGGTCCATATGCTGTGTGGGCTGGTCCCCCCTTTGCCAATGTCGAGGCTGCCTGTCTGCTGTAACGTGCAGGGAGCTAGATCTGCCACATGCCCTGCTGGCATTCAAACACACCCTTTCCAACTGTGTGAGACATGGGGGCTCTTCTTATAGACAAGAAGAGAGCTACACTTATGCCCTTGTCAATATGAGTTATTGTCATCAATCTTTTAGAAACAGTCCACAAGAAATGAGCAAGACCAGTTTTTTTTTCTATTTGTTAGAAAAGGGAATTGAGACATAATGCTAGAATCACCAACACTATGACTGGCAATAATAATAACCAACAACTATTGCATGTACATCAGGTCCTGAGCTCCATTCTGATCAGTTTTTACACATATTAATTAAAGACACAGAGTGGTTGCCCAAGGTCATGGTTTGAGCGTTAGAGTTACGAGTTGTATTCAGATCTATGTTTGCTGCCACTTCCTTTAAATTGTCATTCATAATTTAGTCTTTCCCTCACTCAATGAGCATTTATGGAGCCTCTACCACCGTTAGACCCTATAAAAAGGGCTTAGGATACCACTAAGAATAAAGCAGATATGATGCCATCTCTCTTGGGAGACACATTTTAGTGGAGCAAGACAGACAACAGCAAACATTTTTAAAAAAGTTAAACAAGAAAATGTGTAGTTACAAATTGCACTAACTTAAATGAAGGAAGTAAACAAAGGGCTTGGACAAGAATGGCAGGGTACCTAGAACAGCCAGGGCAGTCAGAAAAGCATGAAGCCTTCAGGGTGAGAGGGAGCTGCTGGAGGGGAAAGGAGCTCCAGGCTAAGAGGTTAATGTGTGCAAAGGCCCGGAGGAGTGAAGGAGCCCCAGTGCTCTAGGGACAAGTGCAGGAGGGACAGAACTAACAAGGGACAGCAGAGAGTGGTAAAAGATGGGATGGAAGGGGAGGTTTCAGGCAGATCATGAAGGGATTATATATGCACTGGGAAGTTGCTTCAGAGTTTTCAGTAGCTTTGCAGTACTCACTTATAGTTAATATTGGTGAGTAACAGCTTAGCTTGCTCATTAATAATGTGACATCCCCCAGCTCCCTAGCCGATCCCCTAGGGCCTTTCCCATCCCCAGATATTTTGTAGTGGCAGAAGCCAACTCAAGAAACAGTTATTTGGATAAAGATGTGTGCTCAACTGGTCTGTATATACCTCCAAGGGCAGGTATTATACTTAATGCCTAGCAATATATGGGAAAATATAGTAGAATTCACAGGATGTGGGTACATTTTTCAATTTAAAAACTATTACTGAATCTTTAAGACCATGTTTGCTTTTTAGTAAGCTCTAAAATAATATCATTACTCTACCCCATTAAGTTTTACTACACTAGGTTAGCATTCTATTTTTTTCCTTTGTACATTTTTTTTCTTTGAAGATATCAATAGCTTTGGAATGTTTTATTGTTTTATCATTTCTATCTTTTTTTAACTTTCCGTCGCAGCAAGCCTGACCTCAGGGAAAAGATCTATTAGACTGCCAAGATTAAATTTTATTTAACCAACATGTATATAGAGATCATTCTGTGTTCCTTATGATCTAAATGCCTTACAGGAATAAACACATTTAACCCTATAACAAGCCCATAAGATCGATACTGTTATTATCACCCCCATTTTGCAGATGAAGAAGCTGAAGCACAAAGAGATTAAGTAAAACAGCCCAAGTTCCTATTGCCAGGAAGTGGTAGAGCTGGGTTTGAGCCCTGGAAGTCTGTCCCCTGTGTCTCTGCTATTAGTCATTTCCATCCGATGGAAATTTCCTTGTGTAGAAACTGTGCTTACAGGCCATAATTTTTAACCCTATTGTGCTTCGTATGTTTCCCTTGCCCACTAAAGAGGATTCTGACTTGACATGTGGATCTTCCCTCATCCTCTGAGCTCTCAGGAGCCTCCTGTCAAGCAGGGCAGGGTTTGGGGTTTGTTACTTAGTGTCAGGAGAAAAGGGCAAAAGGAAAAGGTAGAGTGTGGGGAGGAGATTGTCAGGGATTGAGGAGATTGCTTAGAGAGACAGACTGCAGCTGCCATGTGTGAGGTCTGAGGATCTGTGAGACTCAAAGGGAAATTTTAAGAAGCATTGCGGAGAAGAGAAACTTCTTTTGCTGACAAGTGTGAGAAGTAAAGGCAAAAAGGCTTTCACAGTTCTGAACACTGTTTTATTGTTATCCTGCATTCTGCAATGGATATCACTCCATGCTGAGCCTGGTGAGCCACATGTTACAACAGCAAGGCAGCTAAAAACAATGCAATTTTATTTTCATTTTCTTTCTGCCCTCTTTCTTTCTCTTTTTCTCTAGCTTTCCCTTCCTCCTTTCCTCTTTCTCTTTCCCTCCCTCCATCCTTTTTCCCTTCCTTCCTTTCAGGATCCATTTTTGGAGCACCCATTCTGTGCCAGATCTTGTTCACACCCTCTGACCTTCAGAAGCTCAGTCTTAATATCATCGAGGAAAACATTTAGACTACATACACGTCTCCGGTAATGTGAGGACATTTGATCTCCTGCAGTCCCCTGGAGAGCTGCTACTCTTTTACTTGGTCTATGAGCAAAGCTTGCACTTTGTCATGCCTACGATTTGAGAATGTGAATTCTTCCACATGGCATCTCTCCTATAGGTTCTCATTCACTCCTTCTGAAGGCTTGGGTAAAAGACAAATTGAGAAACTGTTTCACAGTTTGCAGACTTCTTAAATATTTGTCTGTGAGTGCTGTTGGACTTAGTATAACAGGATTTAGCAAACTCTTTTCTGTAAAGAACCAGCTATTAAATATTTTAGGCTTTGTAGGTCATTCAGTCTCTGTCACAATATCTCCACTTTGCTGTTGTAGTGTGAAAGTAGCTTTATACAATATGTAAACAAATGTGCATGACTGCTTTCTGAAAAACTTCATTTACAGAAGCTGGCAGCAGGTGGATTTGGTCTGTGGGCTATAGACTGCTGATCCCTGTAGAGAAATTTGGATTCTTCCGTGCATAGACACTATCCCTTGTGGATGTTCTGATCCAACCAGAGGATCCCTAAGTGACTGCCGGGCTTGTGCAATGAGGTGGTGGTGTCTTTAAGCTTCCCACCGGCAGGCCTTTTCAGGTGTTTATGGTCAGGTGATAGGAGACGTTGCTCCAATCAGAACTGGAACACAGTTGCCCTAATCTTCATGGGCATCCAGTTTATGAAGGGAGCCAAGGAAAGTGTGATATTTAAAAAGGGATTTTGGGGACGATGCTGGGTGTGAACACACACCTATGTACAAACAATTTTTCAACATGTTTGATGTTTTGTGTGTCATGAGTGGGTAAATCTATGGTGATGGTGGTGTTGGCTGATCCATTTTCACTTGTTTACTTGATGGGGACAGAGAAGGAGAGGTGAAAATGGGGGCATCCCAGGGACCAGAGCCAAATAAGATGGATGGGTGGTTATTCAAGATGCAGGAAGGTGACTGCTACATCTCTCCTGGGAACATAGAAACCTTACTAAGAGAAATGCATCCTGCAAGGATAGCCACAAAGGGATAGCCTGTGCTGAATCTAGATGCTTTTATTTAATGCCTATGAATGCTTTTAGATGGAACATGTATTTCTAGATCTCCAAATTCTCTCCATTCTCTTATGATTCATCCCTGTGGTGTTTGAGTTTGCACTCTGTGAAGACCTTCTTTGCCACTTCCTGCACACTCTTTCTCCAGTGTGCTTTCCCTTCAAACAGCCACACCTGCAGGTGTTTCCCAAAGGAACGCCTTTGATCTATGGAACCCTATGCCCACATTGAGATGAGTGAGAAGTGCCTTGGAATTCACACCCTCCAGGGTGGCCCTTAACCAATGACTAAGGGGATGTAGGAGTTTAAAAGCTTCCTTGTGTGGGGTGTGGATGATGATGACAACTACTGGGGTAACTTACCCTCCAGAGTTCCCTGTGGGTCAGGCTGCTGGACTTGGCATGATAATGTACTCCTGTCTGACTTTGCTCACAACCCCTCTTTTCTTTCCTCCTTCCCTCTTCCCTGCCCAGTTTCTCCTGGGAGCATGTCCTTCATAAATCACTTGTGCACAAATCCTCATTTCAGGGGACAGTAATTTGAATAGTGAGGTGCGTGCAAGTAGTTTATCTATGCCTCCTGGGTAAGGTATTCGGTGCCTAGCACCATATTGGAAACTCAGTAGGATTTGTAAGATCTGGCTACATCTTTAAATTCTAAATCCACTACTGAGTCTTTAAGACCATGTTTGCCTTTTATAGTAAGCTCTAAAATGATTTCATTACTCCACCCCATTAAGTTTTGAGACCTGTCCCAAGACTCATTCCCTGAAGAAAAATATAAAGAGCTGCTAAGGAGAGGTAGAAGCCAGGCAGATACTTGGGCCAAAAAATGAAATGGTTCATTGATTACAGGAAAGGAAAGAGGAAAACAACTTAATTTAGATTGAAACTCCTCTCCCATTTTTTTCTCCATGTATTAGAGTTAATGAATTTGTGAAATAAGAAAGAGTGGATGAGGGGAATGCTATTCAAATGCCTGCAAATTAATCTTCCTGGATTCTTCCTGCTTCAGCCTCCCTATCTTCTCCTTCAGGCTGAGAGCTCAGAGGTGGTGGGCACATGGTGCCACCCACAAGTTATCATTTGCTAGCTAGTATCACAAACTAGTAAATGTTGTATCACCCTCCCTTTTTCTCTTTTGGGTATTTTTTTTCTGTTCTCCTCACTATGAAACATCATATTCAGGAGAAGAAAGAGAGAGTTTATAGAGTTTAATACTGATTCAAAAAGTCACTGAAAATCCCATTTAGTTATAGAGAGTGATATAAAAATATAGATAAATATGTATTTATATTTTTAAAATGGTATTTTATTGATATGTAGCATGTGTTTCACTGGGCCAATGATATTATATTTATTTATACTTTTATATATTTAAGGTGCACAATGTGATGTTTTGATATATATATATATACACATATGGTAAAATGATTGCTAGAGTCAAGCAAACTGACATATCCATGTATCCATCACCTCACATAGCTAAGTTCTGGTGTGTATAGGAAGAGTACCTAAAATCTACCCTCTTAGCTAATTTTCAGTATACAGTATGATATTATTAACAAAATCTGCATGCTATATGTTACATCTGTAGACTTAATCATTCTACATCACTGCAAATTTGGACTCTTTGACTCATATCTCCCCATTTTCTCCTCCTCCCTGCCCCTGGTAACCGTCATTCTAGTCTCTGTTTCTATGTATTCTCAATTTCTATGTATTCAACTTTTTTTAGATTCCACATAAGTGAGATCATGCAGTCTTTCTGTGCCCGGCCTGTATCACTCAGCCTATTTCTCTCCAGGCTCATTTGTGTGGTTTGCAAGTGGCAGTATCTCCCTTTTTATAAGCCAAATAAAATTTTATTATATATATGAAGATTATACACACATACACACATTTTCTTTGTTGATTCAAACACAGGTTAATTTGTTTATTGGGTTGTTTCCACATCTTAGCTATTGTGAATAATGCTGCAATAAACATAGGAACAAAGATATCTACAAGGTGCCAATTTCGTTTCCTTTGGGTATATGCCCATTGGAAGGATTGCTGGTCATACGGTAGTACAAGTTTTAATTTTTTGAGGAACCTCCATACTGTTTTCCATAATGACTGTACTAATTTACATTCCCACCAGCAGTTTGAAAAGATCCTCTTCTCTCTACATCCTTGCTAACACTTGTTTTCTCTTATCTTCTTGATAAGAAGCCATCCTAGCAGGTGGCTTCTCATTGTGGCTTTGACTTGCATTTCCCTGATGATTAGTGATGCTGAGTACATTTTCATACATCTATTGGCCATTTTCATGTGTGTGTTTTTTTTTTTTTTTGGAAAGTGCCTGTTCAGATCCTTTGCTCATTTTTAAATAAGGTTATTTGTTTTTTGCTTTTGAGCTGTGTGACAGTGGAGTCAATGATACTTGTGTGTATAAAAAGGTTCTGTAATGCTGACCTGGCTTATACAATTTAAAGAGAATTTCTAGAATCACATTTTGATGAATTCTTTATTCCCCAATAGTCCTAATCTTAAAAAAGTTGCCATGAAAGGGGTAGCAATACTCAGTGTGGCACAGGAGCTGGCTTATACCAGCTCACAAGAGCCTATTGTTAACTTTTCAGGAATTACGCAAACTCGTCAGTGTTACATTGGTGGCTTGAAAATGGCTGTGTTGGAAATATTTACACCATGAACATTGACAAAAGCTTTAAATCATGCCACACCTTTCCCACTCCTTCCCAGGAGATCTGACTGTCAAATGTTTACCAGAACACCACTGGTAGTGCCTGGACCTTTCCTCTGCCCACATGTGGTGACCTTTCCTCTGCCATGCCTGTGGACTGGCTGGGTTAACAGTGGGGTGTCTAGGTAAGCGTCTGGATCAGGATTGTTGCAAAGGGCTCCTTGCTTTCTCTCCATTGTGATCTGCATAACATTCATGAAAGTCTTTCCTCCTGCCAGCAGGTCTGTTCTTGCATTAGAAAAGGTTGTGTTCAGTTATCTTTCTGCACTTGGAAATACATATTTTGTGAGATAAATGAAGAAATATTTGCAGCTGGTATACTTTTCCTCCCAGGATATTTGAATATTTTGAAGCTATGGTCTCATTTTGCTGAGAAGAGAAAGAAAGTCAGCCTGATTCCTGGCTTGTATATGAGTGCTAGAACTCATGATCATGATGGACAGACTTAAACATGTTCTTTCTGCCAGAGCATGAACCTCATTCTATGATGAGAATAATAGGGGTGGTTTTGAATTAGGCTGTTATGAGTGAGCCTATGAATATATGTGAATGCAGCTAAGTAGCTTTAATATTCATTCATTCAACAGACATCAGCTTCATAGTGTAGATTCACAGCCCAGCAGGGAAGAGCTAGGATGTATATGCCTATTGTCTGAATGGTACATGGCGTGATAGAATGGAGTTGAGGTTTTAAGTCAAGCAGACCTGTGTGTGAATCTTAGCTCTGTAATTCTCTAGCTGTGTGAACTTAACCAAGCCATTTAACTTCAATTTTGTCATAAGTAGGATGACAATAATAATACTCACTTTTCCAAGAAAAAAAAAAACAGGAGCTTCCTAGGCAAAGTGGGATGAACTCATCCACAAACAAGGAACAGCTTATACAAAGGTGTGGAAGAATGCAATGTGACAGGAATATTAAAACTGGCAACTAGTTAGGAGACAGAATATCTGATGTTATTTTTTCTTTAAAAAATAAATGACTTCTGGCCGGGCGCGGTGGCTCTCGCCTGTAATCCCAGCCCTTTGGGAGGCCGAGGTGGGCGGATCACGAGGCCAGGAGATCGAGACCATCCTGGCTAACATGGTGAAACCCAGTTTCTACTAAAAATACAAAAAATTGGCCTGTCGTGGTGGCGGATGCCTGTAGTCCCAGCTACTCGGGAGGCTGAGGCAGGAGAATGGCTTGAACCTGGGAGGCAGAGCTTGCAGTGAGCCGAGATCGCACCACTGCACTCCAGCCTGGGCAACAGAGCGAGACTCCGTCTAAATAAATAAATAAATAAACAAATAATTTCTCTGTGCTTCCTGAATCTTAAGGCCACAGGCTGAGAAGAGCCAGATTTTAATTTCTCTAACTGTAAATGCTTAGACTTTTTCCTCACCCACTCAGGCTTAAGCCTTTTGTGCAAAGGGAAGGTGGCATCCACCATTCTCTCAAAGTTTGCTCCACATCCACTCCTTTAAGGTATAGGCATAAGAATGAGTAAATGCCAAGAGAACACTGGATCCTTCCTTCTCTTGGGCAAATGGTAATGCTCCCAGAGGCAGAAATGGGCCTTGCTTTGCATTCCAGACTTGCCCTCTGTGAACAGGCTTTGCATAAAGTGAATGCAATGATAGAAGATTACAGACCTGCAGCCAGAGGTAGAAGATCAGGAGGGGACTGGATTATTGGAGAGCTGTTCTCAAGTTCAGGGACTGGGGTCCAGAATCTCCAGTGGCTGGAGGGATAGGCCTCTGTGTTTATTCAAAAGCTCCCTGGGAGATTCAGACACATCCTTTCACTCCCCACCTCTCTAGGTCCCTTTTCTTGTTCACTGAACGCACTGATGTGGAGTGTACTGCAGGGAAACCTTGTGCTGTAGTATTTGGGAATGCTGTCTTGAAGGGGCAAACCTGGGGTTCTTCTTTAGACTTTTTATTCACTATTCTAAACGTGATCCGTTCTCCCAAATGTAATATTTTCCCCCGAGAATAAAAACACTGAAGAAGTACGCAAAATAAATGTGTCCCTCCCCTGAAAATTGCCTCATTGTTGAGTTCTTTTTCCTTTTACAAATTCTGTATTTGCTGAGCAACAGAATTACAATGACAATAACAAAACCCCCAAATAAAGCTGTTTCCATTTTTCATATTTACCGCAGGCCTTGTCCATATGTAGACATAATTTTTCCAGTGTTACTCATAGTGTCATATAATTTTATATTTTGCTTGATTCACTTAACATTATATTATAAACAAATGTTGAGTTTCTTTGTCGTATTCCTAACAGACATTTTGACTGGCTGCATACTATTCCATCAAGTGGATGTAATTTTATTTACTTAACCATTTCTCTATTATTAGGTATTTATGGTATTTACAATTGTTTTTAATAATACATTAAACTATCACAGAAATAAACATCTTCTGTAATCCCAGCACTTTGGGAGGCTGAGGTGGGCAGATCTTGAGGTCAGGAGTTCAAGACCAGCCTGGCCTACATGGTGAAACCCCATCTATACTAAAAATACAAAAATTAGCTGGGCGTGGTGGCACGTGCCTGTAATCCCAGCTACTCAGGAGGCTGAGGCAGGAGAATTGCTTGAACCCGGGAGATAGAGATTGCAGTGAGCTGAGATCTCACCATTGCACTCCAGCCTGGGTAACAAGAGCAAAACTTCGTCTAGAAAAGAAAAAAAAAAAGAAAATAAATAAACATCTTCAACATGGCACTTTTATAATTTTTTGTCTTGTTTTAAAATGATTATATTGAGTACAATTTTCATAGGTGGCAAAATGACCTAAAAACATTTCCAGGTACAAGTTTACAGGGCAACCAGCTTTCAAACAGAGATGTTTACCAGCTTTGTCAAGATATTCATCCCTTTTGGATTTTTGCTCATGTCAAGAGATGTTATTGCTAACTGCAATTGAACTAGAAAGGAGATCACAGGGCAATGGAAAACATGCTGGGCCAGGCATTTAAACACATATAGCAAACTCTCCCCTGCAGAACAGAGGTGTGGCACTCGTTATAGATATCCATTTAATGGATATGACAATTTGAACGTAGCTTTGGGAAAATCAAGAGAAGCCATTAGGGTCCATTCCTGAGGAAGCAGCCCGAATGTCTATATTTGGGAGGTCTGTGAAGCTCTCTAGAGTGTAACAATCACAGCACTCCTATGTTGTCCAGATAGAACACAAAGGAGGTCACAGGAGGCAATGCACAATGGGAAGGCACCCCAGAACTGAAAAGGGACTGGCAGGCCTAAGAAGGGAGTTTCAGGCTAGCAATTGGGGTAGCACCTCTCCTATGGGACCAGGCAAGAACAGGTAAAAACTGCAGCCATCCCTGATCCTCCAGCTGTACTGACTCCTTTGTACATCAACCCTTCAGTGCAGATCAGAAAAATGATTCCCTCCAAACCTGGTTAGGTTAGGAAGGAGCTGCTAATTTTTTTGCTGGCTTGTGATCTCAGTCCTTCTGGTCCTGTGAGAATTTGAGTGCAAATGGCTGAACTCTTATAAGTCTGGGGCTGGTTTTATAATTATAGCTCATCTTGTGTGTATCTTACCTTCCTCTTTCTCTTGCACCTGCTTCTTCCTCATTGTCTATTAATTTGCTTATGCTTCTCTAACCCTGCAAGATTAAAAAAATGACCTTACTTCTCTGTTTCTTTGCCTTTAGCTTCAAAAATGTCAACATTTAGATTTTTTTTTCTATTTGTGTTCCATGAGATACTGTGCAAAAATGAACAATTAAAATGCCTTCTGACAGAGTTGCCTAATTAGATAGTAGATAAAGTGTGCAAATTCTATTTCTCATAGCAGAGATCTCAGATGATCTTTTTCTTTCCTCTCTTCTCTCCCATGTCAGAAGGGTTTAATATATTGTTTTCTCTCTTCTCTTTCTGACCCTATAGTGGCTTTCTTCCAAGCAGAATAGCACCACATGAGTGCCTTGTTACAGTGGACAGGAACATGCATTATTTACAAACTCTATGCTGCTCCCACAAGCAGCAGTTCTCAAAAGAATTTACATTTATTTCAAACTATTTTGTGAATCAATAGAACATATTTCCTTCTGATCTTTTAGCAAATTTAGCTGAATGAAACATTTTAAAAATAGAGTGGTTTCCACCAGGGCCTGTCGGGGAGTGGGGGGCTAGGGGAGGGATAGCATTAGGAGAAATACCTAATGTAGATGACGGGTTGATGGGTGCAGCAAACCACCAAGGCAGGTGTATACCTATGTGACAAACCTGCTCATTCTGCACATGTATCCCAGAACTTAAAGTATAATAAAAAAATTAAAAAAAAATTAGAGTGGTTTCTTCACACCTATGCATAAAGATAGGAATTTTTTCAGAAAAATTTCAGCTTTGTCATTATTTAAAATTTGTTTCAAGTTGCCATTTCACTTTTGAAAATATTTACATTTTGAAAAATTGCAAAAATGGTAGAGTTTCTGTATACCCTTCACTCAGCTACTCTTCATGTTGATATCTTGAGTAACCATAGTACAATAAATCAAAACCGGAAAAATAACTTGGTACAATACTATAATACTGTCTTCTATGGTTTGGTTTGTCCCTGTCAAAGCTTAAAAATTGACCAAAATTGAAAGTTGATGCCCAATATGGCAGCATTGGAGGGTGGGGCCTAATGAGAGGTATTTGGGTCATGAGGGTAGATCCCTCAAGGATAGATTAATGGCCTACAACCTGGGTGAATGAGTTCTCACTCTTGCAGAAGTGAGTTAGTTCCTGAGAGTGCAGGTTGTAAAAACAGCCTGGCTTCCTCAGTTTTGCTCTCTTGCTTCCTCTCTCACTGTGTGGCCTCTGCACACATCCACTCTCCTTCTGCTTTCCACCTTGAGTGGAAGCAGCTTGAGGCACCTGCCCAGATGCAGCTGTTCAATCCTGGACTTTTCACCCACAAGAATCAAGTGTTGAATAAACCTCTTCTCTTTATAAATGACCCAGTCTTAGGTATTCTGTTATAGCAAAACAAGACAGATTAAGACACTGTTCCTATAGTACAATAATTGTATTGTATTGTAAAGTAACTAAACTACAGACCTTATTTGAATTTCAGCAGTTTTTCTACTTATGTTCTTTATCTATTCCAGGATCCCATCCAGGACCCCACATTGCTTTTACTTGTTGTGTCCCTTTGGTCTTCTCTGATCTTTAATGATTTCTTAGTCTTTCCTTGTCTTCATGACCTGACACTTTTGAAACGTATTGGTTGGTTATTTTGTAGAATGCCCTTCAGCTTGGGTTTATCTGATTTTCCCCCTTCCTGATTAGATTGAGGTTAGGCATTTTCGGCATGCATACCACAGAAGTTCTGGCCCTTTTTGTATCAGGAGGTGCATAACGTTAACATAGCCTATCACTGGTGATGTTGACTTTGGACCACTTGGTGAAGATGATGACCAACTACTATGTTTCTACAATAGTATTTTTATCTGTTTAATTAATAAACATCTTGGGGAGAAGGGAAGAACCCTGTTTAATTTCGTTTTTATTAATATTAAATTCTTTCCTTTGCCTGTTTTTCCTTTTCTTTTCTTCTTTTTTTTTTTTTTTTGAGATGGAGTCTCACTCTGTCTCCCAGGCTGAAATGCAGTGGCACGATCTCCACTCACTGCAAGCTCCGCCTTCCGGGTTCATGCCATTCTCCTGCCTCAGCCTCCCGAGTAGCTGGGACTACAGGCGTGTGCCACCATGCCTGGCTAATTTTTTGTATTTTTAGTAGAGACAGGGTTTCACCGTGTTAGCCAGGATGGTCTTGATCTCTTGACTTCATGATCTGCCTGCCTCGGCCTCTCAAAGTGCTGGGATTACAGGCGTGAGCCACCGCGCCCGGCCATCCTTTGCCTGTTTTTCTTATCTTCTGAATCTTATTGATGTCCATTTGATGGTTTGAAAATTTAAGAGATAGGAGCATATTTAGTTACTATTTGGAAAGTTTTCATGGATGAGGACACAGTCCATAGGGGATATGTGAAAATTGGGGGTAAGGACACCCAAAGGCACCCCTTGGGAGCATTCTGGAAGAAGTCTTGGAATGAGGAAGCCAAACTTTGTTTCTACAGAAATTCTTAACCTCTCTAAGCATCAATTTCCTTGAGTGTAAAATAGGGATAATAATGTCCCTGCAGAGGTATGGTAAAGATTAACATCAAGTACTCCCTGGATGTTTCCTGGTACAATACCTGGTGCAAAGTCAGTCTCATTACATAGTAATTCCCCTGACTCCAGGGAGTCATGTGCTCAAATACCAACCCCTACTCTCTAATTCTGTTGTGCATGGGAATTCTTTGCTTCTGTAGGCCTCTTGCCAGTTCATAGACCTAAACTGTGAACTACACAGAGAGGAAATTGTAGTCTGCCTCCTGCAGCATGCAGCCCTGACTCAAACTTGTTTTAAATTCACATTGGTGAAAAATGGGCTTGCATCCCACTGTGAATTTAAATACTTACAACCCAGGAAGAAACGGATCGCATGGCTCATTTATCTTGCAGCCATTAATTAATGGTGGTTAATTGTAGTTATGAGCTGTTGAATTCCAGGCTCTTGCACCCACACATTTTCTTTAATGTGTTCAGAAAACCATGGAGGCAGTGAGTTGGGGACTGAAAGAAAGACTGTCCCAGAGAGGATAGGCTCACAACCCCACCCCTGCTCACTTGTTTGTTAAGAGAGGGCCTACTGCTGCACCAACCTTCTAGGCAGGGGGCTGTGATCCCACAACACACTGCTTTCTGGGCCACTTCCCCACATATTTATTGTCCCCTAAGTTCCTGGGAGGGATCTTCTTAGACAAACCCTCTTTGTATTTCTTCTGCAAATGAGAAGTAAATTAACTTGCAACAAAGAGGAAAGAACTTTAATAAATCTGGCAGCTTGAAAGAGATTGTGATATGAAGAATCAGGACTTGGGCAAGAATGAAAATTATGTTTTTGAATATTTCTGTTGTACTCTCTGGGGAGAAGACTGCTAAGGGGTGGGACATAACCTGGGACAAGATGAATATGGATGTTTCAGAAGAGAAGAGCCCTTGTGACCACCTTTTAGACTTCATCAGATGAAACTTCTGTAGACATCTCTGACCTCACAGCTCAGGAGTTATCACTGGATTTATGAATGCGATAGGCACAATTCTAAGATGGTTCCCATGATTCCTATCTTTTGGGGTGTAGGCCCTGTACAATTCTCTCCCCTTGAGTGTGGTGGGCCTCATCAAGTTAAGTGAACCCTTTTTAAAAAGGGTCTAGAGCTCCAAGACAAAATCATAGAGATTTGAAACTACAGCAAATGCTCCCCTTGTTGGCCTTGGAGAAAGAAGTGACCAAATTGTGGAGACAGAGATGTGACCAGAACTTGCAGGTGTCCCCTAGGAGCTGAAATGGTCTCCAGCTGGGTGCTGGCAAGAAGACACCTCAGTCCTACAACCATAATGAAGTGAATTCTTCCAATGACCTGAGGGAGCTTGGAAGTCCAGCTGTACCTCCAGATGAGGATGCAGCATGCTGGCACCTTGACCTCCAGCCTTGTGAGCCTCTGAGCAGAGGACTCAACCAAAATGTGCCAAGCTATTCATGAAAATTATAAAATGATAAATTTGTGTTATTCTAAGCTACTAAGTTTGCAGTAATTTGTTATATTGCAATAAATAACAAATACATGGAATTTATTTCCTCATCTCACCTGGGCTATTATCAGTCTTTATTTTTTTCCATTTGTGTCTTTCCTCCTTCACAGCACAGAGCTTGTGAAGATAGATTTGTCTTCTTAAAGACCTTGAATTATATTATCTCATGCTTTAAAATTGTCAGTGGCTTCACAATGTCTACAGCAAAAAGCAAGTCCTGGTTAATCTGAATTTCATGGTTCCTAAGTGCCTTTGAGCCTAATTTCACACTGGGTCAGTTCTCTCATCCTACATTCCAGCCTAAAGAAACTGCTCATGGCCACCTTCCACAATTTCTGCTCACACTGTGCCTTTGCCTATGCTAATTTCTCTGCTGAGTGCTTTGATTCCCAAGGCCATGTACTCAACTCCCTATTCTTCAAGTCCTAGCTCCCCCTTGGCTACTGTCACGTATCACTCGCCCTTTGAACCTCCCAGCACCACATTATACCCCCAGTAGTTCGGACTAATATCTTCATAGTTTGTGATCTTTTTGTTATGCAGAAAATTCTGTGAATAAATGAGGGTTTAACTAACCAGGCTCTGTCCTCAAGATGATCACAGTTAGTTCCTTTTTCCTTTTCTTTTCTTTCTTTTTTTTTTTTTTTTTTATTTGAGACAGATCTCTTTCTGTCACCCAGGCTGGAGTGCAGTGGCAGGATCTTGGCTCACTGCAACTCTGCCTCCTGGGTTCAAGCAATTCTCCTGCCTCAGCCTCCTGAGTAGCTGGAATTATAGGTATGCGCCACCACGCCTGGCTAGTTTTTTTATTTTTAGTAGAGACAAGGTTTCACCATGTTAGCCAGACTGGTCTCAAACTCCTGATCTCAGATGATAGGTCTTTAAGAGGCTCAGATTATGCATTCCTCCAACATGTAAAAGCTCATTTTTGCCTCAAGGACTTTGCAGCTTCGATTCCCTCTGCCTGGAATGTCTTTACCTAAGATTCTCACATGGTTGGTGCCTTCTTATCACTTAGCACCTAAAAATATTGTTCTCCTAGGAGGCCTTCTCTGGGCACTCTATGGAAGGCAGCCTATCCTTCCCATCACCTATCCAATTGCTCTGCTTTATTAACTTCAAAGCAGTTATTGCTATTTGAAATTATCTCACTTACTGATATGTGGTTTGTTCATTTCCTGTTTTCTCTTGATGGTCAGCAACTTTCTTATCTTGCTCTCTGTTTTATCTACAGTATCTGGATTATTGTAGTCTCTCATTCAAAAATTGTTGAATGAATGAATTCAAAAACATGTCACATAACAAATATTCTGTGTCCTCTCAGTTTTTTTCTGCTTAAGTTCAATTTGTAATTCTTCATCCTTAATCCATCATAGTGAGTTCTCACCCACAGAAGACACATATTTTGGGAGATTATGTAACATTTAATAATTTAATAAGACATTCATAATGTAATTATTATCTTTGTGGAATGTCTCCTACAGTTTGCATCCATGTGCACATTGTAGTGGATACTGTCATATGCTGCCTAGCTTGCTCCTTCACAGATGAAACATTCAGATTCCTAGCTGCTGAAGATTCGTTGCTGATGCCTCATAGATGATTCCTTCTTAGGGAATTTCCTTTGGCCAAAGGTAGTTGCCTTGCTCTAGGAAGGGACATTTACATCCAATAACTTGTCAATGTGGAGGTACAAAGATCTTGCCTAAATAGGAAACAATTCTAAAAGTCCATCCCAGCTCCAGAGGTCCCTGTGAAAAGTCAGCTGAGGACTTTACTGTAACTGTACCATGATCTAATCCACCTTTTCCTTCTGCCCAATTCTGCTTCTTACATTCTCCAAACAATGTTGTTCCTAAGGGCACTTCCTAATCTGCATGCAAATCCTCATCTCAAAGTCGATTTCCCAGTTAACCCAACCTAAGACAGTTGGGGCCAGAAATGGCTAAGGAAGAAGACTCTGAAATGGGATTTTGGAGCTGGATTACCCACTAGCCAACCATCAACATCAGTGAGGTAGGGGAAGTACCGACTATCCCTAGAAAGAAATAGTGGTGCGAGAGTTAAAATGTGCCAGTGAAGAACTGTGATGTGATACTGGTAGACGATAAAACACTGGTGAATGCAACACCTCCGGATTTTAAGACATTCAAGGGATGCAATAATTTATAAGGACAATGGAATAGGATGACTGTTGCTGCGGCAATCAGTGCATTAAAAAGAGACTTTAAATGCCTGAGTGTGACTAGTCGCCAATATAACATGAAGTGCAAAAGTCAGAGGGCCTCCTTGGCACACATGAAATAAACCTCTCAGCTCCTACAGCTTGTAGGCAGAAAAGGCTGAAAATCAGGTCCAGAATATTAGGGTTGTAGATCTTCAAAGAAGGCTAAATTCTCAACCCTAGCATATTTACCATGCCAAGTTAGGACCCTGGTTTGTTTTAATTTTTGGTGTTGATGTTTGTTTTTAACAACATCATTGGGATCTTGAGACTTGAAATAAGAACAACTGAGTTGACACACTTGAAAACCTAAAAACTCCAGACCTACTGGAACCCACTGGCCTCACAGAAGTGCTCTACTTCTCCTTCTTGAAATCTAGTGCTTCCCTATGCTTGAAGATGATTCAGAGGCCTTTTTGTCTTGCAAGATAACATACACCACCTACAGAATCTACCCCCACCACTTTTTCTTGCTATCACATGAGTAACTATGTTCAAATTACAACTGAACAGGGAAATTCTGATCCTGCTAAGGGAGGGAATGTCAAAAGGGCTACAGGACCCAACCAATGCTTATCAGCAGGATCTTAGAAGACATGCATGGGACTGGATCCTAAGGGTGCTGCCTCAAGTAAGGGAAACATAAAGTTGAATATGGGAGATTTTATTGAGATAGAGCACATGCCTATGATACAGGATTTAACACCTTACCAAGGACCCCAGGAGAGGGTCCTAACACACTGCTGGGATGGTTCTTGGAAACATGGAAAAAGCCATGGCCATTCTAAGTAAACCAGAGATGCTAGAGCTGCCATGACAAGTATTCGAAGAAGAAAGCAAAAGATCATGCTAGAGGGAGTATACTAAATAAGGCTGGAAAACTCATCAGCTAATCCTGTTCCACGGGAGGATCCAAAGGACACTCCAGTTACCAAATCAATAATGTATATGCTGGTGACAGGAGCACCAGTGTTGTTGAGAAGAAACAGAGGTGGGTGCAATGATCACAAAGAGTGGCAAAGTTAGAGTGGCAGCTGGAGGAGCCTGGTTTGCAGAGAGTTAGGGGATGGTTCATAGAACAAGGTGACCCTAGGGGAAAGATTGATGGGCAGCTAACAACTCTAATACTCAACGTATAAATCAAGAGATGTCAAGAATAGATGGCCAAGAGGCTGAGGGCAACAATTCCAATTAAAAGTTATGATCACTTACCTAGTTTCTGGAAATGAACCAGTTTTAGATGCTAAACCCACTGATGGAAGCCAGTCCTCAGTTGGAAGTTCTCTGCAACCCTATAGCAAGTATCAGTAGTGAAGATGCCTCCAGTGCCTTCTCAAAGGGATCTATGGGTACTTACATAGATTACTGTGCTCTGGGAAGCAGGGGAACAGAGACATTTGAAAGGTACTAGGACACGGGTGGGGCGCAGTGGCTCACGCCTGTAATCCCAGCACTTTGGGAGGCTGAAGAAGGTGCATCACGAGGTCAGGAGATTGAGACCATCCTGGCTAACACAGTGAAACCCCGTCTCTACTAAAAATACAAAAAATCAGCCAGGCGTGGTGGCGGGTGCCTGTAGCCCCAGCTACTAGGGAGGCTGAGGCAGGAGTATGGCGTGAACCCGGGAGGCAGAGCTTGCAGTGAGCCGTGATCGCGCCACTGCACTACAGACTGGGCGACAGAGCAAGACTCTGCTAAAAGAAATAAATAAATAAATAAAAATAAAAAAAGATACTTGGACACAGGGTATGAGTTGACATTGATACCAGAGATTCAAGGCATTATTATGGCTCTCTGCCTGTCACAAGTAGGGCATATGAGAATCAGGTAATAAATAAAGACCTGGCCAACGTTTATCTCACAGTGGGTCCATAGTGACCATATACCTATCCAGAGGTCATTCCTGAGATTCCTGCATATGTAGCTGAGATGGACATACTTGGTAAGTGGTGGAACTCTGCATTGGTTTCTGGGAAGCCACTTAAACTTCCCTCAGCCCCTTGATGAATATAATACATAAAGGAACATATTACATTGTGGCAGGAATGACCTATATTAATGTCACCCTTTTCTTGGTATCCCCAAGCCTCTGAATCACTCAAAGGCTTCTCCTAGGCTGTAGCCAGGCCAGGGGCACGAGCTCTCATGCAATGCAGACTATGGGCCAGGAAAGCAGCCTGGGACAGTCAGGTTTCTGGGCTTTGCATTGAATGAATCATATTTTCCAGTCTTTCAAGGAATGGTGCTTGCAATGGGAACCAACGTTTCTCTCAACTGACTCTTCCACTGACTTCAAGAATGCTTGTCCTGAATGGGGTGTGGGAACTGACCCACAAAATCCACCTATTTTTTTTTTTTTTCCAGATGAGAAGTTGCATTAGGAATAGGGAAGTGACTTTGACCAGCCAGACTCCATCTATAAGGACTTGCAGAGTCAGGCAGGAATTGACTTCCTCTACTATCTCACTCTTTCCTTGAGTCATCACTTTCCCCCCTTCTTTTACTTACACAAAGCTAAATAGGCACAGTGACTTTACTTTAAACAAGTCATTCACCCATTATTAGACAATTTTTGTTTGTTTTAATTGTTGGTGTTGATGTTTGTTTCTAATCCCTTTGAAACAAAAGTTCGCTTCTGTGAGCTCTTATTTCCTCCCTGGAACCCTCATTATTTTGTTTTCTGTTGTAAAACAAACTAAGGACTTTTAATCTAGACTTCACAGATGTTTGGTATTGTCCTGGGTATTTTACATATTCATTTTCATTTACTTCTCCCCCTAGAGTTATGAGTCAGAAATTACAGCCATTTTACAATGAAAGACACTGAAGCTCAGAGATGGTAAGGACTTTATATGGAGTCACACAGCACTCTATAGTGGTGCAGAACTCAAAGCCACATCTACCTCATTTCAGGCCTTATCCACTGCCTACCACCAGCCCTGCTTATCCCATACTCTTCTGTAGATTGAAGAGTCCAACGACAGAGATTACACCTTACATATCTTGGAGGTCCTGCTCACTCTACCCCTGCCTTGCTGCCAATAGAGAGTCTCATATATCCAATAAAAGCTTGTTGAATGGATGCCTGCGTGAATGAGTTATGCAATAAATCCATGAGTGTGTGGTAACAAACTTCAAAGAAGCTGCACGATTGAAGTGAGATATATCTCACTTGAGCAAAGAGCTCAAGAAAACCAATCTGAACAGGTTGGGTCACAGAAGGCATCAAAGCTAAAATCACCAGCAGCAGGAGAATAGAAAAAGAAAGCTACTGAAAAGGAAACAAACTGACAAGAAGTTGAGGGGCAGCTTCTTGAGGGGATAGACTGCTATGCTGCATTCCTAAGGAATGCTGAGCATTGGCCAGTGAAGAGCAGGCACATTTCCAGGCTGATGGGACCACACAGGCAAAGGCTAGGAGAGAGAGGGCAGAAGACAGGAAACAGATCGAGAAGCGTTTAGTGTGGCCAGTGTGAAGAATGCTCAGTGGAGAGAGAAAAGACCAGGCTACGGGGCATGGAAGGTTCAGATTTTACCCCAAGGGCAATGGAGCATTATTGAAGGATTTTCAATGTGGAAAGCACCTGAGAATATATATTTTAGTTAGATCATTTAACTTCCATATGAGTAAGAGATTAGATTGGGGTAATATTGGAGCATATGACCCTGGCCTCAAGAACTAGTTGTTCTATACTCAGACCATAATAGACTTGGGTATTTGCCCACAGGAAGTGAAGGTGAAGTAGGAGGTGGGACTTGACGCCAGCAGCAGGGCTCAGACAGGGACCAAATTAAGGACTAGCTAAAACAGGGATGGGGCAGAAGTCACTTTCCAAAAGACACACCCATCAGCGTGCCATGTCAGTTTACCATTGCCATGGCAACACCCAGGAGTTCCCGCCCCTTTCCATGGCAATGACCCAAGGACCCAAAAGTTATCACACATTTCCTAGAAATTTCTGCATAAATTGCCCGTTAAACTACACGTAACTAAAAGTAGGTATAACCCCCATTTTGGGACTCACCTGCCCTGCATCAAGGGTACATGCACAAAAAATTTCGCAGAGATAATTTTAATAGTGATAGCCCCAAACTGCAACATCCATCCTCAGTAGAATGAATTCAGTTATTGTCCAGATATTGAAATGCTATATAGCAATGAGAAAGAGGGAACTATTGCTACATTCAGTTATTGTCCAGATATTGAAATGCTATATAGCAATGAGAAAGAGGGAACTATTGCTACATACCACCACATAGCTAGATCTCCAGACATGTTGAAAACAGCAAACCACCCCAAAAGAGCATGCGATTCTGCTTATGTGTAACTCAGAAAGAGGCAAAACTAATCCATGGAGATTAATCAGACTACCTGTTGCCTTTAAGGTGGATATTGACCGGGAAAAGACATGATGAAGGTTTTTGGGATCTGGTCATATTCATAGTCTGATCTCTGTAGTAGTTACATGGGTGTAAAAATATGTAAAACTTTATTAAGATGTACATTGAAGATGTGTGTGCTTTATTACTGTATTTGTGTAAGTATAAAATACTTATCCCTTTGGAATTTCCTCTATAATTACTCTTGGATACTATGGCATTGTAGAAAACAGTGAACTATATCAGTAACCAAAAACCATATAGAATTTTCCTGAGTTTGTGCTTAGTCTATGTGTGGTGGTGCTCAGATTAAAAGCAAATTTAGCATTTAGTGGGAACTGAATCAGAACGCTAAATATATCTGCCAGCTTTTGCTATTTCCTCAGAAAAGCTCACTGTAATTTGTGTGTGTGTGTGTGTGTGTGTGTGTGTATACTACAGCTACATGTATGGAACATCCCCTCTGAGTTCTTCTCAAAGTTCCTCAGAGGGCAGGACCTTTTTGCAGCTGGGCGTGCGGTAGATAATAGCCCAGTGCCTGAGTTTCTAAGTGCTGTGAGGGATGTCAGAGTCTCAACCGAGAATTATTTCCTTGGTGTCTCACCCTGCCCTGCCTGGCTCTTCCCACTCAGTTCCTGGAGGGCTTTTTTCAGCTCAGTCTGAAAGAGCACCCAGCTCCCCAGAGGAGGGGCAGCATCTTGCTGTGATGTGAGTCTAATTGTTTCTAGATTGAGCGTTTCCGTGGGACAACAGTCCCAGCCGGTGTTCCCTGAATTAACATGCTCACTGAAGGATTGAAGATGGTGATTAGGCCCGACAGCATCAGTTTCGGTGGGACAGTCGCAGTGCCACAGAGCTGCATGGGACCGCAAGGAGATTTATTTGTGTGGAATGGAGACATATGGCCGGAATCATCTGCTCCCTTTCCTCTGTAATTAAAACATCTGGGAGCAGCAAAGGGCTGGAAAATGAGGAGAAAGCAGTGAACATCTCTTCCTGCTCAGCTTTGAATAATCCAGCCATGGGGCTGGGGCATCAGGGGGTACAAGCCACCTGGTATAGGCTGGTCCAGGAGTTGCAATGGCCCAAAGGCCAGGTAACTTGTAAATGTGACTTGGGGGTTTTGTTTTTGGTGCTTTATTTTATTTTTTCCTGAAAGCATGTAGAATTGGTTTCTTTCTGAAGCTGTTTCTAAAATGTTTTACAAAAAAAAAAAAAAAGGCTAAATGACAACGAAAGTGTAGGGCTCATTGTTGGAGCCTGATACAGGCTATGACCTTCATCTAAGAGCTATACCTCCAATGGATCCAATCAAGCCAGTATCAAGACCCTTAGCAAAGACATCAAGCTTGGAAGGAATGGTGCCTAAGGGTGTCCTTTACTTTTCTTAGAAGGACTGGGAGTGACAATTTAGAGAGAACCTTCTTAGGAAGAGTATTGACACTATAGACCAATTCTTTCTCTGTTGGTTCACTCATTAACTTACCCACCTTCCCATCTATCAGCCCACTTATTGCTCCCTCTACCCATTCATTCAAGCAATGAGATTTCACTGAGGTTCTGCACTTGGTTCTGGGAAAACAGTAGTAAGAACCCTCATATAGTTCACCTTGCTTTGAATGGGACATTTATAAACGCACAAAAATAATCCCACATGACCCCTGCTATGTAGCCAGGTATTTCATGTCTTGTGAGCATGCAAGGGAGAAGACCGGCTCCTGCCTGCTCCATTCTGCTCCTTGAATCCAATAACATCTGTTGCTCAAGTCTCTGTTCCACACATCACATAAGAGCCCAGTGCCATCAGTGGAAAAGTAAAGAGGCCCGCATTTATTGAGCACTTACTATGTGCCTAGCACTTTACATACTTGAACTCTTTGAAGTGGGCATTATTCTGTCCATTACACAGGTCAGCTAACTGAGATTCTAAGTGAGAAAGGGCCAAGTTGGCATTTGGGCCTTAAGGGTCTAAATTGAATGCACATATTTTTCTATTTTATCGAGCTGCATGCTTCCAGGGCTTCACTATTACTGCTAATAAATACTCAGCCTTCTGTGAATCCTGTGACAGTTCAGTGCCTCCCTGCAGTCCTTCTTGCCCAGGATGTTGACTCAGCTATATAAACCTGGTGTTGCCTCAAATCCTTTTCTAAGAATCCGGATTCCTGCACTCTACCCAGCTTATGCTAGCCGCTCTACCTGCTAGGTGGGATTCTTTTCCATCTGTCTAGACTCCCCTAGACTGGGAGTAAATCAAAGCTATGGGTCATGTCTACTTAATGTCTTTATTATCAACATTGAGCACAGGACTTGACAGACAATTTCCACACCTGCAAAATGGATCCAATTCTAGGATCTGCTTCCTTGACGTTCTTGTCAGGATTAAAGGAGAAAGAATGTGTAAGACACCTGAAATAGTACCTGACCTATTTTAAGAGTCCAGTGAATGTTAGCTAGCACCGTTATCACAGTTTACATGCACAACGACCTTGTGAAGAGAACGGAGGCTCAACTCTATGGGGAAGAGAACTGAGGCTAAAGAGACTGAGTGACCTGTCTGACAACACACAGCTAAAAAGTCATAGAGCTGGGGTCTGAACTCAGGCTGTCTGGCTCCAGAGTCTGAGTTCATAATGCATCCACTTCTCTGAGTCCTTAACAAAAGGTCATACTGAATGGTCCACATATCCAGAATCACAAGGGTGTCATACACGTGACTGAGAGTCAACGGCTTTGTGGATTCTCCCCACCATAGCCCCTTTTCATCAGTATATTTATTTATTCCACACATGTTGTGGGGTCCACCCATTTCAGGAAATAGACCAGACAGACAATGAAAGGACAGTAGTCACAGAACACGCTCTAAGTCTTTATGGAGTTTACAGCCTTGTGCCTGCTTGAAATGAGTTCTATTTGTACCATGCCTTTGGGCAGCAGCCTGTAGACAAGGGACATTTTCTTTATTCACTCCCATAAAGCCCTGGCAGTCTCCTCCAAAGTACCACTCTTCAACACAGCTAAGGTCCCAGCACCTGGTAAGAGGTAATCTACCTGCTCATATGACAGAGGCTCCTGTTTCAGGAATCCTAGGAATAGACCAAGAGAGCCCTGCTCGCATAGAGCAAAAAGCCGCACAATCCATGTTGAGCCTAAATTTGTCTCCAAGATTCAATTAAGACCAATCCAGTTCCTGATTAAAGAATCTGACATCCATCCAAGCATAAATATTTATGCCTGATAGGCTTTCTCCTTAACAGCAAAACAATCTACAGTGACAACATTAGAAATATGAATACATTCCTGGTGATGACTCTATTATCAGCACTAATAATAACTTAACAGTTTCAGCATGTGGCATGCTGAGATGTATGCAAATGGGGGGCACCTCTGTCAGAAGCACTTGGGAGTGGACCGGAGGGTCTGTCACATGCCTTAGTTGCAGCTGGTGAGACCTCATTTCGAGTACACCGGTGCCTTGTACTCATTTGCCGGTATAACGCTCTGTGCTCATGTATCACTCTTCACTCAAAGATCACAAATCAGCTTGGCAGGCCCTGCTAGTGCCTCCGTGAAGCCAAAACATCTGGATAAGAAGTGAAAAAATCCAGTCTTTCAGCAAGTCAGCCAGCCAGCCATTTTTCAGCACATATTTGTTTAGTGCCTACTGTCTTAGTGGGTGTTTCATCTACATGCTGTCAAACATCCAGATGAAAGACACATTCCTTTTCATAATTCATCTAGAAATTTGGGTACCAGAAAGATGCAATGCTTTTATAACATCTGCAACATCTGTTATTTGTTTAAATGTTTTGGTTTTCTTGTGGGCACTTTTTCTTGGAATCAGGCTAAGTATGTGCCAGAAGGTTGGAGATATCTGGTTCTGTCCTCATGTTTCTAACCTCCAGGATTTCTGAAGGTATAGATAACAGGATAACACCTCATTTTTCTGAATTATGCTCCCCAAACTATAAAGATTAAATATAAGTTGAGATTTGTGGATAAATGACACTGTGAGCATGCATAGCTCATGACAATACCCATAACCCTCTTACTTAACTAGCAGGATACAACGACACATTGTGTGTCAGCAATGGAAATGAGGGAAAGATGCTATTTATATGTCAGAATTGTCAAAGAGTTCCTGACAGATATAGTTCAGAGGAGAATGGATTAAAGAAGGAACCACAGGTAAGGCAGGAATTTGCTTAAGAAGGACCTGGAAAAGAAACTAGCAGAAAAACAGTATCAATGAACAGGGATGATTCGAAGGGAAGACCACAGATATTTAGGGAGGCACACCCAGGCCCCAGCAATCCCCTGGGTGGTCATGCCAACCACTATATATTTATTCTTGGAAAGGGGGCTGGGCAGAGTATGTTGCCAATCCCAGAGCTGACTTCCAATTGTGTAACTGTGCCTGTCAAAGAGGGTGGGCATTGTGTAATTAACTCTTGGCTGCTTTCAAATGGAAGAGGAGAACTGTTCACCTTGATGGTGAAATAAAGAAATTTGTCTAACTTGAACCCCCATTTCCACTTGTACCAGGCTACTGGACTTTTGAACTGACAATGTTAAAGAAAAGTAAATCTAAACATGAAGAAAGAGAGATACACACTGTCTTTGCCAAAATCGATCTCAACTCCAATCTGGTACTTGAGATGAGCAAAGAGGAAATTCTCCAAGCATATAAAAAGATAAAGAATGTCAAAAGAAGGGGGCCCATTTGAATCATTAGAGCAGATTTCTTCATGTTAAACAGTTAAGGAAGAGAAAAGTTCTGAAAAGTTAGTGTGCATCCTTAACATTCTAGAAGCTAGTTTTCTGAAATGTGTGAGGAAGCAGGAAATAATATAAGACAAGTAAAGGCTAGAGGTAGATGAAAATATAAGATTTCTGACTTTAAAACTGCAATTGATCATTAACTAGACAATTAAATACTCAGAGCATTGTCTAATATAAATTTCTGCAATGGTGGCAATGTTCCTCTATATTAAGGGTCAGCAAACTTTTTCTGTAAAGGGCTCAGTAGTAAATATGCTAGGCTTTGAGGGCCACATACAGTCTTATTTTTTTAAACAAACCTTGAAATATGTAAAAAGAAATCCTTAGCCCATGGACGGTACAAAAACAGTTTGTGGATATCACTTACCACTTATACGCCTGCTAGGTTGGCTATAATTTTTTAAAAAAGGAAAATAGAGAGTTGGTGAGAATGTGGAGAAATTGGAACTCTCATACACTACTGGTGAGAATGTAAAATGGCATGTCCTTTATGGAAAATAGTTTGGCAGTTCCTCCAGAAATTAACATAGAATTACCATGTTACCCAGCAATTCTACGTGCAATAGGAATATGTGCAAAAGAATTGAGAACAGATGTTCAAACAAAAGCTTGTCCATGAATGTTCACAGTAGCACTGCTCACAATAGCCAAAAGGTGAAGCAAACCCGAGTGTTCATCAACAAATGAATAAACAAAATGTGGTATTTCTGTGTAATGGAATATTACACAGCCATAGAAAGAAAGGAATGAAATAGTGATTCATCTTACAACATGGATAAACCTGGAAAATATTATGTTAAGTGAAAGAAGCCACACACAAAACAATGGTTCGCATTTATATGAAATATCCAGAATAGGCACATCCACAGAGACAGAAGCAGGTCGGTGGTTGCCAGAGGTTGGAGGGAGCACAGAACAGAGAGTGATTGCTTAATAGATATGGAGTTTTCTTTAAATATGGAACTAGACAGTGATGATTGTGGTACAACACTGGGAATGTACTAAATGTCACTGAATTATACAGCTTAAAATAGTTAAGGTGGCAAATTTTATGTTTTGTGTATTTGACCACAATTAAAATAAACAAAGAGAAAATATAATATTTTTAAAAGGCCATGGGATGCATTTGACTAATGTGTTGTAGTTTAACAATGCTGTTCTCTATCTTCACCATCCACTAGTAGCCAACTCTTGCTCCATGTACTGTTGATCACTTGAAAACTGTGACCAAGCCACGCTTGGTGGCTCGTGCCTGTAATCTCAATACTTTGGGAGGCAGAGGTGGGTGGATCACTTGAAGTCAGGAGTTCAAGACCAGGCTGGCCAACATGGCAAAAACCTGTCTCTACAAAAAATACAAAAATTAGCCGGTGTGGTGGCGCATGCTTGTAATCCCAGCTACTTGGTAGGCTGAGGCAGGAGAATCACTTGAACCCAGGAACCAGAGGTTGCAGTGAGCTGAAATTGTGCCGTTGTACTCCAGCCTGGGCAACGAGAGTGAAACACCATCAAAAAAAATTAAATTTAAATTTAAATAGCCATATGTGGCTAGTGACTAGTGTATTGGATAGCATGACTGCAGAAAACTGAATAACTGAAAGAGAGTAAGAGTTTGATAAATTCTCTTAAAACTCAGAGGAAAGATACATTAAAAAAAATAGTGATGAAGTGAAAAAGGACAGATCCAGGAGGAATCCAAGGAGGATGGAAAGAGAAGACAGAAGAGAGACAATGTCAACAAAGAAAGGAAAAAACCTTTTACGTATGAAGAAATACCTTGGTTAGTTGGATGGACTTACCATGTTAGCATTATCAACACATAATAAAAAGACAGCTATGCTAAGACATAGCCTGGTAAAATTATTCTGAATTTTAAAATTAAAATAGATTTTGCTATGAGCATCCAATGCATGGAAATAAATAGATTATTTAGAAAGAAACACACAGGAGAATGATCTCATACTTTTTTGGGGAATCCAAATGATTTAGAAAAATGATTATATAGTTTTGTTGGAGAAAATACTGAGATTTAAAAGTTTTTTATCTAGCTAAGATGGGTGTGTCTGTTCAAAAGCAGAAGAAAGACATTTTCTGAAATACAGATGCTCAGAAAGTCAACATTCACTGAAAAGAAAAAAAATTTATGTAAGTGACCTGTAGAGAAAGTTTAACATCAATTTAACATAAAACCCATGAATGGGAAATCATGCTGCTAAATAATTGGAGGAAAATCACTAAAACTGTAAAACACAAAGTTTAGTATAAATAATTCCTGTTACTATGTTTATGATACAATGTACATGTAAAGATAAATAATGTAAAAATTATTTTATATTAATAATCTAAAAATCTCAGATTACTTCAAACTTGGATATGGAGAAGAAAATAATGTAAACTCAGCCAGGCTGTCTCAAATGTGTATGTTTTGATGTAGACTTATTTAGGTCACAAGAAACTGTTTTTCCAGTGCTATGATATGCTCCTAATATAGGCCTCTTCACACCAACATTTTATATCAGTTTTATGACGGTGTTACAGGTGAACTTATCTGGAGATACTAGCAGAGGTGGCAGCTTTCTCCCTGAATTTGGGGATGTTTATTCTATCTTACCACAAGTTTCTGAGAGTTACCACAACCTCATGAACCAAAGTGTTCTGATTTTATGAGACACCTCATAGAAATTATCTGGCTTTGATTATTTCTCATGTTCTCTACTCATCAGGCTAATTCTCAAATTATATATGTTTTCATGTCTTCAGGGGAAAGTTAAAAGCACTATGCTCTATTAATTGATCTTCACTTTTTAATAGGTGGCCTCATCCAATTGATACAGAAAACCCAAGAGCCACGGAAATAGAACAGAGACCAAAGCTTTTTTAACCCAAAAAATGACAAGAAGAAATTTTAACCACAGCAGGTCTGTCATTGTGTAAGCTAACATCTTCATCCTTCAACTTCCCTAACATAAAAAGAAAAAAATCATTAAAAAAGAGAATAGATGTATCAATTATCACAATAAATGCAAATGGTTTAAATTATTTTATTAAATGAAAAATTAAATTGAGTTAAAAATAATTCAACTTTGTACGGTTTCTAAGAGTTATATCTAAAAGTTCATGGAGAAAGATTAAAACTGAAAGTATTAAAAAACATTTCAGGCATATGCAAACAAATAGAAAACAGAGGCAGGGAGTTAATACCACAATTTAAAGTACAACACAGTAAATAGGACAAAGAATGGTTTAGGTTGATAAAAGTTATGATTTGAAAGTATGCTATAATAGTCTTGATTCATAATATTTTATATGTATTATTATCTAGTGATATAAAGCAAATGCTTTAAAAATAAAGAATTTTAAAAAAATTACATGGGAGACGAAACAAATACTTTCATTCTTTCATAGATAATGAAGACAAAAATCTATATTTTTATGAAATTTTGCATTACAATTTATTAGGCTGAATATATGAATATATAACATTGGATTCTATAACAGAAGAAATATTCCTTTGCAATGTCTACGGAATATTTACTAAAATTTAACATAGTCTTGGACATAAAGAAATCCTCAATAATTTCAAATGGGTAGAAATTAAACAACTCATCTTCTTTTGCCAGAGTACAAATTCTAGAAGTTAAAAAGAACAGGTTTAAATAAAAACCACTTGGAAATTGCTGCAAGATAGAAAATATCCTTCCTCAATTAATTGTATGAATAATTAAAAGCTAACATTTAGAAAATAATAGACTAAGTGCATATCAATTCTCATAGGATATAGTGCTAGGCAACACAATCATAGCATTAGTATTGAATAACAAAGGATGAAAATAAAGAATTTAACTTAAGAAGTTAAAGATTAGTAAAATAAGCACAAGAATAGCATAAGAAGAGAAATGAAAAAAAAATTCTGAAAAACCAAATCCAAGAAACAATATAATTTTTAGATTGTGCATAAGCCTAATTAAGAAGAGTCAAACACGAACTTGGAAAACTACGATTGAGATTTATATCATAGGGCAGCCACACATTGAATTTTTTTTTTTTTTTTCTTTTCTGAAACCAAGTCTCACTCTGTTGCCCAGGCTGGAGTGCTCTGGCGCGATCTCGGCTCACTGCAACCTCTGCCTCCTGGGTTCCAGCGATTCTCCTGCCTCGGCCTTTCGAGTAGCTGGGATTACAGGTGCCCACTACCACCCCCAGCTAATTTTTGTATTTTTAGTAGAGATGGGGTTTCGCCATGTTGGCCAGGCTGGTCTTGAACTAGTGACCTCATGTGATCTGCCTGCCTCGGCCTCCCGAAGTGCACATTGATGTTTAAAAGAATGAATACAATTTACATTTTTCTGAACAGATTAAAAAATCTTAATTAAAACCGTGATTAGGTTCTGGGCGAGGTGCTCATGCCTGTAATCCCAGCACTTTGGATGGCCGAGGCAGGCAGATCACCTGAGGTTGGGAGTTCGAGACCAGCCTGGCCAACATGTTGAAACCCCGTTTCTACTAAAAATACAAAAATTAGCCAGGCCTGGTGGCACACGTCTGTAATCCCCGCTACTTGGAAGGCTGACACACGAGGATCACTTGAACCTGGAAGGCAGAGGTTCTAGTGAGCTGAGATCATGCCACTGCACTCCAGCCTGCGTGACAGAGTGAGACTCGGTCTTAAAAAAAAAAAACAGTGATTGGGGTAGGGTAGGGGATATGAATAATAATATTGATTGAAGAATAATTAAACAGAATGGACACATATTAGGTGGCAAGATAAAGAAATGTTTTCAAAGCATTTCTTCTACATAAGCTCTTGGCTCAGAATATAGTATAGGTAAGGTCACAGAAAACTCATTGCGCAGTGTCACATTCTTTTTATGTCCTGAAATGTGAATTTTTTGAGATATGACATTTGAGCTATATATTTTGGATCCCTACTGCTAGGCTTGGCATACATTAAGTCCTCAGTGAATACTTGTTGAATGAGTGAAGTAATCAGTGGAGGCCTGCTACTGATAAATATTACTTCGAAAAATTTTTGGACAGCTGTTGCCAATCTTTGAACCATTGTCATTTACTTTCATGTATCTTCCTCCTTTCTTTGTTCATGTTATTCCTCTGTTGGTACAGCCTTCCTTTGGAAGGGTAAATTTTGCTTGTCCCTCACTACTTGGTTTAGACATCACTTTATTTTAGAAAGGTCCCTTTTCCAAATCTTCTTCCACACTAACCTCGCCAGGTATCCTTTCTCTATATCCCAATAGTATCCTGCACTTGACTGTATAACACAGATACTATTTGTGCAATTAGTTTTCTTCCTAATGAGACCATATGGTTCTTGGAGGACCATGACTATGTTATATTAATCTTCCAACTCCCAGCATAAACAATGAAATCTAGGAATTTGGAAGGACTCAAAATTGTTTAACACTGCATAATTGATAGGTCCATTTTGTTATAATAGCCATCTCCCCTCTACCATGTTTTGCAAGATTCTGTGTAACAAAACAAGCTATGCTGATTATGAAATAGTAATTTTATTCTTCATTTTTTATCAACTAAAATATACGTAACTATCAGAGTTTTTGATAAGGATAGGAAATCAGAAATTCCAAAGGATGTGATAAAAATCTTGCCTGTGCAGCTTTGTAGTGGGGAATGCACAAATTTTGCAACATTTTTTTCTGAAACGTTGACTCAAGGGAATATGACTTGATAGATATTAGGTTGGTGCAAACACAATTGTGGTTTTTGCCATTAAAAGTAATGGCAAAAGCCACAACTACATTTGCACCAACCTAATAGAGTTGTAGGCTCTAGATTTAGAGTTTCTTTTTCTTTTCTTTGTAATTTTTGTTGCTTGTATTAGGAAACAAAATATGCAAAAGTAGAGAAAATACTATACAGACACCAGCATTTTGCCTTTTTTTTTTTTTTCCTGCAGAGTTCTCTTTATTTTCAGAAATGAAGTCATTATGGTTTGTCTTGTCTTTCACGTCTTCCCTTCCCTGCCTCAGTCTCCAGTATGGCTAGGCATGACAGTGGTACTAATCTTGTCTTTGGTTAAATTTTGATTTTTTGTTCATCCTGGATCTTTTTGTGCCTTAATATTGATTTGTGAAACTTTAGTTTCTGATTGATCCATGTTTTCTACTCATTAGCTGTTTAACCATTGGATTACTTATACTTTAGGCAGCGTTATCACCCAAAAAAATCTAGCCAAGAAAAGCAAACTGTGAGGTATTTCCAAGGCATGGTAATCATGACGTTCTCTTAAAGCATCAGGCCTGAATCCATGGCCTGGCTGCATATGTTAAAGTGCTGAGGTATGTTTTCTGTCTGTTCCCACATCTCAAGAGAGAACTCCCAGCCACAGACAGTGCCTGGATCCCTTTTCTAAGGAAACTTTTTCCTTTCCTTCATCAAAGTTTCCTATACATTAAGCTGCATATACCCCATTGTTCTGGAAAAGACAAGCCAAAAAAAAAAAGATTATTTCTTGGAAGATGCTCTGAACTTCTAGAGAATCAGTTCTTTCCATTTGGAGCTGACCTTCAGGTCTCAGCCTCTGTTTCTTTTCATGTGCCTCTTTTCTCCTGAGTTCTAGAGATTTCTTGGGTAACGACCCTATATAAAGAAACACAGTAAGTGTATTTAGTTGTTGCTGTGGGACAGTCACTGTGGCAGGCAATTTTCATATCTTATGTTATTTACTCCCTGTAAGGAGGTAGTGCTTATAACTTCCATTTTTGGGTTTGGGGAAACTGGATTTCACAGTGGTTAAGTAATATGTTAAATATTGCACAGGGAGGAACAGAACTGGAAGGCCAAAGTATTTTAACATTTTGCTCCTTTTTGCAGATACTTGAGATCCATTAAAGAATCTAGAGAGTGAAATAACAGAACTGGAGCTCTTGTTTAGAAAGATGATTCTGGTGGAATATGGAGGATGGATTGGTGGAGACAAGGGTGTTATGATTCACACAAGAGATCATGACCACTGAATTAAGTCAGCAGCAGTAAGACAGTGGATAAGAGATATGTGAAGGTGGAGGATATAGATTCATGCAGCATCTTTTTGGAGAAGCTGGTTGATTCTTTGGTCATTGCCAGCAAAGTCATTTGAATAGGAAAGGCCTTGGAATCACAAAGACCTGGGCACAAATCTTCCCCTCTTCAACTTCCTTGCTGTAGGACCTCAGACAAGTTATATATTTTTTTTCTGAATATCAATTTCATTCTTTGTAAAAATAAGGATAATAATAATTTTGTTTCCTCATGACGTGGTGAAAATTAAACAAGATGGATAATACATGTAAATTCTTTACATAATTGATCTCTGGTAAGCTATTGCTATTATAATTACTTTATTATTATTAGTGGAAGAATTGAAGGAGGGTTAGGTTGATGGCAACCACAGGGAGGGAAGGCCAGAACTTGATGGGATACTTGATGTTTTCTTCTCTTAGGCAACAGTTATGGGAAATAGGGAAGAAGAAGTTATACAGAGAATGCAGCAGAGACAGGATAAACTGAAGGAGAACAAGCTGGTGACCTGGCTGGTTCCACTGTCTAGGGCAAGGCAATCAGCAGGTGTTCTAGGCAGTCTTTCCTGACCACTGGTTTGAATCCTCCATACTCCTGCATTTAGCTTTCCTCCTCTCCTTACTTTTGGAGATCTGATGCCCAAGTTTCAGATTTTTCTTTTTCCTGGACTCCCAATGCTGTTTTTCCTTCTCCCCACCCAGTTTCTTCCCTCAGTTCTCCTGAAGTCTTCAAGGCCCATCCACCTGGTTTTCTTTGTTCAACATTTCACTGGCATTCAATCCAAAGATATTTAAGAGGCATCAACTGCGTTGCAGGCAGGAGGAAGGAATTCTCTGAGCCCCATGGAGCTCACTTTCTCTAGAAAGATATGTCACATTCTCTCCACTATGCTCAACATTGCCTGGTGTCTGTTTCAAAAACTGCCAGAGCCACTGATTTCAGAAGTAGGGGATCTTCAGAGGAGGGAAGGGAAATGAAAAGTAGAAACTTCTATTCATAGGCTTAACAAGACTTTGTTACTGCACACTATATACCAGGCACCCTGCTAGGAAGCAGAGGCCTAGAGATGAAATAAAGTAGCTGTAAGTTTGCTGCTCTCAGAAAATCACATTCTATTGGAAGAAACAGACAAATATTAATAAACAGATTAATAAAGTAATTACAAACTGTGGAGCATATAAAAGGCTGGGGCAAAGAGAATAAAAGGGGTCAGGGTTTGCAATCTGCTCTCCTTACACTGGGTGGTAGCTGTGAGAGTTTGGCCAAATGCAAATATTTGCTTTCCAGGTCTTCATACCAAAGAATAGGTGGGAAACACTAGACCAATGGACTTTAGTATTTTTTAATACACCTTTTATTTTTGAATTACTTTATTTTATTTATTATTTTCTTTTAGACAGAGTCTCACTCTGTTGCCCAGGCTGGAGTGCAATGACTTGATCTCGGCTCACTGCAACCTCTGCCTCCCAGGTTCAAGCAATGCTCCTGCCTCAGCCTCCCAAGTAGCTGGGATTACAGGCGCATGCCACCATGCTTGGCTAATGTTTTGGATTTTTAGTAGATACGGGGTTTCACCATGTTGGCCAGACTGGGCTCGAACACCTGACCTCAGGTGATCTACCCACCTCAGCCTCCCAAAGTGCTGGAATTACAAGCATGAGCCACTGTGCCCAGCCTGGAATAATTTTAGATTTACAAAAAAGTAGCAAAGACAAAGGACATAGAGAGGTCTTGTATATCATTTACCCCATTTCTCCAAATGTTAACGTCTTGCATAACCATAGTACTCTGCTAAAACTATGAGATTCACATTGGTACGTTACTAGTAGTTAAACTCCAGGCTTTGTATTTCACCATCTTTCCTTGTATTGTACATTTTATTGTTATTGTTGTTGTTCCAGGACCCAGTTAGGGATATCACATTGCAGTTAGTCTGGCATCTTTTTGAACCTCAAGTATTCATGCCTCTCTGAGCTTATTTAACACACAGATATAAAAGCAGACACAAAAGTTGAAGTATTGCTTGCATAAGATAGTCTGCAAACACGTATGCAAAGAGGATCAAAAAAATCCTTGGGAAACTGGGTAGCCATCACTGCCCCAGCCATTGATGTCAGCCAAGCCTTTTGCATTTTTCAATTCATCTCTCCTGGGCATCTGGGAAAGCTCCTGCATCTCAAAGATGTCTCTCTCAAAATTAAGTTCTTTAAGCAAAATGGGACCTGGAATGCAGCATTTATAAATTACCTATGAGGGCCTGTAAACATCAGATTGTTTTTTTTAATTTAATTGTCCTTTTAAATATTTAATTCAAAGACAGGGCTGGGGGACGGTCATGGAGGAGGTTTACAGGATGACTCAAGAAATGTTTCCTGTCTATCAAATGGACAGCCCGCCCAGAAAGATTAACCCAGATTCCCCCAAAGAAATCTGTGTCAAATTGATGCTGAGTTGGTCTGGCATCTGAGGGGAATCTTGACATGACAAGATTAACCCTCTCAGTGCCCCCGGGCTCTGAGAGAAAGACTTTCAAAGGTTTACCTGTGCATAGCTCAGCAGAAGGTCACATAGCACTGAGTTCTCTGCGTGAGGAGTGTGACACAGGAGGAAGCTGGGAATGAGTGATGAGGAGGTGTTATAACTCAGGGGGTATTTCCCACCTGATTGCACTGGATTGTCACTGATGTTTTATCACACTGTATGCTTGCTGTGAATTTGCCGTAGAGAAAGCTGCTACTGGCTTATTACAGACCTTGCAGTCCACAATGGTGGGATTGTGACACTTCACCTGCTACCAGATGAATAATCTGGGGTTTGGGTCCTTAGCTCATGAAGGGACCCTTATCCACTGCTAAGTAACCTCTTTTCTCCTTGGACTTTTGAGTCTTGATTCATGTCTTTGTAAACATTTTCACTCCAAAGTGTGACCTCCTTTCCTAATTTTTGCAGAACCATTAAACCTTCTTCTGTTTTTTAATTGTTAACCTACTCCCTTTTCTCTAGACTGTATGAATTGGCTTATCTTCTTAGGGCTTCCCTAGAAGCAACATGGATACCAACCGCTTGTTACTAAACAGAGGCTTAGGGAGAAGGACATAAGGAGATGTGAGACTGAGAGATACATAGAGAGAGGCCTATGGGTCCAGGAGCTCACTATTTTTTGGTTGTCAAACAAAAGTTCTCAAATTACTCCTTCTTACATTGAGGCCAGTATTGAGGGTCCAGGATCTGGCCATCAGAACTCACCCAAGAAAAGCAGCCCTGAGATTGAGTTCTGATGGTGCAGTGACAAAGGTAGTTCTTGTTCAGGCCACTCCTTTGGGTTTTGTTTGTTTGTTTGAGTGAAATTTACGGTTTGTGCACAATTGGAATGGTCTTTAACCACTTACTCATTTGTTACTCTGCATAAGTGATAAAATCTCTCTCCAAGTTTCTACCATGGACCAGATGAAGTTAGTTTTGACCTGAACATCAAGCGTGAAGAAAAGTAAGCATCTTTAGCTCCCATAGCAATTGTAGTTGGCATCTCAAGCTTTCACTATGATGTAACGATTAAGGTGTCACCTATGAAAAGAAATATCCAGGATTGTTCTTAAGCTCTACACTGGGCACCCATGGACCATATGTGAGCTCTAGGTTTGTTTTGTTTGACCACACAGGTGAACGTGAATCACTCTGCATGGGACACCACAGCCCCCACCTCTCCTATTGTTTTATGCCCAATCTGCTTCATGTATTTGCCTCACATGTAGTGGGTTGGATAGTGGATCCCAAAAAGTTATGTCCAAGTCCTAATCCCTGGAACCTGTGAATGTGACTTTATTTAGAAAAAAGGTCTTTGCAGATGTAATTAAGTTAAATATCTCAAGGTAACATCATCCTCGTTTTAGGGTTGGTCCTAAATCCAACGACAGGTGTACTTATAAGAGAAAGGTAGAGAAGTTTAAGTGGAGATGGAGACAGAGATCAGAGTGATGCTGCCACAAGTTAAGGAAGGCCTGGGACCACCAGAAGCTTAAAAAGGCAAGGAAGGATTCTTCTCCCCTAGAGACCTTAGATGGAGTATAGCTCTACCAAGACTTCGATTTTGGACTCTTGACCTCCAGAACTGTTAGAGAATAAATTGTTATTTTAAGCACCATGTTTATGTTAATTTGATATGGCAGCCATAGGAAATGAATACACTCCTGCAGTCATAACACATCTGTATTTGTTTACCTTTTAATCTCTGTGTGCTTGTGTATGTATATTTGTGTCTCTGTGTATATGATATATGTGAGTATGTGTTTATCAAGTGTTGAAGGCCGTTTAGACTCACACAACTGCTGGTCACTATTCTCCTATGCTCGTGTCTTCCTTCTCTGGCCATCTTTTTCTTGTGGCTTTCTCTGAATCTTTGTGGTACCTGTAGTTTTTGTGCATCTGGTACCCCTTCTTCTTTATTCTGGTGACAGAAGCCACCACTCTGATGATAATAATTAATTTATGCTTTGAGTAATTAATTAGCTAAACTACAATGATTTTGAACACCTGATAAATATGCCATGCTCTGCTAGGGACTGTAGTTATAGTGGTGACCAAAACCAGGCAGTCTTTTATGATTTTTTGACTTATCCTCTGTAGTGGGCATGGTAGACACGTTGATGCACCATTGAGATTCTCCCAAGGAAACAGAGAAGCATGGTGAGCAGACAACACCTGGCTTAAGGTCTAACTCAGCTGCACAGAACAGCCTCACCTAAGGCCACATATTTCCTGGGGCAGCTTACCTCCAGCATGAGTGAGGCAGAAGGCAAATAATATTGTTCTGGAGCTCTCTGCCCAAGAGAGGCTTCTGGGGGCCTGAATCACAATTTGACTTCTTTCTCAGCCCAATCTTCCTTTCTGCCCGTGCCTTCCACAGGTGTTAATTCCTATGCCCTGATAAATATCTTGCACTCCAACCTTCATCTTAGCATCTGCTTTCAGAGAATCCAACCTGGACACTGGGTCAGAGGGCAACTGAAGCAATGCTTATTCAAAGAAATGGGACATTGTAGTGTGATAAATGCTCCAAAGGAAAGTTCCCTGGTTTCTTGTTCTCATGTCTACACTTGGAGATTGTCCCTCTATCTCCTACCTGGATGGTGGCCTAAATGTGGGACTCAATTCCTTTCTTTTATTTACATACACGCCTATACATAGCCACACAGACAAAGCTGCTCATATGCACCAAAATTCACCGCAACAATGCCTTGCACAGATAGAAGGTATTTCTGAAGATTTGGTAAAATGGAAGAGTTGTACAATGAGAAAAGGCAAATGGCTTAAAATTTAAAAATAGATATTCCAGTTCTTTAAAAAGTCCTCTTATTATTTCTTCCAACAGGGGCTTAGTCTATTATATTCACAAGTTCCTTTGATTTTGTGGCTTCAACACTGTACATTATTATGCCAAGCAAAATCTCTTCTTGCCTCCATTTTTACTTCTCAACCCTTTAAAATTACAGCCCCTTTTCTTACACAGGTGTATTCATTTGAAAAACCTCACAGAACTATACGCTTAACATCTGTATATTGTATTGTATGCAGTTATAATACTCCATTAAAAAAACCTGTGCCTCCTCAGGCCCATAGAAATAAGTGGCTATGCAACCTACTATTAATTATACCTTTACTATCCAATGGTCTAGCAAGGCTTTCGAGATTGATTTCTCTTTATTGATATCTGATTACATTCTTGGGGAAGATGGCATTCTTTTCCCTCATTTGACTCATGGCTCATGGGGTGAGGTGGGTTATTTCTTCTGGCAATATTTGCTTATTTCAGAGCAATTTTTGCTACACTGTGAGCTCTTTGAGGGGAGGAGCTATGTGTCCTTGTTTCTGTGTCACCTACACCTTGCATCAAGCCTGAACCAAAGAACAGTCTCAGTGGACACTGAACGCAAAAACTAATCAATTGATAAATAGAGGAAGGAATGAGTCCTAAAAAAATGTGTAGGCCATGGGACCATGAATGGAGACATAGCCAGGAATTTGTATAGCTGTGGCTTGGGTCTTGAGTACCATTAGGGTCCAGATGATTTGGGTTGGAACATGAGCCACACTAGAAACACTCAGAGTTTGACCCATATCACGCGGCCTTCTAATGGTGATCCCTGTTGCTCCCTATAGTCAAAAGATTCACCTTCATATTCAGAACTCTTCTTCATCAACTTCATAGTCTCTATGCAGGTTATTAACATTCATAAACCATTCAGACAATTGCTCATTCATTCCTTAATAAACTTTTTTAAAGCTAAACATACTAAGAACTTTTATGACCTTGTGTCTTTATTCACATTGTGCTCTTTATGCAAAATTCCCCTTTCCTATGTATTTCCTACAAATGGTTGTTGCAAAGCACATGGGTGTTGAAGTCCTGAAGATCTAGGTTCAAATTCTAAGTTGGCCACTCATGAGCTGGGTGACCTTGAGCAAATCACCTTAACCTTTCTGAAACTCAAATTCCTCATCTATAGAAGGCATAGTAGTGGTATGAATGATAATTATTTCACATGGTTGTTATGAGGATGAGATCAGGCAACAGATTTAAACATATTTGAGACCCTGGCACCAGAATTCTACAAGTTCAGGGTTCTGAGAGTGAATATCTTCATAAATCTTGCATCCTAGTCACCTGTCTTACCTCAGTCTAGACTGGGACCTGCCTGGAACATAATAGTTGCTGATTTCTTCCCCCCTCTCTCTCTTTTTTCTGTTTCCTCCAGCATAAATAATTATTACAAATTATATTGTTATTAGTCTAGACCAGGGATTAAAAACTGTGGCCCAAGGGTCAAATCCAGCCTGGTTATGTAAATAAAGTTTTACTGGAACACAGTTATGCCCATTTATATGTGTTAAAACTTATTGCTTTGTGTCATATACTTATTATGGTTTCCTGGCTTATGCGCCTAATGGTGACTACAGATGTTCTTTTCATTTTGTTATGGAATGTTTCAAGCAACTATACTTTTGCTTAAGTTGAACCCACGGTGGGAAACATTTATGCTCCTTTCATATCAGCAAGAGCAGCCTCCTTTCCCTTTTCTCTTTTAAATTCAAATTTATCAACCACCTAAATCTAGTCACCAGATTTGTCATAGAGAGGCTTCCTATAGGTTTGGGACCTTTGCTCAAATCAGTACTTTTAAGCCATTATTAGATTGTGATAAAAAGGGAGATAACACAGGGCCTGATGCACTGACAATGAGCAGAGCAGCAGAAATGTGAGATGCCTTCTGGTTGGCTTCCTGCTGCTTACTTGGCCCGCTTGCCTCAAGGGAATCATTCTCAAACTTTCTGTTTCACCATGTGATAGAAATCTCATTACATCTCAAGAGCCTATTTTGAAACTTAAATCATAAGGGAGAATTTTAATGAGCTGAGCTTTGCTTAAGCTGCAGAGTTGAGTTTGGCAATATGTTGGTTGAGATTGTCATGGGGAGTTATCTTTCTGGTTTCAACAATCAGAAAATTATTGGGTCATGGTTCTGGGAGCTTCTGGCTTCTTTCTTACATAATATTGACAAGCTACACTTTGATTAGCATTCACAAAAGCATCACAAAACCAAATCTGTATAAGTAGGCTGTCCTTTTACATCCTCAGGTGAGGAAAAGCCTAAACATTTCCTTCTGTTTTTTAGTCTTCCTTCATAGGTCCTTTATGATTTTTGTTTATTTTTGATAAGAATTAAATTATTTACTAAAGTTTCAAAGAGCTGGATTCATAGAATAGGGCCTGAGTGCTTCTTTTCTTGTGTCTGAAGGCAGAGATGAATTTCTCATGTTGTAGCTAGCAACAACAATTTGCTAGCTGACTATATTTCAGGAAGGCTTTGAACCAACAAGCAAAGACTAGCTAGCTTTGAGTCCAGGGGATTAGAGCAGTTGAAAATAATTTTTCCACTGGAGGGGAAAGTCAGTGACTTACTCTTACAACTGTTTTAACTCAGGTTTATTGAGTTTGTTAATAAATCTAGTTGAAAAGCCCACATTCTCTATCTTAGTGTTTCTCAGTGTGCTCTGCAGATTAGCTATACTGGAATATTCTAGAGGGAACTTGTTAAATAAGCAGATCCTATGGACCTACTCCTTACTCAGTGAACCAAAATCCTGTGATGAAGTTAGGGGAGGGGATGTTGAAAAGCGGTATAATTCTATAAGTTAAACAAGATCTCTGGGTCATTCTTCTATTTATTAATGTTTGAGAACCAATGATGAGTAAAATATTCTCTTTTTATTGCTCACAGTGGAGTTTCTAAAGGCAATATGTACAAAGTGCTGCAGCATAGGACTATGCGAGATGGCATAAAAAGACAGAAGATGGACCACTGAGATGACCTGTCAATTCATTGATTGTCTTACTACAGTTGGCTGAATTGACTGAAACTCCATCTGCTTTGTTGGCACATAGACAAGACTTTATTGGTAGAACGTTGAGAGTAATTGGTTTCATATGATTTTTAGATACCATCACTAAGGACTTTTGAGTACGTTTTGTAAGAGACTTTCAGGAGTTGATACAAGAAGGGAAAATGAGCTCCTGGGCACCTCTTTCACATGTAGTGAAGTAACTCACTCCAGCCTTCTCCTGACTTTCACTGAACCCCTGAAGGAGTCGACTGCTTTGCTATGGGGCTGAAAGCTGGTATTCATGTATATTAGGCAATTCTTGCCCCAGAGAACTTTCAATTCAGCTGCATAAATAAAGTAACTACAATTTGTAAAACCTAAAACCTATTATATGTTAGTCAATGCAAAATGCCAGATGAGTAGAATAGATTATGAATTTAGGGGCCCAGTGAAAGGTGACATTCCTGTTTTCCTGAGGACAAGAGGTTGTAGGAAAAAGGTCAAAGGATTTAAGAAATATTTTTTGGATAGTACCTTAGTTATAGTTCTCCAAAGAAACAGAACTAATAGGAAATTGGAAACCAATAGAAAATATATATATATAGGTGTGTGTATATATGTGTGTGTGTATATATAGAAAACATATATACTATATATGTTAATATATATGATATATATGGTATATAAATATATAGTATATATAGTATATATAAATATATAGTATATATAGTATATATAAATATATAGTATATATAGTATATATTAATATATACTATATATAGTATATATAGTATATATTAATATATATGTAGTATATATATTTTCTATATGCTTGTGTGTGTGTGTGTATATATATATATATATATATATATATACACACACACGTATACATATTTTCTATTGGTTTCCCATTTCCTATTAGTTCTGTTTCTCTAGAGAATTGTAACTAATGTACTAATACTATCCAAAAAACAATTCTTAATCCTTTGACATATATATATATATGTCATGTGTGTGTGTGTATATATATATATACACACACATACATATATGTAATATATATAATACATATATATTATATATAATATAATATAGAAACCTTGGAGCTTCCTGGATCTGAATGTAGATATCTCTCCCTAGACTTTGGAGGTTTTCAGCTATATTTTGAGAAATAATTTTTCTTTAACTTTCTCTATCTCTTCTTTCTCTAGTAATCCTATAATACAAATATTTGTTCACTTAATGGTATCCCATAAGTTCTGCAGGCTTTCTTATTTTTTTAAATTGTTTTACCACCATTTGACTGGGATATTTTGAAACACCTCTTGACTGGGGTATTTTGAAACACCTGTCTCCAAGTTCAGAAATTCTTTCTTTTGCTTGACCTAGTCCGTTTTTGAAGTGCTCAGTTGTATTTTTTTATTTCTTTCATTGAATTCTTACCTCCAAGATTTTTGTTTGGTTCTTTTAATGCTGTCTATCTTTTTGTTGAATTTTTCATTCAGATCATGAATTGTTTTACTGATTTCATTGAAGTGTTTCTCTGTATTCTCTTATATCTCGTTGAGTTTCCTTAATATTATTTTGAATTCCTTTTCAGGCATTTTGTACATTTATTTTTCTTTGCAGTCTGTTACTGCAGAATTATTGTGATTCTTTGGAGGTGTCATGTTTTCATCTCTCTCATGTTTCTCTCTCTCTCTCTCTCTGTCTCTCTTCAGAGCACATATGTGTAGCCAACCACGATCCCTGGTGGACTGAACAAAGGGGGCCAACGTGGGAATAAAAGACAAGAGAGTATATTTGGAAGAAGGGGTCGGGGGCTTCTTGCCTATAGTGGACAAAGGCCCTGAGCTTTTTCAGCCCTCTGAATTTATTAGGTAAAAGAGATAATGAGAAAGGTGGGGGGTGATTTTTGGGTAATTGTCAGTCAGCCATTTGGTTCACAGCAGGCTTGCGAGACTGCATCCTCTGAACAACAGGCACTAGATTTCCCAGTAGATAACTTCAAGAAGCCTGGCGCCAGGGAGTAATGGCCCTCAGCAAACCTCCTGGCAGCAGGTGCAGTCGTGAGTTTGCTCACATCCTGCATTTATGATAAACAGTTTGCTGTTTGATCATATAGCCTCCAGTGGAATGTGGAGTTGGTCACAATCCCTTTGGCCTTTTTGGCTCCCAACACATATGGCCCATCAAACTTTTCCCATGGGGGGCTGAAACTATACCTCCTATAATTATTTACTGGCTGTGGGCTGGCATAGGAAGAATGTGCCCCAGATATGCAGCTTTGTGCAGTTGAGGCAAATGCTAAAGGAGCCACTTCCAAGGGCGGGGGCAATGAGTCCTTCTTTGCAGAGGGATCTGGGAAGCTCATCTTTCTGTCCCCTCACTATAATTTTAGTTCACTGCTACTGTATAGAGCAGTGGTCCCCAAGCTTTTTGGCACCAGGGACCAGTTTCATGGAAGACAGTTTTTCCACAGGTCGGGGTCGGGTGGTAGGATGGTTTCAGGATAAAATGGTTCTACCTGAGATCATCAAGCATTAGTTAGATTCTCATAAGGAGCACTCAACCTAGATCCCTGGCATGTGCAGTTCACAGTAGGGTTTGCAATCCTGTAAGAATCTAATGCCACCACTGATCTGACAGGAGGCAGAGTGCAGGTGATAATGCTTGCTCATCTGCTGCTCACTTCTTGCTTGGAGGTTCAGTTCCTAATGGGCCACAGACAGCACCAGCTTGCAGCCTGGGGATTGGGGAACCCTGGTCTATAGTAATGCAAAACATATTGCTTCCATGTTTCTGAGGACTGACCATCAGGTATTTACAGGCAGTCAACTTGCCTACTACATTTTATTTGTAATCACACCTGGATGCCATTTACACATACTTAGTTTAGTTTAAGCATGTGCAGATATGTTACCTCTTCCTCCTTGAAAGGCTTCCTGGTTACCCTATGTGGCTGTTTGTTCACCATCTTTGTATGGGACTTTGAAGCTGAGGACTTGGACAGTTCCTAGTGTGCAAGTGGTCAGAAGCCCTCTCCCTCCAAACCCAGTGACAATGTCCCTTTAGTAGGATTAAGGTGCCCTGAGGACCTTTGCTTTTTAAATTAGGCTGACACGGAGCTTAGCAACTATAAGTTCCCCCTTATCCTCCCTCTATTTATCATTAATATGTTGAACTTCTCAGCTGGCGAAGGATAAAATAGTTGATAGCAAATGAATTAGATATCAATTAATTTCTAAAGCAAACCTAATGGGCATTTAAGAAGAGAATTTAATGTCTCATTTACTCTCTATAGCTATCTTGTTAAATGCCAATTAAGTATCTAAATATTTCCTACAAGCTTAATGAATTATAATAAGTAAAAAGTGATTACCACTTTTTTCTAGGATCTTGGCACTCTCGACTTCCAGTGCAATGATACTAGACTTTTTTTCTCATCCTATTTAGGATACAGATAAAATAGACTAAAACCTTCCTAATTAACATTAGCTACCTTATTTAGCAATAAAGTACTAAATTTATAGTCAATTCTGAATATAAAAAATATCAGAATGCATGCAGCTAGAGAATATATGAGTAATAGGATTTTTACTTGAAAATAAAGTGAGCACTACTAAAGCATTACCTATAATGAACGCCTAATGTTTCACCTTCTCAATGCCTGCCTCACCTCACCCCCTCACTGAAACCATTTCTAGACACCAAGGCAGAGAGCATATTAGCAGACTCACACATGAATTAATGGGGTGTGTGTTTGTGATTGGCATGGTACACAAAAACCTAAAGGCAGCAGGGGCCAGGACAGTGGACTCCATCATACAAAATGGGGAAGGTTAAGGAGGCTTGGCCTGGGATCTAGCCCTTCAAGGTTTTCTCTGCCACTCTGGGAGAATAGAGTGATCCTTAGGTTTGCTTATCCAGGCTTTGATATCTAACAGTGCACTGTGGGATTGGAGAGATTAGCAGTCAATATTCAGGTGGCAGGCTTAATGAACTACTGTTTCACTCTAAGGAGGGCTCTGGTCCTCAGTGGGAGATGCAGACGGCAAAGAAGCAGCCCCTGAAAGTGAGGGTTTGGGTGGGACTGCAGTGGAAAGAGGTGGAGAATACCTGCCAGACAGGAGTAACACAGTGCTCCTGAGCAGTCAGCTCTGGTAACGTAACTCAGTTACATCATGAGTTATGTATGGATGTCATTCAGTTCAGACCATGGAGTGGAGGTCAAGGGTATGAAATTTGGGATCAAATAGACCTGAGCTTGAGGCCCAACATGGCTCATACTTGTCCTATGAGCTTGTTTATTTTGAAGATTAAAAGAGAGAATTTGCTTAAAGCATGCAATACAATGCTTACCAAATAGCACACATTCAGTAAGTGCACTTATTATTAGAGTGAATAATAATGGTAATAAAAATATTAAGGATGATGAAGTCACTTTGTTTCTGAGAGTGTATCTGATTTGTAGACTATCCGTTTGATAGCTCTTCCTTCCTTAGGAAAGTTAGTTAAGTCATGATTCAGTTCCTTCCTAATGAAAGTTAGTTCAGTACAACCTGAAGCATGTAAAATTTCCACGCAGAGTGTTGGTGTGCCTGTTCCAATGATGTCGCCACTGCATGCAACATTCATATAATGACCTCAAGTGACAAAAAAAATCCATTATTTTTTTCTTCCAGAGAATGAAGGGAACACTAGGTCATTGTTACATGGCAACAGCTACTTCTCAAACACCTTGTTCAGGAAATACCTTGTTCCAAATACATGCTGCAAGGCTGAGAAGGACTCTTGCAACTGGGCACAGGGGTACAAACACCACCTCATTTCCCAAGGACAGCTCCGCTCTTCAATGAGGCCATTCATCCTGGCCCTACACAATTACTGTCGCTTACACAAACAGTTATGGAGCATTCAAATGACAAATGCTAGGCAGCCATCCAAGTCACATTTCTGAAAAATATTTTTATTACAGGAAAATGCTCATGATGTAGCATTAAAAAGGGGGAGGAAAGCAGGAAACCAATCAAAAGCAGCAGAGAAAATAACTAGTATAGATCCCTGAGTTAAACTCAGCCTCCTTTCTCTCACCTCCAGGCTGGCCTCAGGAAAATACCAGACAGAAATCAAAAGGAGACAAAGATCTAACTAACTTCATATGCATCAACAGGCAATACTGGTCTTTACTGTGATGGTTCCTTTTGGATACCAAGGCGGGAGTTTTGCTAATCATGGGAAAAGTTCCTAAAATTCCCTTCTCAATAGCCTTCTCCTAAAGTCCAAACCCTCCAGTAGCTGGCCAAATTTTTGCTCTCCTCTCTCTCTTTTTGCCTCCAAAATATTCTCATTCCTGAGTTTTTTTGTTCATGCTACTATCCATTCTCTGTCTAACCTCCTCCATCTTCCTCACCTCTATTTTTTTCTTCTTTTGGTTATCTCTATGTGTAAGTCAGGACATGAGAAAATGAACATTTGAGCCACAAAGCCTGGGTTTGAAGCCTGCCTCTGAAATTGCCTAGCTGGATAATCTTGGGTGAATTTCTTAATCTCTCTGTGCCTCAGTTCCAACCTGTATAATGGGGATGATAACACTAACACACAGTCTCTTGGGGTGCTTTTCATGATTAAGTAAGTGAGTTTATATGAATTACCTAGAACATTGTTTGGCTTAAGAACTGAATAAATGTTCAGCACTATCATCATCATCATCATCATGTGGATTAATTGACCTTCCCTCCAGCTTCTTCAAGCTTTTTCTCCACCCATTATAATGGCTTTTCTCCCAAAAAAAAGGGGAGGAAGGATTTGCAAATAATTCTTACTTAACATATATTTAAACCCTGTCATATTATTCAAAAAAATGCCTGCATGGAAATGAATCTGTGTTAAGCAGAATAATGGTCCCCCAAAGATGTCCATGTCTTATATCAGGAAGCTTTGAATATGTTACCTTACATGGCAAAAGAGTCTTGGCATAGATGGTGAATTTAAGGATCTACAGTTGGGGAGGTTATCCTGTGGCCCAGTGTAATCACAGGGGTCCTTATAAGTGAAAGAGGGAAGTAGGAGATTCAGACAAGGAAACAGAGATCTAGTGCTGTCATTGCTGAAAGGGGCCACAAGCCAAGGGATGTGGGCAGCCTCTAGAAGTTGGAAAAGGCCAAGAACAGGTCTTCCCCTGGAGCCTCCAGAAGGAATGCAACCCTGCTAACACCTTGACTTTAGCCACATAAGACCCATTTTTAGACTTCTTACCTCTAGAAATATAAGATAAATTGCTGTATGGTAATTTGTTACAGCAGTAATAAGAAATCAGTAAAGTGTCAAAACTATAGCTAAAAATATTATGTATACAAAGATAGATTTCTGAGAAGTTTTCCTTTTCTTTTTATTTGAACTGTCTCTGTCTTCTAAAATAAGAAGGCAAATGCTAGGCTAAGAAATGATAAATTACAGATGCCTGACACATGCCAGGACTGTTGTTATGCTGCTATAGAAAGAACCCAAGCATGTGGATTTGGAGTTACTACAAATGCATGGTCATTACCCATCACTGAGCTTAACCATGGTTCCTGGCTGTTACACCAACTCCACCATCCACTTAAGCAGATGGATGGTGGAGACTTCTCCATCTGCTTAAGTTCTTTTTACCGATGCATTGCAAACTTTACTGTGTATATAAAGAATGTGGGGATCTTGTTAAAATGCAGATTCTCTCAATATCATTAGACATCGGGAAAATGCAAACTGAAATCTCAAACAGGTACCACCATATACCACTGGAATAACTAAGATGAAAATGACTAGCAAGTCACCAATAACACCAAGTATTATTGAGAATGTGGTTCAACTTGACCTCATGTATATTACTAGTGGGAATATAGAATGTATTTGGAAAACTGTTTGGCAGTTTCTTAAATAGTTAAACATATATATAGCATGAGATCCAGCCATCCCACTCCCAGATGTGTACCCAAAAGAAATGAAATATGTCCTCACAAAAACCCAATTATGAATATTCAGGCTGGGCGCGGTGGCTCATGCCTGTAATCCTAGCACTTTGGGTGGCCAAAGAGGGCGCATTATTTGAGGTCAGGGGTTCGAGACCAGCCTGACCAACATAGTGAAACCCCGTCTCTACTAAAAATACAAAAATTAGCCAGGCATGGTGGTGGGCACCTGTAGTCCCAGCTACTCTGGAGGCTGAGGCAGGAGAATCACTGGAATCCAGGAGGCGGAAGTTACAGTGAGCTGAGATTGCACAACTGCTCTCCAGCCTGGGCAACAGAGCAAGACTTCATCTCAAAAAATAAAAAAGAAAAAAGAATATCTGCAGCAGCTTTATTCATAGTAGTTAAAATCTAGAAACAATGCAAACAGCTATAAACTGGTGAATGCAGAAACAGAAGGTAGCACTCACACACAGTGAACCATTACTCAGCAACGGAAAGGAGCTACTGACATACCCAACAACACGGGTGAATCTCAGAAGCATTATTCTGAGTCAAAGAAGCCAGACCCAAAGACAGCATACTATATGATTCCATTTATAGAAAATGTAAGCTAATCTCTAGTGACACAAAACAAATTAGTCATTTCCTGGGGCTGGGGCAGAGGGAAGGAGTGAATGTGAAGAGGAGCGAGGGATCTTTGGGAGCGATTGAGCTTTTCCGTGTTTTGATGGCCATGGTGGTTTAATGGGTATAGATGACTATCAAACTTCATCAGATTTTACACTTTAAATGGATGTGGTTTATTATATATAGATTATTCCTCAGTTAAGTAGATAAAGAAAAAATAAAGCAGATTCTGATTTATAGCTCTGGGCTGGGCAGGCAAGTTAACATTTCTAGCAATTCCTCAGTTGCTGCCGATGTACTGGGTCCCAAAGGCTCCAGAATATCTTCTCTTCACCTTTTGCACTTGCAGGAGACACATTTGTGTCCAATTTTGCTAAGAAAATCAAGGACTTGGGTAAGGAAATCCCTTGAATGTCTTTTCCCTACCCCCTATGAATATAAATCCACTTGTGCAACAATTTGAATATATGCAAGAAAAAATACTTCAAAAGGTACTTCTGCTTTAATTGTAGCCTTACCAATGCCACCATTCACCTTTTAATGATGACCTTGGCCTGAGCTTTAAATTGAAGCACGTGTGATTAGCAACCAAAAATTGCATTGGGATTATAGTACTTTCACTCTAAGTCTTTGAGCAAATTTCTAGGCTTTGCTTAAAACATCCATTTTCAGGCATGATTAGAAGACAATTAAAATAGAGGGGTAACAGAAACAATAAAATTAATACTTTTTGACCCATGAGGGATTAGAAATAGTTCAAGACAAAAGCAGAAAGGATATTGGCCACCTCGTGCCCTTGCTTAGTGATATTCATCTGCCATTGGACAAACCTGGGTTTCTCTGTAAGATGTAAGGTATCCATATGTAAAAGAATCCCTTGACATTGGTACAAATCCTTCGCAAATCTTCACATACTTAAAAAGCACTCTGTGAAGAACAAAGCTTTGTTGAGAAGCTGTTTCTAGGCAGTCTTCAATGCTGTCTCTCTAGTGACAGAATTTGTTTCAATTGGAGTCCATGTGCAATCCACGCCCATGTCTCAATAAAATAATCAATTAAAATAATTTGGGGTCTTTAGAATAATGGTAATTGAAATGATGGGTGCTGTATAAATTCCAAATTCCTTGTGTACTGGCCAAAACAAAATAAAACGAACAAACAGAAACACTAGAGAAAGCGATGGGTATGGCTATGGTAGCTATAATGTTTTGTAGATTTTATTAACTGTCTATGCTTTCAATATCTCTAAGATACCATTCAAGCATTGAGAAGGGAGCTTTAATTGCTGTCTTTCCATCTGCATTTACTCAAAACTTACACCATAAAGAAATGTTCTGTCTCAAGTATCAATATTGCATCAATTGTGTTTCTGTTCCTCTAGCTATTTGCCCCTATGGTGTCATTTCATACATTCATAGAAACATGGAGAATTTAGAAATTATGGCCCTTCTCCAGTACAGTTGAGTTTTATCTGTCTATATTACTTGGTGTTTAGCACATTGTAGCTGTTCAATAAATGTTTGATTTCTTACAGAATAATAGTTTGACTTTCAAAGATTTTAAAAACAATCTTTTTAATCTGGTGCAAGCTTGGACAGGAAGACTGCTAAGGCCTAGTTAGCTCAGAGGCAGAACAACTGAACCAACCTTTCTATGTGTGTCAGACACAATTTTGTTTTCCTGTTTGAAAAGGTAAAAACAGAGTCACCTGGCTAAATGGTTTCCTAAATGTTCCCCCTCCTCTGATCCTCATGACTTTATAAAACAAGCCACCACAAAACTTCTCTAAAGCTAAACTAACGTGAAATAACCCAGGGCTTGAACTTGTCGCATGACGTTGCTTTAAATTTTAATACGAGCTTGGGAATAGATTTGTGAACAGCAAGGTAAAGCAAAGCCCATGAAATATTGATTCTGTACATTTTCTTATGCATTTTTATTCTCCAATTTAGTAAATTTTTCATCTTGCCTGCACTTAAAGGTTGGCTATGAAGTCGTTACTACCAATTGTATTAGCTGTTGTAAATAAATAATTGTCGCTAAAGCTGTTTGCATGACGAGAGGTGGACAGGGCCTGCTCCTTGTGAGCACTGACTTTCCACAGCCCAGCCTAGAAGGATGAAAGAGATGACCACATTTTGCCTAACAGCACAGTAGCAGACACTTTCTAAGGGAAGGAGGGTTTTAAATAAAGCAACAATGAAGAGCTCTAATGTTTCAGTAGGGACTAAACCACCATTCTGACAATCATCCATTTTGGTCAAAAAGAAGGCAGAATTTTTTTTTTAATTACAGGACATCAGGATAGAATTTCATAACATGCATGCTTCTTGGAGATACCCTAATTTCATGGCTCTATGTTAGAGAAATTAAAAGTGCTAGTCTTTCATTACTAGCCCTCATCCTTGTATATGCATAAAAAGTCATATTTTATCAGTCACGTGAAAGACAACTCCATTACATAGTTCTCACTGTCCTCATTCTGTAATGTACTCTTCTTCCCTAGAATAAACATGTATGCTTCTGTATTCAACATATCTAACAGGAGGTGAGAGCCAAAAGAAAGATGGAAACCAATACAGACAACAAATGGCACATCCCTTGGTAAACAATGCATAGAGGATCCAGTGTGGTTCTGCCACTGTGGCAATCATTCTGATTCTTTGTACAGATTTCATACATTAACTCATTACTTCTCTGTTAAGACTGACTTCAGTTTCTCTAGAATCCTGGTCAAATTGACCAAAGAAAAGACTTCCCCTGAGTTCCAAATTTCTTATTCCATGTGTCCAGAACATAACAGGAAAGGAGAGAGGATAAAATCAGGCTAATATTTAGCTTTGAAATAGCTAAATATATCTCCTTTTTATTTTATCAGGAATTTTGTCACCCTGTTAGGCAAATAATAGGATGCCTCATTTCCAGATTTCCCCATTTTATATTTATTAAAGTTATATATGCTTGCTTATTGTAGAAAGATTTTAAACTGTAAAAACAATGTAGATGAGTTTAACTCTGTTTCTGATGTCTCTACTTGCCAAGAAAGAAGCAATATGGGAGGAGAATAAAGACTTCCAATAGGTTGTTACCTGCATTTTTGGCAGGTAAAATTGGCATACATTTTAAGTGTTTAAATAATTTTAAATCCATCACTAGTATGTTTCTCTGCTTACTTTTAATTCCTGAAACACTTGATTTATATGTTATCTAAGAAAGAAAAAAAACCTACATAGAGTCCAAGTGGGATTTTCCCCCCTAAGTTTGGTAAGTTTTGTGTTTGTTCAGTAAGTCTGTATACGGGGGTTATGGGACAATCTTAAATTTGTTCATTGAAAACCACTGAATATTGTTGACTTGAGCCATATATTTTGCACAAATAAGTCTTCACCTGCAAATACTTGTACCTCAAGACAGATATGGCACAAGAAAAAGTATAGCAAGATGTATCAAGTAAATACAACTCCCAGATGCTTGGATTAAACATCAGTATGAGCACAGACATCTTTCTCCTCTTAAACTCTCCACTCCATCCCTAGCCAAATGTCTATTAAAGAATTAACAAAGGTACAGCATAGGCAGAGATGACCTTAGAACAAGGGAATGGACCAATCAAATTATGGATGGCTTAGAGAAAGTTTTGGTAGATATAGTGCACAAGGCAACAAACAGGAATATAGAAAGAGTTCAACTTAAAACTCTTTCCTCAGAAAAGGCATTATTACCCTGAAGAAGATACAGGGGCTCAGGCACTTATCTGGAGGGGTAAGAATTGGGTACATGGGTAGGCCATGTGGTAGATGGTGACCTCATAATTTGGGCTTCATTTGACCTTCAAGAATCAGCATCATTTGTAACAGCAAGACTTTGAGTGTCCAGGATTAGAAAGGCAGCCACTTGAAGAAGAAAGGGGCAAAAATGGTGAGGACCTGTACAAAAAGAAAGAACTTAGAGCTTAGCCTGAGGGAAATCATTAAGTCTTCCCAATTTGGGGTAGAATGTGAGGAGAGCTCCTGTGGTTGATGCCCTGATTCTGTGACCAGCACTAACAAGATCAGAAGCGTCTGAAACCAGAGGCTTTAGGGAGACATAGTATTCAAGTTGCTGTTACATCAAAGAAAACCCTTTCAGGGTTACAGAGGCATTTCCTCCATGTATCAAGCAAGAGAACCAGGAAGGAGCCTGGGCATAGCCAAAGTTTATATTGGAGTACAGGTTGTGCCAAATACCAAGTGAATACAAAACATTGAGCTGAGAGCAATAGCTTCACCATGCATGGAAAGAATTGCTGCAGAGATAAATATTCCTGTGAATGCTACTCAGAGCCCAGACTTCCTCCCAACTCCCCTCTGGCTGCTCAATAACAATGAGAGTGTTGTAAATTTACACCAAAGAAGCCCTCCAGTTTGAGATCTGAGAAGCCAAGAACAACCAAGGGGAACCAGAAGGGGAAGGAAAGACAATTTACTCAAAATGTTTATGGAAAAACACCAGCTCTGCTTACATATCTCATCACTTAAAGATGAACAACTAAAACAACACCAACACCAGCTCTATGAAAAATCTCAAAATATGAAATATTGAGAAAATGCATGCAATATGCAAAAGACATAATACAAAAAAGAGACAATGTCAAGAATGTCTTCTTGTGCCTTTAATACTATTTGAGAAATTAGGGGCTCTGTGAAACCAGTGATGAGAAATGGGATAAAAATATTTAAACAGAAGAGAGATAGGCAAACCATAGGCAGTTTTCAATAGAAAGCTAAACAATATAAGGGAGAGGAATGCAAGGACTGAGTTCAGTACCTATTTTAGGAACCTTAAAATGAAGAGAGGATACTGCAAGAGTCAAATAAGTGATGTGGAGTACAAATCAATCAGGCTTGCCTGGAGTAGAGAGGAAAAAGTCAGGTGATGAGAAAGAAGACGCTAGGAATGGGAAACTAGAACTTAGATAGAAGAGACCTAATTTGTCTCTGGAAAAGATCCCAAAAGAAAAGGAAGGAAGCAGAAATCAGAGATATAACAGAAGAAACTTTCCTGAGTAAAAAAACTGATTCCATGGAAACACCACCATGTGCCATAGAGCATTCATGAATACAAAGGAACACCTAGATACATATTGTCAATTTCTTTTTAATCTTAAGGAAAAAGAAAGAATATGTCAAACATAAAAGGAAGAGGGGGTTGCTAAACAGGAAGAATGGGACATCCATCTAACTCAAGACTCCTTTTATACCACAAGAGATGTTAGGAAAAAATGAAGCAATGTCTATGGAACTGAGAGTAAGAAGCTGGAATCTAGGAATTCTAAACTCAGGCCAGATTCTGTTCATATATAAAAACAAGAATAAAAACAAAGAGAAGTAAGAGAGAGAGAGAGAGGTCTTTTTCAGATATGTAAGGGCTCCAAAACCCAAGCAAGTCTTATATTTTCTTAAAAGTTGTAGCAAGTTTGCTTTATACAGGAATTGGTTTTGGTGGATGATGAGAGACAGGAATTCAGAATTCTTTTTTCTCATTTGGATAACCACACTATTGCTGACTTGGTCCCATTTATGACATTTTCCATCCTTTTCACAATGATTTAATAATTTTTAATGCCCCTTATGCTATATACAAAGTTCCCTTATATGTATGAGACTACAGTTATGCTATCCATTTTGTTTCATTAATCAATTCATTCATCACTGTACTAAGACTACATTAAATATTAATAAAGCATTAGAATAAATTCTGATATTTGATAAACCTAGGCATCCTTCATTTTTTTCTTTTCAATTTCAGTATTTTATTTTTGTTGGTCAATAAGAAAGGATGTTTTAGCCTGCTATTTGTAAAACTTCTGCAAATTTTTTTTTAATTTTTAATTTTTATGGGTACATGCTAGGTGTATGTATTTATGGGGTATATGGGATAGATATTTTGATACAGGCATACACTTTATAATAATCACATAAGAGTAAATAGGATATCCATTCTTTTTCTTCCAAATTGTCGTGGCAATTTAAGAATTGATTTATCAAGACTCATAAAAACTAAGTTTTTGGCTTTTGATTGGAATTAACAATTAAGGTGGAGATGTTTTCATGATATTGAGTACTCCTGGGACATATTCCATTTGTTCAGTTTTTTTTTTATGTTCTAATAACTGTTTATAATTTTCTCCATGAATATTTTCCACATCTTTGTTAGGTTCCTACTAGATATCTAATTGTTGGTTGTAATTGTAAATGCTGTAGTTTTTCTAACTTATTTTCTATTTGATTTTGCTGATATACAAGAGGAGTATTGAATTTTTGGTTTGTATTAAACAGATTTGGTGAATTATTTTAGTGATAAATGTGGTTTATGGATTTTTATGAATTTTCTATATGTGCAACTATATTACCTACAAATAATGACACTTTTGACTCTTGGTTTCCATTTTTCCACCTCTCTTGTTTTCATGCTTTGTTGCATTGGTTATGGCCTCCAGTGGAATTTTGAAGGGTGGGGTGATTTCTGCACTGACTTTGTGATTTCTGTTTAACATGTTTCTTTCTTGGATCCTCGAATTTAGATTTAAGGCCTGGACAAGTTGTCTTTTTTCCCCTAAGTCTCTAACTTCCTGAGCTCCAGAGTTTTCTTATGAAAAGAGAGAGAAAAGAAAAAAGAAGAAAGGAAGCAGGAGAAGGAGAAGAAGAAGAAAGGGAAGAGGAAAGGGGAAGGGGGAAGGAGAATAGGTGACAAAGAAGGGGAGGAGGGGCCAGGGGATGGGAGGGAGAGGGGGAAGATTCTAACCAATGTTCTTTTTTTTTATTTTTTTATTTTTTATTTTTTATTTTTTTTTATTATTATACTTTAAGTTTTAGGGTACATGTGCACAATGTGCCGGTTAGTTACATATGTATACATGTGCCATGCTGGTGCGTTGCACCCACTAACTCGTCATCTAGCATTAGGTATATCTCCCAATGCTATCCCTCACCCCTCCCCACACCCCACAACAGTCCCCAGAGTGTGATGTTCCCCTTCCTGTGTCCATATGTTCTCATTGTTCAATTCCCACCTATGAGTGAGAATATGCGGTGTTTGGTTTTTTGTTCTTGCGATAGTTTACTGAGAATGATGATTTCCAATTTCATCCATGTCCCTACAAAGGACATGAACTCATCATTTTTTATGGCTGCATAGTATTCCATGGTGTATATGTGCCACATTTTCTTAATCCAGTCTATCATTGTTGGACATTAGGGTTGGTTCCAAGTCTTTGCTATTGTGAATAGTGCTGCAATAAACATACGTGTGCATGTGTCTTTATAGCAGCATGATTTGTAGTCCTTTGGGTATATACCCAGTAATGGGATGGCTGGGTCAAATGGTATTTCTAGTTCTAGATCCCTGAGGAATCGCCACACTGACTTCCACAATGGTTGAACTAGTCTACAGTCCCACAAACAGTGTAAAAGTGTTCCTATTTCTCCAAATCCTCTCCAGTATCTGTTGTTTCCTGACTTTTTAATGATTGCCATTCTAACTGGTGTGAGATGATATCTCATTGTGGTTTTGATTTGCATTTCTCTGATGGCCAGTGATGGTGAGCATTTTTTCATGTATTTTTGGCTGCATAAATGTCTTCTTTTGAGAAGTGTCTGTTCATGTCCTTCGCCCACTTTTTGATGGGGTTGTTTGTTTTTTCTTGTAAATTTGTTGGAGTTCATTGTAGATTCTGGATATTAGCCCTTTGTCAGATGAGTAGGTTGTGAAAATTTTCTCTCATTTTGTGGGTTGCCTGTTCACTCTGATGGTAGTTTCTTTTGCTGTGCAGAAGCTCTTTAGTTTAATTAGATCCCATTTGTCAATTTTGGCTTTTGTTGCCATTGCTTTTGGTGTTTTAGACATGAAGTCCTTGCCCATGCCTATGTCCTGAATGGTAATGCCTAGAATCCAGCAGAACATCAAAAAGCTTATCCACCATGATCAAGTGGGCTTCATCCCTGGGATGCAAGGCTGGTTCAATATACGCAAATCCATAAATGTAATCCAGCACATAAACAGAACCAAAGACAAAAACCTCATGATTATCTCAATAGATGCAGAAAAGGCCTTTGACAAAATTCAACAACTCTTCATGCTAAAAACTCTCAATAAATTAGGTATTGATGGGATGTATCTCAAAATAATAAGAGCTATCTATGACAAACCCACAGCCAATATCATACTGAATGGGCAAAAACTAGAAGCATTCCCTTTGAAAGCGGGCACAAGACTGGGATGCCCTCTCTCACCACTCCTATTCAACATAGTGTTGTAAGTTCTGGCCAGGGCAATCAGGCAGGAGAAGGAAATAAAGGGTATTCAATTAGGAAAAGAGGAAGTCAAATTGTCCCTGTTTGCAGATGACATGATTGTATATCTAGAAAACCCCATCGTCTCAGCCCAAAATCTCCTTAAGCTGATAAGCAACTTCAGCTAAGTCTCAGGATACAAGATCAATATACAGAAATCACAAGCATTCTTATACACCAATAACAGACAAGCAGAGAGCCGAATCATGAGTGAACTCCCATTCACAATTGCTTCAAAGAGAATAAAATACCTAGGAATCCACCTTACAAGGGATGTGAAGGACCTCTTCAAGGAGAACTACAAACCACTGCTCAATGAAATAAAAGTGGATACAAACAAATGGAAGAACATTCCATGCTCATGGGTAGGAAGACTCAATATCGTGAAAATGGCCATACTGCCCAAGGTAATTTATAGATTCAATGCCATCCCCATCAAGCTACCAATCACTTTCTTCACAGAATTGGAAAAAACTACTTTAAAGTTCATACGGAACTGAAAAAGAGCCCGCATCACCAAGTCCATCCTAAGCCAAAAGAACAAAGCTGGAGGCATCACACTACCTGACTTCAAACTATACTACAAGGCTACAGTAACCAAAACAGCATGGTACTGGTACCAAAGCAGAGATATAGATCAATGGAACAGAACAGAGCCCTCAGAAATAACGCCGCATATCTACAACTATCTGATCTTTGACAAACCTGAGAAAAACAAGCAATGGGGAAAGGATTCCCTATTTAATAAATGGTGCTGGGAAAACTGGCTAGCCATATGTAGAAAGCTGAAACTGGATCCCTTCCTTACACCTTATACAAAAATCAATTCAAGATGGATTAAAGACTTAAACGTTAGACCTAAAAACATAAAAACCCTAACCAATGTTCTGATACCACTGCTTCTGTTTTCTTCCAACCCATTCTTCTCAAAGCAGCCAGCAAAGAAAAATAAAAAAAAATGTAAATTAGATTATGTCACTTCTTTTTGCAATGTCCAACAATGCTAAAAGACACACGCGCGCGCACACATACACACACACACACCACACACACACCCCAGAATGCCTATAAAGATCTGCTCCTGCCTACCTGCCCAGTCTCATCCCAAGCCACAGTTTCCTTTGGTCTCTGTATTCCAGGCACCCTGCTTCCTTCCCATTCTCAAATGTGCCAAGCTCTTTCTCACCTTATTGCTTTCATGGGCATTATTCACGCTGTCTGGAGCCTACTGCCCTCCACTGTTCCCCTTACTAGCTTCACTTCCTTCAAGTTTTATATACAATGTCATTTACCTAGTTTAAATTAGGTCACCCTGTAACATTCCAGTGTTTTAGAACAAACATCTGTTTTTCAACTGAAGCAAATTCCCATAGCCAAAACCTTTTAAAGTGAGCAATTCAGCAGCATTTGGTACATTCACAATATTATGCAACAATCACCTCTGTCTACTCCCAAAACATTTTCATCACCCCAGAAGGAAACATTGCACCCACTAAGCAGTTACTCCCCACTGCTCACTCCCCTCAGCCCAGAGCGATCACCACTCTGTGTCTAGTCTCTGTGGATTTACTTATTCTAGATATTCATATAAATGGAATTCTATAATGTGACCTTTTATGTCAGGCTTCTTTTGCCTAGCATTATGTCTTTGAGGTTCATCCATGATGTAGTAACGTATAAGTACTTCAGTCCTTTACGAGGCTGAATAGTATTTCCTTGTGTGTGTGTGTGTGTGTGTGTGTGTGTGTGTGTATATATATGTATATATATATATACATATATATGTGTATATATGTGTGTATATATATATACATAACTCATTTTGTTTATCCATTCATCAACTGATGGACACTTGGATTGTTTCTGCCTTTTGGCCATTGTGAATAGTGCAGCTATAAACATTCATGTACAAATACCTTTTTGAGTCCCTGTTTTCAAGGCTTTTGGGACACCATGCTCTTTTAGGTTGTTGCATGTATCTATGCTTCTAGTGTGGTACCTATGTGTATGATTCTTTGTTTAGTGTCTGCTTGTCCACACTATTTGCTGAACTCCATAGCTGCAAGGGACACTTGTTTTTTTCACCATTGTAGCATCTGACATGAAGCTGAACCATAGGAGATATTTGACAAATATGTGTGAATGAATGAATGAGAAAGCAAGTTGCCCAGATTGACGACCAAGCTAAAGGATGAGACTTGGGGATAAACTTTTGAGGTATCTGGAATGAGATAAGGTGAGGTTTTCATGTGGTTCAATAGCAGCCTCTTCCTGTCACTAGAAAGACTTGGTCACTATCTTCAGTGACCAAGCATCATTATATCTGACACATTCCAAACTTTGAAAACCCCACATAGTACAAGTTTAGGGAAAAGAGTTTTAGTCATACTTTGCCTGTTCCACCGAGGCCTTAGTTGGTGATGTCCACAGCAAAAACTCAGATTTTTGCTCAGAATTCCAGCTAGGGCTCTCCAGAGACCACAACTCCCAGGGCAGAGCTCATTCTGCATTTCCAAGCTTTTCTTTCTGGATATCTTCAGCAAGGCAGAACTGGACAAAGGTGAATGACATTCAAGGTTAATCATGCTGGCGTTCGTGATTCCAGTGACTGTATTTGAGTTTGTTTTTCAATTGTTCTTTTGATGGCTATTCTACTTCTGCGTGCCAACATTCTCAGTTTGTAATGCCAACTGTGCTCTGTAGTGAACAAGAACAAGCCTGCTGCGTAGTGTGAGGGTGGCAGCAGCTTGAGCATTTTTATCGTCTACTCATTGTCTCTGCTGCTGTGTCTTTCAGTCCTCCTCTGATTCTATCAATGAGTCTCTCTCCCTCTACCTTTGCTCTGTCTCTGTTTTCTGTCTGTGTTTCACTCTGCTCTGCTTCATGTTTCTCTGCTCTTCTTCCCGTTCTCTCTCTGTCTTCACCTTTCCTTGTCCTTCTATGCCTCTCCTAGGGGAGGGGATCATGTGCTGCACAAACCATGTGTGTATATTGTTCTGTCTCTTCAGGCTGTTGTTATCCCTGTCAATAAACTTCTTCCTGTCTCCAAGTGACTGGTCCTATCTCCTTTACAATCAGGGGAGACCGGAACTGGCTGCAATGAATGTGAGGAAGTCTTTATAATTAACAGGATCTCTCTGCCATTTACACAAACACTTTAAACTACATAGGGAGCCAAGCATACCGTTTGCACGTCTGATGAGAAGGTAATAAATGTGGGGGAGTGAGTGGAAAAGGGGAGGGCAGACTGAGGTTAAGTAACAGGGAGAGGGTGCTGGGAGGCATCAGATTAACACAGGGTGGGGTGGGTATGGGACGTTTGTATTTAGCTAGGCTCCATAATTATGCTCTGACACTTTCTAGGTGCCAGGCACTGAGCTAGGCTTTAGGAATAGAAAGCTCTAGGGGTAGAGACTCCACCTTAGGTGAATTTAGTTTAAGAAGAGGATGTATTAACAAGAAGACACAATGTCTGAGTGCAGTAGAGAAGCAGATGGTGACTTGTGGATGCTCTCAGAAGGAGAGAAGGAGATGTTAGAGGTGCAGTGATGTTTCAGTGGAGCCTTGAAGGAAGAAAATGATTTGGGTAGAGAGAAGCTGCAGAAGGCAAGACATTCTTGGCTATAGGAAACATCTGAGCCAATGCTCAGGGTTGGGAAGTCAAAGGTATTTGAGGAAGAATGAGAATGTCCTGGTTTTAACAGATTGGGGTTGGGAGAATGGGGAGAGAAATGGATAGGCAGGGGCTGTGATGTCAGAAGCACCAAGTGTCCCATAGGATTCTGGGCCATTACTCCGTGGGGAGCTAGACAATGTCATGAAACTCTATGACAGCAGTGTCCAATAGAACCTCCTGCATGGCAGAAATGCTTCTAACATGGTAAGCTGCACAGGGATATCAAGAATTGAGTCCTTGAAACGTGGCTGATATGACAGGGGAGCTGAATTTTTATTTTTTTTAAATTCTAATTTATTGAAATATAAATGTAAATGGCCCAGATGGCTGATAGCTGCTATGTAAGACAACACACCCCTGAGATGTCATGACCAGCATCTCTGAGATGTCATGACCGTATTGTCAGGTAGGCAGTCTGGCCACAGTGTGACAAAGGGACTGGAGGGCCTGATACTTCAGAGAGAGCAATCGGGACATTCATGGAAGGAGGGGCAGGTAAGGACATAAACCAGGTGAGGACCAGGGACACTCAGGATTGAGCACCTTGGCTGGGGGATGTCATACTGGGGAGTAAAGCCCAGGGATGGGCCTCTGGGAGGTGCTGGCCCATGCAACTGGAGGCCAGCAGCAAGCTGCCACAGTGTTCATACACCCAAGGGTATACATCAGGCCTGGGATCCAGGTTGGGAATATGATAATGAGATTGTGAAGGTCTTTGATGGTAATTTAGCTGTGAATCTTGGAATATCTAAAGCTTGTCTTTGATAAGCCATCCCTTCCCTGGGATCTCTAAGAATATATTATGTGGCCGGGAAACACAGCAAGCCAAAAACACCTCCTGGCTCAAAGGTCCTAAAACTCAAAGGTGCCATAGGGCCTCCTCTGCTTCCTTTTCCTAATGCTGCATTTCATCTTCTGATGAAAAATGAATTTAATTTAAAGCAAAGCAAATTTAATAAAAATCCAGACAGGTATTTTTTTTTTATTTGTTTTGGTGGAACTTGATAAAATTGGTCCTAAAATATTCATGCAAAAATTAAGGCTCAGGGATAGCTAAGATACTTGTGAAGAAGGAGCAAAGGAGTCTTGTTCTTTCATACAGCAAGATTTATTTCAAAGATATGATAATTGAAGCAGTGTAAATTTGGTCCACAGATAGACAAGTAAATCACAGCAACAAACTAGGCAGTGTAGGAAAAGCTCTTAAACACACATGGAAACTTATAAAAGATGGCAGTGGCTTGAACATAGGTGATGAGAGGGATAGTTCTAGTCAATAAATGTTGTGGGAAGAACGGTGATCCTCAAAGAAAAAAAGAACATCTGATCCCTGCTTTAGACCATATGTAAGCATCAAATCTAGAAGGAATAAGCAGTAAAATAATAGAACTTTTAGAAGGAAATTAGGATAACATATTTATGACCTTGGGGTAGATAGGTTTTTTTAAACCATAAACAAAAAGCAAAAATTATAAGGGATAAGATGGATAAATTTGGCTAATGAGATAGTCTCTCATATAACAACACCCATCTGTACAAATAACTGCCAAAAGGTTACTATCTGGAATATATAAAGCACTACTATAAATCAATAATATAAAGACAAACATTTCACCAGAAAAAGTGAACTAAAGATTCATACAAACAAGGGAAAAACCGAATATGGAAACCAAATAGCCAAGCTGTATATAGGAAAAAGTGTTCAACCATATTAATAAGTCATAGATACACAAGTTAAAATACAACAGCATTCCCCACCCATTTTGTGATGCTGATTTTTGCTGAATAGGTGGAGAAAGGCATACTCTCACATACTGCTGGAGTGACTGTAAGTTGGTGTGATTCACTTGAAGATCAATGTAGCAACAACAAATGAAATTGAAGATGTACACACTTTATGACCTAGCACTTCAATTGCTGGGTATTTACCCTCAATAATCTCTCCTACATGTGCACAAACACACTCATGGCAGTGCTACTTGCGCATAAGGGAAATTGGACACACATTCCATGACAACCAGTGAGGGGTAAACACATAAACGGTGGTATAGTTACATAACAAAATACTATATAGAAAAATAAGTTATTGAATTTAGTTTGAATAAACTGAATGGACCAAATCTACACATATCAGCATGGATAATTCTCAAAACCTGATAGCTTGAAACCTTTTTTTGAAAATACTTCAATAGTGTCTGAGACTTTTTATTCCCCTACATCAGATAATCCTGTTAAGTTATTGTAATTAAATCGATGGTGGTTGCACAATTTATAGGTCCTTCAGATCGTAATTTTAATAATGTTATTTTTAACATTATTAAAGAATAATAATAATAAGTGACATTCATTAAGAATTGGCCAATAGATAGTATGTTAAATGTATTTCAGGCATTACCTAATTTAATCCTATAATAATCCCTTGGTTATTATAATATAATTATAGATGCGATTATTATTCCCAATTTACAGATGAGAAAAATGAATTAGGAAAATGGTATTAAATAACTTGTTCAAGGTCATATAAAAAATAAGTGATAGAGGAACAAATATTCAAGGTCAAGATAGGGGCGTAATATAAAATCTAATACAAGGCTTCTGATATTAAGTCCATTGGACAATGTGTTCACCAGAGTATTATTTTAATGAGATTTTTCTGATAATAAAAAATAATTTGGAAGTCACAGATAAGCACAAAAAAATGTAAAGAAACCATAACTCTACCACTTGGACAATACATTTTAATATTTATGTGTTTGCTTTTAATTTTTTAATTTTAGCACTATGTGCAAGTAGTGGTAGGGAAAATTTCTACCCCAAGAAATAACTTAATTATTGACCTATTCTGATCTATTTCTGGAGTTTTTGGAAAAGTTTGAACTCTTCATATGCTGGTCTTGGGAGAATATGAAGGCATGATGGTAAACAGACCTTCACTGAAGTTCTAGCCATCTCCCCGGAAGAAGCCACATTGCTGCTGTCTTCCCAAGTTATTAAAAGTATGGCTGTTAAACCCAATGGGTTCCCAATGAACTCCATCTTATACTTCTCTTAGATAGGGGGAGGCTTTTAATACCTTTCTCATCCTCCCCCTACCATCCTCATACCAACCTAGGGGAGTGAAGTTACCCATCAGGGCATAAGTCTCGGTGTGTCCCATACAGCACATAAATACAGGACATCTGCTCAGAGATGGGGTCACTGCATGATAAAATTCCATGCATGCACCTATGATTCTTTCATTTCTTCTTCTACATGGTCATATTGTTAGGTGTATTCACCCGCCTTGTCTAGAAAACACTTCCAGGCATTATCTAGTGGCAAATGATGCCCTGCAAGGGGACATTTCCACCAACTGGGTCTGTTCACAAATGTGCCACAAATTCCACCTACAACTCCAAAATAGGAGTCCAAAAATAGTTGAAACATTGGCAGCCTCACTGAGAAGGAGAGTGGCTTCCCGCAGGGGCCGCTTCTGAGAAGACAACTTCATTTTGACAGATTTGTGCTGGTGTGTCTGTTAACAACATAGTCTTCTCACTTTTCAAGCTTCTCCAGGATTTCCCAGGGCTTGGAGAGATGTTTGCACAAACTAGCTTCCCGAGATAAATCCCAAGTCACGTAGCCAGGGCTTGGCATCAAATTGAAAGACAGTGCAAAGGAAATTAATTAAAATCTGGCCGGAGGGATCCAACAGAAGCAGACATTTCAAGTGGAATCAATACAAATGTAAGCGCCACAAAGGCTGTGACTTTTTGCCTATTTTATTCACGGCTAAATCTCCAAAGCTAGAAACATTCCTGGCACACAGAATGTGATTAATAAATATTTGAATGAATGAGCTAGATTCAGTTCATTCTGCATTTGTTGAACTGCTACTGTGTGAGGATTTGGGAGCTGGATTTACAAAGGTCCCAGACTGGTGGAGGAAAGAAATTTAAAACAAAAAACAACAACAAATAACTATATAGGATATGTTAAATACTGTGATAAAATGTGTAAAGTCTCTGGGGGAAACGTGACCAAGATATAATTAATTGTACTGGCAAAGGATGGAGTAGCTGCAGAATGAAGGTAACATTCTAGGACTTGGTAGTGTTAGCAGGTAGTAGGAGCAAAAGGGCTTTCCAGGTGGAAAGAGGATCACAGACAAAAATATGGAGGTGTGAAAATGAGTGGTGTATTTAGGGATCACCTCATGGAGTTAAAAAAGCAGCTACCAAGAGCAAGGGCAAGGGGGGCCCTCCCTCAACAGCATGCAGAGACACCGTTTGTTTTGTTTTGTTTTGTTTTTAAGAGCATCTACCAACTTCCAGGCACTGTGCATGTTTAGTAGTAGAGACACAAAGCAAACAGCATAGATGTGCCCTTGGCCACAAACTATTTACAATCTGATAATCTGCAGTGAGACATGCATGGCCAAGGCTGCTATCTTATTCTTCTTTGTATTTCTGAGGTTTCAAATGGATTTGGCACAAAGCAAATACTCAGTAAATGTTGGATGAACAAATGAACAATTCAGAGCAGTTTGCTAAATTGGAATGACAAATAAAAATGAGAGGCAGGCTTAGGCTATACTTTAATGCAAAGCAAAAAAGCAGAGAAAGAAAGAGAAGTAGCATGAGTTTGAAGTTAACTAGCTCAGGTTCAAATTCTGGTCCTACTAAGTGTAGATGACCTATAAGAAAATACTTGAAATCTGTGAGCCTCAGTTTCCTCATCTGTACCTGGATCATCAAGGCCAGAACAGCCAGACACATAGGCAAAGCTCTACCTAATCTGTTATTAGGGGCACACACTCTGCAGAGAGGTTTTAGCACTCTGAGGCACTCAGTGCTTAAGAACATCTTTGGAGATAGACAAACTCAGTTTGAAGTAAAGCTCAACCACTGTCAGACTGCACAACATCAGGAAAGCTATTTAAGTTCCTTGCAGCTCAGTCTTCTCATCTGTGAAATGGGAATAATAATAGTATCTACCTCACAGGGCTTTGAGGAGGATTAGAAAATATAAAGTTGGTGCCTAGTACAAACCAAACTTTCTAACTAAATGGAGCTTAAATTACAGTTGATTCTAGGTGGGCTTGATATTTGATATTTTGACCACTAAATGGTAATACCCCTACAACAAAATTCTAGGTGGGCTTGATATTTGATATTTTGACCACTAAATGGTAATACCCCTACAACAAAGTAAGCTACACAAACATTGTGTTTTGTATTGTTATGTATCAAGCTATAGCAACTTAGCATCTTAGAACAATAGACAAATATTATCTTACAGTTCTGTGAGTCCAGAGTCTGGGCTGAGTTCAGCTGGGTCCAGGTTGCAATCAAGGTCAGTCAGGGCTGAGATTTCATCTGAGGCTGGACTGGAGAAGAATCCATTTATGTAGTTGTTGGCAGAATTCGGTTTCTTGCTGGCTGTTGGCCAACAGCTGCCCTTAGTTTCTCAGCTTCTGGCTTTCTCCATAGGGCAGCTCACATGGATGAGAATCTCTAAGCAAGATGGGCCTGACAATCCTATGTATCAAGTCATGAGAGTGACATCCCACTAACCTTGCAGTATTCTGTGGGTTAAAAGCAAGTCACAGGTCCCGTCCACACCAAGGGGAAGGGATGGCACAGGGCGTGAATGCCAGGAGGTGAGGTTCATTAGGAGTCACCTTAGTCTGCCCACAACAAGTGCAGAGTGTCTTTCTCTCTTGTTCCTCACTGGATTATCAGCCCCTAGAACAGTGCCTGCCGCATGGCGTGTCCTCAGTAAGTAAATGTATTGGATAAAAGAATGGGAAGATCATAAATGTGGTTTCTATAGTGGTGTGTGTGTGTGTGTGTGTGTTTGGGGAAAAAGAAAGGAGTGGATGACTGCTACATTCTGAATTAAGCTGAGAGCAGAGGTGATGAAGAAAATGTCCAGGCAACTAAGGAGTGGTGTTGAAGTTGCCCACTCCTACCTTTGGCTGATATGAGTAGCCACACTGAACAGACTGAGACAGAGCCAAATTGCAACTCCTACCTTTCCCTGGGACCTCTGGGGTGTTCAGTAGCATACACCAAAAGGAAAATAAGATCCTCATTGTGGACAAGTGCTCACAACCTTTACCATGATCAACTGTCACTCTCCTTCCTTGGGGTATGATCAGCAGCTAATGCTACCCTACAGCACATCATTCGACCTTCTCCTGATACACAAGGCAAATACTTTCATTAACAAAATTAAAAAAGAGTAAATGAAAATATCTCAAACTAAAGGAAGAGAAAAAATATAATAAAAATAAAAGGAAGTCACCTGAATTAGGTTTTCAGACCCTCAAAGGAAACCTTTGTTGTGAGGAAAGACTCAGCCTCTAGGACTGGATCTCGGGCAGGTCAGGGGGAAGATGGAGCTCGGAGCCAGAATCCCTGTGGGTTTGGTTGTGGGCTCCTGGGCTCCTGCTCCATACTCATGTTAACTGTGTCTGAGGACAGAGTGGGTTGCCATATAAGCTGGTAGGAGGCCTGTAAAGAGAGGCAGCATTTAAGTTTATGGACAAATAAACTTTATCATGAAATGAACATGTGCCTGAAGGTGGCAAAAGCTCTGCTTTTCTTTCTGTTGGCTGGGATTTGAGGGAAGGGCTTTGCGGATGAATGGATTTAGGAGGCAGCCAGATCCACATAGCCCCGAAGAGGTGCAGATACTGCCCAAACTGCACCTCTCTGCGCTCTGAGTGCACCCAAAGCCCAGACAATGGCAGGCAGGGCCGACCAGCTCCTTACACCACACACATGTTTCAAAGGACCTTGGGAGCAGGTTTTCATGGGAGGGGCAACAGCAATGCTTGGATGGAAGAAGCCGATTGAAATCAATGAGAATTGATTTAGAGTGTGGGGGCCACCGTGTTAAAATCTCCTCCCTCTTGATAGCGCTTCATGAATATTAACAAGGTTAAGATCAATAATGAGCTGATTTTCAGATGCAAACCTGACTTCATCTGCAGATTAAAGGAACGGAATGATGGTGTTTCTTCTTGCACTGCTCCCACCCATATCTTAGTGGATCTAAGACCCCAAAACCCAAATGAAACCTGCAAGGTGCAGGTCACTTCATGCATTGTCACATAAAAGTTTGTTGTACATCTGTTCTCTCTGTGCTTAGATTGGAGGATGTTGGATGTTCTGTGTTCAAAGCCTGTATACAAATGCATGTGTGTGTTTACATGCATTCATTCATTTATTCATAAATTTTGTTTCCATCAGTTTTCTTCAACCCTATTCTTGATCTTTGTCATATCTCAGCTTTTCCCATGGACTCGTAATTGGTTTCCTGGATTTCAGTATTGTTCTTTTTCAAATCACCCTACAAAACTCTATAAAAATGGTTTATCTGAAGATCTGATTCAAACAAGTCTTTCTTCGGCTGAAAAATCTGTCCAATGTTCCCCATTGCCTGCAGGATGATGTCCTAACTCCCTAGTAGAGACATGTCAAAACTGGGGTTTAGCCTCAAACTGCATGTACACTCCCACAATGTGTGAAATGTCTGCATTTCAGCTGGGGCCTAAAGGATGAGAATAGACTAGTTCCAAGAAGACACAGAGGAAGAACATTCTGGACGGACATTACAGAAAATTTAAAGGCCCAAGATAGAAAAGATCACAGTATTTTAGAGAACAGAAAGGGACCAAGGGTATGTGTGTGTGTATGCGTGTGTATGTGCGTGTATGCATGTGTGTATGTGTGTGCATGTGTGTGTGTATGTATACGTATGCATGCACATGTGTGTATATGTGTTTGTGTGTGTGCACACGTGTGTGTGGGTGGGTGGGAACTGATCATTTAGTTATAAATCACCCTTCACCCTTTCCTATTTGGCTGTTGCCTGAACACTCTTCCAGGATAGACTGGGTTAGGAAAGAAGATTCTAGGCATTTCGTGGGAGGTATTAATCAGTGTAATAATTGTGGTGCATGTTGCATACTGGGATTAGATATTTTTAATAGCATAACTAGGTTCCCTCAGTGTAGAGGGAACCTGGGCAGAAGCTAGGAGCCCACCTTAGCTCACGGGGAGTGGCAGCAAGAATTCTGAGAGTGACTTTCCTCCCTGGTGTAGACTCTCAGACTTCACTCTTAAACCTGCGCTAAGACTTGGCTGAGGGTTCACTGACTTCCTCTGTCCTGTTAGAGAGCCTAGGACCAGTGCTCCTCCCCGTATTTTTGAGGAGTCACCTTCTCTGGTGCCTTTGAGTGAGGTCAGACACTTCTCGGAACACCACTTATCGAGAATTTCCCCTGCCCTGAGTGCAGACAGGGTCATGCCCATTTAGCTGTTTCCATTACCGCCTGGCCCTTCCTATCTTCCACTGAGATTTATTAGGACCTCAGAGGCATGAGCCATGACCTGGGCCTGATGCTTTAGATACACACAGTACATTTACGCCACTCCAAGTTCTTTCCCCTCTGCTGTCGTTTTTGGTTCCCTCAAAGTTCAAAAGTGTGGCAGGATGTGTCCTACCAACCCCCTTTTGCAGATGTTGAAACCAAGGCCTAGGCATCCTAAATGATGCCCCCAGTCCCACCCACTGTGAATGGAAGGTGGAAGTATGCTGGATTCTTCTGCCTAATTAACCCACCTGTTTCCTTTCTTTGTGCCTCTACATGGTCCCAGAATTGGAAAAGTTTATGGATCATGGAAAATTGGTTTTCATGTAAATCCGTGTTCCATAACTCAGACTGGACCTAACTCTCCCCTGCAGTTTTACAGTGGGTTGGCCCATACTCCCATTCTTCCCAAGGGCTACTTCAAATCTTTTTTACTTTCCCAAAACCATGCATCCTGCTTCTTGCCCCTTACTGTCAGCAAATGACCTCAGCTCCCTACTTGCAAATGGAAGCTCCCCTCACCATTCAGTTAGAGAACAAGCCAACAGGTCTGCCGATGCCACCCCTCCCCTGCCTTCCTGCCTTCCACAGCAGGGCAGCTGCCGCACCTGAGCTTCAGGTCCCAGCCCTTCCCACCCTGAGACCTTTCACCTTTTCATTCCTTGTCTTTCTTGTAAATTCAATCTCCACCTCTAACCAGAAAATTCTCTATTGAATTCTAAAAATGCTCAAGTCTCTCCTATTAAAAACAAGAAAACAACAACAAAAGTCCCACCTCATTAGACCTCTTCCTCTCTCAGCTTCTGTCCTACCTCTACCACTTCCATCATAGTCACGTTTCTCTAGAGGGTTGTATGTGCTTACTGGCTCCATTTTTTTTTCACCTCCCATCCACTTCTCAGTTCACACTAATCTGGTTTCTGTTCTCATCACTCACTGAAAAAGTCACGATGACCTTCCAAGTCGCTAAATCCAATAGACCTTTATCTGTCATTGTCTTCCTTGAACCCTTCATGGCATTCAATTCCAGAGCACGCTCCCTCTCTCTTTCTTGAAATACTCTTCCACTGGCTTCTGTGGCAGCACATTCCCTTGGTTTTTCTATCTCTCTGGAAGCTTTCTCTCCGTCTCCTTTTCATGAGTCTCCTGAATACTGCCATTAAATGTCATAGTTGCTCAAGGCTCAGCTTGAGACTCTTTCCCTTCTTAGGTGAACTCATCTCATATGACCTTAATTTCCGACTATCAGGAAGATAGAAATATATTTATTTGAGGAAAAAAAAGAATGATACATGTTCTCTATATACGAAACTGCCCAGTTGACATTCTCTTTTGAATGTCTTAAGGGCACCAAATACTCAACTTCTAGAAAAATAATGTCACCATCTTTTGCCTCAGCTTCAAATCTGGTTCCCTTACAGAATCCCCTTCTCACACTGGTTGCCATCCTCCAGCCAGGAGTGCAGGCCAGAAACCCAGGAAGTCATTTTCAACACCTTTATTCCTTACCCCATCCAATTCATTACCCAGTCCTGTAATATACATTTTAAGTATTTTGCTAACTATATCCCTTACTACTATTTTGGACCTAGAAAGCATACTGAACTGAAAGAGCAGACCTGGCACAACCAGTGACAATCTATATGATCCTGAGCTAAGCTAGGCACGTGGTGCAGAGACCAGTGAGGGCTATTGTGAATAGAAGCTCCTGCAGGTGAACAGGGCCAAGCAGGAGATTATGAAATCTCAATAATTTCCAATAATTCTTTAACCCTAATGATGGACTTAGTTTCCTAATGTAGTTTAAGGGCTTTAAAGCTAAACTGTCCAGTCCAGATTTCTGCAAGTAAAACTCAGAAATGGGTAACACTGGTCCTTATTGGAGGCTATTAAGAGAAGGAAAGCAGCTGCCTTCGACAGAAACATATTGACAGAAGGAGTGGGAGTGTGGACCTGTAAGAGGTTTCCAGGCATGGTTTACAAAGTCTATCCAAAGGTCTTGTTTCACCTCAAGTTCATCAATGCTTGCAGGGTATCTTTCTGTGGCTGTAAATACTCCTCTGAATCTTGCTCATTCCTAACCTGGAGTTCTAAATTCAAAGCAGTTAACCCTTCAGGAGGATCTGAGATTTACATGCAAGGAGATTTACTGGTGAGTGCTCACAGGAATATCAGCACAGAAGACAGCAGCAGGATTGGGCAGATGGAGGAGCTGAACGGTGCTGTCATTGCAAGAGCACTTCAGCCAAACACACAGGGATGCTGTGATGAACCCCAGAGACTTCCTGAATTGGAGCAAGGGACCAAGCCTTTGTACCTGCTGCTTTGGCTATTAATGGAGGTTAATAAAGGTTGACTCTGGGGAAGGGGCTTAGTGTTGAGTTGGGCAGGTTCCTTTAGTCAATGGCAATTTCCACAGAAGGATGAAGGTATGTGAGCAGTCGGGAGCCTCACACCTGGAAGCTGGGTGAAGGACTGCCTTGGTCCTTGTCCTGAAGAAGGATCTGAGTGCTGCAGCACAGCATCCACTGTACTCACTTGGCCAGGTGTATCATGATCTGCTGCTGTTCCCTACCCTGTCTTTCCTTCTTTCCTTCTCCTCTCTTATGAGGTGATTCATAAGGAGGCTCCAGACCTTGCTTTTGCCTTTTTTTTCCAATTAGAATTGCTTCCCTTCCCAACCTGTAGCTTCCTCTTCTTCTTCACTCTCTTATCTTACACCCTTAACCAAACTCCAGATCCAACCTGAACACACCTGGCACATCACTCATGGACTCCCACACTTCTCTCTCACTTTCTTCCTTTCCATGCCCCTCTAACTGTCTCTATCTCTCTATCTATCATATCTATCTATCTATCTATCTATCATATCTATCATATTTATCTATCATATCTATCAATCGTCTTCTCTATCTATGTATCTATCTATCTCTGTCACATCTATCCATCATCTATCTGTCTATCTGATCTATCATATCTATCATCTCTATTATCTCTATCTATCATCCATCTGTCATATCTATCCTATCTATTTATCATCTATCTATCTATCTATCTATCTATCTATCTATCTATCTATCTATCTATCTATCTATCCATCCATTATCTCTATCTATCTATCTATCATCATATCTATCTATCTATCTATCTATCTATCTATCTATCTATCTATCTATCATCTATCAATCTAGGTATCTATCATCTATCCTCTCTCTCTCTCTCTGTAAATATATCTAACTTCAAGCCTATCTCAGGCCACTTTATTAAAATATCAGTGTTGTAGCTGAGATCTGAGTGAAGATCCTACTGTCTTCACTCAGCTGTGGTGGTATTCCTAAGAGCAGTCACCAAATAAACCTTGCATGTAAATATCATGGTATATGTAATTGTCATTATTCTTTTAAATTTAGTTTAATCACACAGCTGATAGGCTTTCAGTTTAAAACTCTTCAAATGATACACAGCAAAATTCACCACTTAATATCCCCTCCACTTCTTGCCCCAGAAGTGATTCACTTATCAATTTTTTCATACATAAATATATATAAAAATGCATATAGATGTGTGGTTTACTTCTGTATTACATTGGACATATGCCTTGCTACATTCTTTACTCACTTAACAATATATTGACAATGTATGTTGGGGCTGACTAGTACCAGCTTGTGAGAGCCGACTGTGTGGATCTCTTCCCAACTCCACTTTCAGTATCATCACATGGGTAGCCTGTGATTGGCCATGGTGGGAGTATTTACACCACAGAAGGCAGAAGGCAGCAAACCCTGCCAACCAGTGTCTGTCCTGGAGAGCCGGTTGTTAAACATATACTAGTTCACTGCTGATTGTAGAATCGTTTAATGTCCATTTGTATACATTTATTTTGTCTTAATTCTTGCAAAATTTTTAACATTATGAATAAATACAGTTTAGCCAGTCCCTGAATGAACGGTTTTCAGATTATACCCACATTTTCACTTGCACACACAATGCTTCACTGAATGATATTTTCATTTTTGGACAAGTCTGTATTTTTCTCGTAAAGTTACTTAGCAGTTGTACTCTTGGGTTGAAGCAAATATGGGTTTTATATCATAATAGACAAGGCTAACCTGTCTTTCAAAATAGCCACTAATTTACACCTTATCGATAGTATGTATCAGTACCATTGTGATACTTTTGTGATACTGCCAGTCTTTTTAATAATTGCACATAGCCAATCTTCCAACTTGTAGATTCCTTAGGCAGATAAAGGGAAAACTGCTATTGTACTGAAGTATTGCTATTAGTAAAAATATCATGATAATGGCGATAACAAAGATGATAATGGTAAAATAGTTTTAAAAGTAGTCATGCATAATTATGTTTTCAAATATGGCTGCTAATTGCGCAAAAAAACTGATATTCTAAGTTTTTATCTTCTTTTTGCAGGAGATGTGGCTCCTAAAATCATGGAAAAAATTAACTTGGAGTTTAGGCTTGTGCCACTACCCTGAGTGATTCAAACTATTATTGTGCGGTATATAATTTTTTGACCAAAAAATGTTAACTATAACTTTTTACACAGGGCATTTAATTTAATCACGGCGACCTGAAATCATAGTCTTTCCCTGTAATGGTTTTAAAGTACCATTCCAGCCACTCAGGATGAAGTGCTCAGGAATAATTCAGGTGCCTCATCTAATGCCCTCACTTATAGACCTCCGGCAGAAAATGGGGATTCTGCAGTTTGTTTTTACTGGCTGTATTGATCTGATCTGAAGAATTTCTTCCTCCACAGCTAAATCAGTAAATTCCACACTTAGCTGGCATTTTGCTCCAGTACTTATACGGAGAGTTGAATTTGGAGTCATGAAACAATATATTGTCACTGTTACTGATCCTGGCGCATTGCTATTAAGGGGAGTCTATAAAATTCTTGCCTGTGTGTGGAAAATCACTATTGCCAAACATCAGGGATGAGATAAGCCTCTTGAAAATAAGATATGCCTGCTTATATTCCATTGTATATCTCTCTAGTAGCCTTTGGTGTGAATCATGTTATTTGAGGGCATATTTGGCTTTTTCAAATTGTTAATGCTCGTGGAATCTTTCTTCAGAGATCAAGTTTTAGGCTTTTTGCTTCCTTTTCAAAATCAGGGGCTACTAATGTTAAATGGACTTTATATCATAAGAGCTAAACATGATTGAGCTCTTCCTGTGTGCCCTAGTGTGTGGTAGGCACTTTTTCATCATTATCCAATTTAGTCTTCACAACTACCTTGTGGAGTAGATATTATTATTACTCCCATTTTACAGATGATGCCACTGGAGCTTAGTGGATTAATAAAATCACACAGCTAGTAAATGATAGAGCTCAGAGAGTCAAATTCAGGGCTCTTTTCTTTAGAAACCCAGCCCTTTCCTGAGGTGATATCCTCGAATTAAATTCTTTTTTTGGGGAGGGCCCTGATTGGTCAACACATCCTTTGATGGGCAGCCAGCTGGGCAGTGATCAAGAGTGGAAGCAAGAGGCCAGAGCCTTAAGTTGGTAGACCACAAGCCCGGGAATGTGTTTCCTCTTCCTTTGTATTTCAGTTAGGAGACTGTAAGGCTGGCCCACTCCTCATCCCTTCCAAGACTCCACAAAAACTAGCTCACTGATCATGTCTGATTTTTCACCTTAGGTAGGCAAAAATAAATTTTTAGAGAGGAAAAAGAAAAAAAAATACACACACACACACACACACACACACACACACACACACATCCCCAATAAGCATTAAAAAATAGCATCTCAGGGAACAAAGGATATGCTTGATTCTACAGGCATTCCAGCTTAAAGGAGGTCTTGTTCTGTTAAAGCTTGCAGAAAACAAAAGGGCTGCAGCTTTCCTGGATTTGATGTTTCTCTCTAGAGGAGCAGTGCCATTCAAACTAATCAAAGTTTTACTGGGTTCAGAAATGCCAAACCAGCACATTTTGTATTCCTATTCCCCCAAAAACACTGTCTGCAAGTGAAAAACATCTGCATCTAAAACAAGACAATTAACAAGAAGACACGCGCGAGGCTGATGCTAATGCTGCGGTCTATTTTTGGTTGCCAGCTAAGTGAGGTGCAGAAGCAGAGAAGGAGAGCGTGCCTCCCTCTTTTTTTATTTTTTTCATTTTTATTTTTTAAACTGCGGTCAAATGTACATAACATAAGATTTACCATTTGCACCATCTTTTAAATGTACAGTTCAGTGGCATTAAGCACATTGACATTGTTGTGCAACCGTCACCACCATCTGTCTCCAGAACTTTTTAATCCTCCCAAACCGAAACTCCATACTCATGAAGCATTAACTAACTCCCAACTCCTCCCTACCCCCCAACTCCCAGCAACCACCCTTCCACTTTCTGTCTCTGAATTTGGCTACTTTAGGTATTTCCTCTAAGAATCATACAATGTTTGTCCTCTTCTGGCTGGCTTATTTCACTTAGCATAATGTCCTCAAAGTTCAACCATGTTGTAGCACGTGTCCGAATTTTGTTCTTTTAAAGGCTGAATGATATTCCATCCTATATATGTACCACATTTTATTTATCCATTCATTCGTCCATGGGCACGTGGGTTCCATCCACCTTTTCACTATTCTGAATAACGCTGCTATGAACTTAATTGTACAAATATCCATTGTGTCCCATTGTTTCCCTGCTTTCAGTTCTTTTGATGTCAAGAAGTGGAATTGCTGGATCATAGAGTAATTCTGTGTTTAATTTTTTTTTTAGGACCGGCCACACCAGTGAGTGAGTCTCTTAACCTTTCTTAAGCCTCTCTCTGGCTAAGCTCAACTCCCTTGGGGAGACTCTAGGGGATGCCACCTGGGAGGGCATTGTGGTGGAGGGGGTGACACTCCAAGGAGTCTTCTTGGGGAAGGAGCTGAGTGAGAGGTGGTCCTCATGCACCTCATGCAGAAGATACCTTTAGGGAAAGAGAATGGCTATCCCTGGAGACAGGGATTGAGCAGCAACTGAATTCATAGACAATTTTTGGAAGCCTGATAAATGCCAATGCTAAAGATGTCAAACAGGAAGAAAAAAATTTTGTTTAAAACAAAGGTTATTGCATTATATTTAAGGACAGATGCTGCTTTTATTTTAGGAAACTCAAGGATGATGGCTGTAATAGGAGTATGTTTATTTTAGTTAGGTTCCCTGGGCAAAGCCTACATGGGTGGGGATAATTTTTTATATTTCTACAGGTCAACGAGGAGAAAAGAGTTAATGAGGGCAGGAAGAGGGAAAAGAGGAGATGTGAGAAAGATTGAGCAAGTGGAGAAAGCCCAAGAAGAGGCCAGGAGGTGAGAGTCTCAGGAGAGAAAGTGGGCCATTGAGAAGTCCCTGAGTCAGGGGTAGCTAAGGAATGCTGCTGGGTCAGTAAGAACCAACCTTTGACGTATTGTTTCCTGCAACTATATCATCTCCTTGCTTTCACTGTAAACCTTAAGTGAATGCTTGCTACCGCAAATGAGCATCGTGTTACTAACATTATCAGGATTTCATGAAGGAAGGGGTTGGTGTTTGGCTTAGGTGAGCTTCCCCCAGAAGGAGATGCTGTAACATGCGTTTCAGTGAAGTAGATCATCTGGGATTTGGGGAGCACCTATAAGGGAGCATAGAAGTGAGATAAAGGGAAGAAAACGATTCAATATGAGTTCATGAACAGGTTACCTCTGTGAACAACTAGGGCTCAGTCTCCCTGGAACTCTCTGCAAGGCTGTGTAGAACAAGACTCAGAATTATCCCTGGGGCAGGAAACGGAGGGCGATAACTACTTAAAGTCTAGGTCTCATTGCTTTTTAGAATGAGGGCAATTACTGATGCTCTGATGGGTGCCTTGGAGCAACTTTGTGAGCAAATGTGCAAAGAGTAAATGTTGCTGGGGCCTAAAGATGAGCAAGGTGAATGCATCCTTTTCCTGTATACCCCACTGGCAGACAATCATGGGCTGAGCTTTCCTGTTTGTCTCCCTAAGCCAGCTCCCACCTCTGATCTTTCAACCATTGGACAGAAACATAGCAACAGGAAGGAGGAATATAGCAATAAGAATTTGTTCTAATTCTTCTCTCTCAAGAAGTATTTTCCATAAGATAGAACGCTATTGACATTTTTAGACTTTTATTTATTGGATTAATCTCTGATTTATCATTCAGTGTACTTTTCTGTCTGCTATGGAAATGATGAATGATGTCATAATTATAATTTTAAACACTTCAAAAAACATCTCAAAAAATCCACCTTTCCTCTCCATCGCAAACAACATTCTAGTTTTTGTACATTCCTTTTAGCTCTAGCACTGTGGATAAATTTTACATAATATTAATTATGGCCTGCAAGGAATTTTATATTCTGCTTTCATCAATTATCTTTTATCATTTAGATTTAATTTATATTTTCTTCAGTCTTTATAGATAATGTTTGAATAGCAACAAAGTATTTCATCCAGCGGCTGGACAATAATACATTTCACTAGTCCCCCATTTCTAGAAATGGATGATTATCCCAGATTGGGTTCCAAAGGAAGTGGGCTCCAAAACAGACACTTGCAGGGAGATCTATTACAGCGTGCTCTTGAGGATCAATACCTGTGGAAGTCAGGTACAGACAGCACAGGGCAAGAGGGAAGTTGATCTCTCATGCAGTTATTATGAAGGTGTTAGCTCAGCCCAGGAAGAGCTTTGAAGCAGGGAGGGTCTTGCGAAATTGTGTCAAGTTTGGGCAAGCAGACAGGGCCTTAACACCATCACATTGATTAGTCACTGGATATGGGCTATAACCTCAGGCAAGGCAGTTTTCTTCAGGCCAGGAAATTTCCAAAGAGGTAGATAGCTGAGGGCTGTCTTACAGGTCCCTCAGAGCAATGTGGGTAGTGCATCAGTGCCCAGCCCAAGGGCATTTTCCAGTTTTTCTAATTAAATATCACAGCGATGAGCAACTTTGGACAGAATGTATTTTCCACTACTTCTTTCTGGAGATTCTGGACAAAATTCAAAAGTTGAAACTTATGTGTTTCCAGCTCTGGGAATTTTGCCTCTAAAATATTTTCTGACACTGACACAGTTGCTCAAGCTCTTTTGTTTCCCTGATTTCTAAAATGGTGACACCAACTCCAGCTAATTAAAAATATAGTGGGAAGAAAAGTAACATCATATGTGTGAGGCATTTTGAATATTACAAATGTTTTTCTCAAACTTACATTGGATAATGGTTGTAAAATACAGATTCTCAGGTTCATTCCCTAGATATTCCAACTGACAACATTTCAGGGGGCCTAGAAACCTGTATTATGAAACAATATACCACACAATTCTTATCCCTGGGAAAACTGAGAATTGCTGCTTTAGAATATAAAACTTGATGAATCCAGCATATTTGGGTATTACTCTGCTGCTCTTTTAGAAGGAAAACAATTTGCATCCTGTCTCCTTTGCCTGCACCCTTCATCAAGTCCACTCTAGTTTCAGCACACTCTTTTGTTATCCTGTCACTTAACCATCTTCTTGAAATAATTACAGTCCAAACTACAAATGTATTTTCACATGAGCTCTTAAGTAAACATCCCCCACTTATGACTCCCTGCTGGACATTCACTGAGACCCGAAATTGTGGAGGCCACTGTGTCAGGCATTTTCTATACATGATGCCATTTAATTCTTTTAGCAACACCTAAGGTAGATTTTATCATCTCTACTTTTCCATGGGAAGAAAAGGACTGTTTTGGAGGTTGAAGAGAGTGTCCAAAGGCTCGATGAGCTATTAACTCCTCCAAGGTGTTAGGTTTGGCAGTCACTCTTAAAAGTTGTAAAGCCAAACTCTCAAACATTCCTCATAAACTCATGGGTATCTGTAACAGAAGACTTTTTCAGTTGTAAGTCACACAAAACCCAATCCAAACTGGCTTAAGCAAAAAGGGAATTTATTGGCTCATGTAACTAAAAACTCTATGAGTAACTGGCCTTCAGATGTGGCTCTTTGCAGGGGGTCAAATGATGTCATCAAGATTTTTTTTTTGCCTCTCGACTTGAGTAACTGTGTCTTCTCCATTGTTTCCATTCCCAGAGAGACTCACCTCCTCTTGTAAAGTGGCTGCTATCAACTCCTTCCAGCTTTATCTCCAATGGAAAAGAGTCTTAGGCAGTCATAGTCACAAGGTCTGGAGAATTTCCATGATTGGAGATACTTCAGACATGTACCTAATATTAACTGTTGCCTGGAAAAAAGACAACTTGGGTCATGTGCTCACTCCCTGTTCCTCCAAAAACTTGAAAACTGAGTGGTGGAGGGGCAAATCTCCAAACTAAAATTTGGGCTGTTACACAAAAAACAAAGAATAGATGCTGAGGAGCCAATAGGTAAATTTCTACTGCTATATCATCAGCTTTTTCTTCACTTTCCTTTTGTATTGAGTCTTGTTAAATATCCTCTAACAGCCTGCCTAGAGAATTCAAGAACTGTTCCAAAGACTTCATACACTAACTTAGCAATGACTTATTAGACACGTACTGTTATTGTCTCTATACCTACACACAGATGAGGAGGCAGGAGCCTTTGTTAAAGGTGAAATTGGAACACAGGCCAACTGGCTCCCAGATCCATTCTTTTTCCCACCACCGTCTATGGCCTTTAAAAATCATACGTCTTCGTTGTCTAGAGTCAGTGTAATGCCATGGGCTTCACATGATCTCTTTCTGAACCACTCCTAGATAGCATCCAGCCTCAGGTCTCTTCCCCTCCATCTATCTAACCTACACATCTTCCTAGAGAATCACACCCACGCTCTCTCACCCACACATCATCTGTAGACACCAGCCACATGCCTCGCTCTACTCTAGATACTTGGGAGTGGGAATGAGGAGTATGTGTTCAAGAAGACAGTCTTGATTCTTGCTCAGGCAGAGACCATGGAAAATTAAACAGGGAATTATGAAATAATTCACATGCCTTCATATTTTACCTAGGGACAAAGCATCAAATGAATAAACACACATAGTTATGTACTTTGAGTGTCCTTCTGTCAGTGTTATTCATATACTTTAAGATGAGCTGGCTGAGGGATTAAGAGGCAGCTTTTATTTCTGGTAGCTTATAGATACAAGTTCTCAGCTGCAAAGTTCTGGCTTGGGCCCCTTGTGAGTTCTTGGACTGCATGAAACTTAAAGCATGATGGTTTTTCCCAGTGGTCCCCCAGATGTGCTAGAGCATCTCTAAGGTATATATGTTAGGTCTTTTCCTAGGGGATCCCACTATGGTTATGAGAGTGAAAATATGTACAGTATGTCACAAACACCAGCTGTTACCTTGCAATAATGGCATTTCTCTCTGGAGCTGATCCTGGAAGCAGAGAAGTAACATAAATCACACTGGGAAGAGCCTTGGACTAGGAGTCAGGAGGTCAGCATTACAGCTCTCCTATTGCCCTATGTCTGGGTGGTCTCTATAAAAGTCTCTTCTCTTAAAAACCACATGATTACCTCAATAGGTGCAGAAAAGGCCTTTGATAAAATTCAACATCCTTCATGTAAAAATTCTCAGTAAACTAGGTACTGATGGACCATATCTCAAAATAGTAACAGCTATTTATGACAAGCCCACAGCCAATATCATATCGAATGGGCAAAAGCTGGAAGCATTCCCTTTGAAAACCGGTACAAGACAAGGATGCTCCCTCTTGCCACTCCTATTCAACATAGTATTGGAAGTTCTGGCTAAGATAATCAGGCAAGAGAAAGAAATAAAGGGTATTCAAATAGGAAGAGAGGAAGTCAAGTTGTCTCTGTTTGCAGATGACGTGATTTTATATTTAGAAACCCCATCATCTCAGCCCAAAACTCCTTGAACTGATAAGCAACTTCAGCAAAGTCTCGGGATACAAAATCAGTGTGCAAAAATCACAAACATTCCTTTACACCAACAATAGAAAAGCAGAGAGCCAAATCATGAATGAACTCCCATTCACAATTGCTACAAAAAGAATAAAATACCTAGCAATACAACAAACAAGGGATGTGAAGGACCTCTTCAAGGAGAACTACAAACCACTGCTCAAGGAAATAAGAGAGGGCATAGGAACAAATGGAAAACATTCCATCCTCATAAATAGGAAGAAACAATATCGTGAAAATGACCATACTGCCCAAAGTAATTTATAGATCCAATGCAATTCCCATCAACTACCTTTGACATTCTCAACAGAATTAGAAAAAACAATTTTAAATTTCGTATGGAACCAAAGAAGATCCCGTATAGCCAAGATAATCCTAAGCAAAAAGAACAAAGCTGGAGGCATCATACTACCTCACTTCAAACTATACTACAAGGCTACAGTAACCAAAACAGCATGGTACTAGTACCAAAACAGACATATAGAGCAATGGAGCAGAAGAGAGACCTCAGAAATAACACCACACGTCTACAACCATCTGATCTTCGACAAACCTGACAAAACACGCAATGGGGAAAGGATCTCCTATTCAGTAAATGGTGCTGGGAAAACTGGCTTGCCATATGGAGAAAACAAACTGGATCCCTTCCTTACACCTTATACAAAAATTAACTCAAGATGGATTAAAGCCTTAAATGTAAAACCCAAAATCATAAAAACCCTAGAAGAAAACCTGGGCAATATCATCGAGGACATAGGCATGAGCAAGGACTTCATGACAAAAATGACAAAAGAAATTGCAACAAAAGCCAAAATTGACAAATGGGATCTAATTAAACTAAAGAGCTTCTGCACAGCAAAAGAAACTATCATCAGAGTGAGTAGGCATCCTACAGAATGGGAGAAAGTTTTTGCAATCTGCCCATCTGACAAAGGTCTAATACCCAGAATCTGCAAGGAACTTAAACTTATTTATAAGAAAAAAACAAAAAACCCCATCAAAAATTGGGCAAAGGATATGAACAGACACTTCTCAAAAGACAACATTTATGTGGCCAACAAATATATGAAAAAAGTTCAACATCACTGATCATCAGAGAAATGCAAATCAAAACCACAATGAGATACCCATCTCACACCAGTCAGAATGGCGATTATTACAAAGTCAGGAAACAACAGATGCTGGCAAGGCTGTGGAGAAACAGTAACACTTTTACGCTGTTGGTGGGAATGTAAATTAGTTCAACCATTGTAGAAGACAGTAGGGCAATTCCTCAATAACCTAGAACCAGAAATACCATTTGACCCAGCAATCCCATTACTGGGCATATACCCAAAAGAATATATATCATTCTTCTATAATGACACATGCACACATATGTTTATTGCAATGCTATTTACAATAGCAAAGACATGGAAACAAACCAAATGCTCATCAATGATAGACTGGATAAAGAAAATGTGGTACGTATACACCATGGAATACTATGCAGCCATAAAAAGGAATGAGATCATGTCCTTTGCAGGGACATGGATAAAGCTGGAAACCATCATCCTCAGCAAACTAAAACAGGAACAGAAAACCAAACACCGCATGTTCTCACTCATAAGTGGGGGCTGAACATTGAGAACTCATGGGCACAGAGAGGGGAACAACACACACCAGGGCCTGTTGTGGGGAAGGGGGTTGGAAGAGGGAACTTAGAGGACAGGTCAGTAGGTGCAGCAAACCACCATGGTACGTGTATATCTTTGTAACAAACCTGCACATTCTGCACATGTATCCCATTTTTTTAGAAGAAATAAAGAAAAAAATTCTTCAATTAAAAAAATCTGTGATTAATATGAAAAAAAACTCTTGTCTTTTCTACATCTCAGGCCTCCCTTTTGCAGAGTGAAGGGATTGAAATAGATAAACATGAAGTGATATTACCCACTGTGCCAAGATTGGAGGACAAAGAGGCACTGGAGAACATTTTCTAGGTTCTTAGACAAGTTGTATTCTGATCAGGGCGTGGAAAGTTATGACAGAATTTTGTTAGGAATGTGCATAGAAAGACATCAGGACAGGTGCCAAATCTAGGAACCAGGTGTTCAGAACAGACTCAACTATCCATGTCTCAGGACTGATCAGGGATGAGAGGACATTAGAGAGACCATATGATGGCATCGAAGTGTGGCCAGAAGCCATATGCGTCTTCATGAGCCTGCATCTCAGGGTTAATTCTTCCAAGTCCTGCCCTTAGTCTGCTTCCTACTAAGGACTCTTCCTCCTCCTTTCTCTTTCTTGGAATAGTCCCAGGACTTTATTGTCTCACGAGACAGAGACTTTGCCTTCTTCATAGCTTTGCCACAGGCAGTTGATCAAATTGCATGGATGGGGAATTCTGGTCCTTATTAGAAAAACAGAGAACTTCTCCCAGATGTGACAAATGTTACACACACTTGCTCTCATTCCTTCTCCCTGTGTCTATAAAAACATCACTAACCAATTACTGCTTCTTTCCCCTTGGGCTTGGGCATAGCTTTAGGGTCTTCAGCACAGTCTTCCAAACAGCTAGTACCAATCCACTAAAGATGGCACTTAAGATGAAACTGATTGCTCAAACTAGCCTCCAGGTTGTCTCATCGATAGTTCTTTTGAGAATATAACCTTAGTATCCTCCCATGGTAAGTGGCAACGTGGTTTGAAGCTTAATTTTCAGATAAATAATGAAATAATAGGAGCTGTAAAGACAGATAGAGATAGACAGAAAAGTTTTAGGTACACTGCCTACAGAAGAGTTGGGTAACTGAGCCTATTTAAGGCTGGAACTCTGGGTCATAGACTGTGAGCATAGGCAGCTGAGCAGATGTGGCCAGGGGGTTCCCCATTTGTATCTGTCTGGGCTTAGTACAAATGGACTTCCACATGTCTCCTAGAGTGTCTGGTGTCTCCTAGAGTATCGTTTCAACTTGTTGGCTTTCATTCAGATTGGATTTTAGGTACAGACAGGATCGTGTCTACCCATCCTATCATTATTATATTCTACCAGTCTATTAAGAATTGATAAGTAATGGGCTGGTCCTGTTTCCAGCCCACTTCAATCATGTCTTAGTAATGGGGGTTTCCAAGGAAAGAATTACAATTGAGTAAGCACGTGACCTCCACATTCATATTTAATCAGATGCCAGAGGACCTTGGGCAGATCTCAGGTTGCCAGGGGTTCTACAAGAAACTGTAGGGTCTTGACTCTTAAAGGGACAAGTTTCGTCCTTTGTTGGAAATACAATAATAACAATAAATGCAAGAAAAGAAGATACAGAAGATAAGACATTGGCCTGATGTTTTAGTAGAGATCTGGCTTAAGGTGAAAGCAGTACAGACTGAAAACTTTGGTGTGAAGTTAATCCTTTAGTTTCATGTATCTTTGAAATAACATGGAAAATGTGAGCCTCAACAGAGAACCCTGAGTTGTCACCATGGCTGTATTTTAGAGTGGACTATTAATTTTCCTAATTAGAGACAGTGCAGTGCAGTAGAAAAAGATGTAGGGTCTGACATACCTGGATTTTAAACTTAACTCCATCCCTTACAATCTATCAACTTGGAACATGAACTTACTCCTCCTAACCTTCAGTTTTCTATCTACAGAAAATGGAGCAAATTGTAATTGTTTGTACTGTTTAAATGGCATTTCTCTAGGAAGATGGAAGAACCACAGTATTATATATGAGCGTATAGAGATCTGTCCATAGGCATCAGGCACTTTTAGGTCACCTGTCTTTAGCCCTGTTAGAACAGCATCTTAGACCAGCAAAATCCCAGACACTGTTCCCACCTGGGAGTCTCACTTATTCCCCCTTGTGAAGGGTAATTGTGCTTGTACAGCCGGTTCAGCCTTTTTCTATTTAGCCAGCACTCAAGTCTCACCAGTGATTCTCAGGAGGCCAGCAATGAATATTGTTTAAATAGAAAATGTTGTTTGTGCATGCAGTGTCAATGAAGATGTTATTAATACAGCTCCAGGAAAGCAGCTGCTGCCAACCGGCTGGAGAAGCCACAGCCCCATACAGAGCCTGTCCCACAATTTCAGGGCTGAGAGGCACTTAAAAGGCATCAGGTCTAACCTCTGTCCTATGACCATCTGACCTAGATAGGCTCCAGCAGTTCCAAGGGAAGGACACCTACCAACCATCTTAACCCATAATGTGGTTTTTCCATCTCTGGATAAATCTGTTCATTACAACTTTTGTGTTTGTTTTCCAGCATTGGCCTCAAATTTGCTTTTTAAGAATATTCTCTCATTGATGATAATTCAGATCCTTGTGACTACACGGTACAAATAAAATATCCCTTCCTTGTGACAGTTGTGGCTTCAGGGAGGTGTCTCTACTTGCAGGTTAAGCCTTCCCAGTTTTCCCAAGGATCCTTCAGATATCGTGGCTACTGACCTCTATTGCGTCAGACCCATGTCCCAGCTCCACCTTGGACTAGCTGGCTGTGCAGTCTTAGGCAAGCATCCTTATCTCACCCAAACCCCAGTTTCCTCATGTGTGAAGCAAGAAACACGCATGGGTATACATTTACTTAAAATAGTATGGGGCTTGAGGGATGTGAAATTTAAATGAGAACAGTTATAATATGCTTGACACAGTGCCTGGCACATAGTAGGCACTCAGTAATTATGAGTGATCATTATTGTTGTTTTATCATTCAGCTTGGAGCACAGTACCCTAGGTGCGCTCTAATTAACCCATAATTGATCAGAACAATTAGGTTTCATCAGAGCCTATAAAACTATTAAATGAGCTAGGTCCTACTTACTTTTCCACTCTCACCTCTCACTTGTCATTTTCTGTGTTGGCCATACCCCATCTGCATTGGTCTCCTTCCATTTCTTTGCATAAGCCAGAATCTGTCATATCTTGAGGTCTTCACACATGCTGTCCTCTCCTCGGGGCATGCTTTCTCTTTCCATCTGGATGCACACACTTTTCACGATTTCCCTCTTTTCAAGGTCATCTAGTTTTTCAAAACGTTACTTCCCAAAAGAAACTTTCCTTGATCACTCATCTAAACAGCCTTCCCCAATACATCTTTCACACTATTCCCTGTCTTTGCTGCTCATAACATTCACCAAAATATGCAATTATATATTGACCTGTGTGTTCACCTTCTATAATGTTTATCTTTGCTGCTAGACTTAGAACATCAACACAGGGAAACAGTCTTTTTTGTTTTTTAAAAACTGTTTTTCTCTACATGTTATAATGGTAAATGGTAAACATATAGAACAGTTGAAAGGATTGTAAGGCAAACTCTTATGTACATATTCCCTGTATTAAACAACTAACACTTTGCTGTATTATCTTTATTGCACATTTATTCATCTATCCATCCCTCTTTCTGTCTGTTCATCCATTCATTCTTTTATCTTATTTCCTAATGCATTTCAAACTGAGTTGAAGACATAAGTACACTTCACCCCTAAGCACTTCAGCATGTATATCATTATTAACCAGGGATCAATATTCATTTATGATTCTTCTTTCTTGGGTTAAAATGGACATGTAGTAAAATGCACAAGCGTTAAGTGTACAATTTGGTGAGTTTTGAAAACACATACACCTGTCTAACCCAAACCCCTATCAAGATGGAAAACATTATTGTCACTCCAATGCGTTTTCTTATGCCCTTTCTTAGTGAAACTCCAACTCCACTGACCCCAGAGGCAACTACTGTTTTGATGTTTTTCAACATCGATTTGTTTTTCCTTTTCTAAAATTGTATATAAATGGAATTATAGAACATGCATTCCTTTTTTGTAAAACTTCTTTCACTCAACATAGTATTTTTGAGATTCTTCCAAGTCTCAGCATATATCAATAGATCATTCCTTTTATTGCTGAGTAGTGTTCCATTGTATGGATATACCACAGTTTGTTTATTTGTTCCTCTGTTGATGCATCCCTAGGCTATTTTCTATTTTTGGCTATTATAGATAAAGAGATTATGAGCATTCTGTGACATTCTGTTACATTCATTTATCTTGTTTTTTGGCTACCATGAATAAAGAGGCCATGAGCATTATATTACATATTAGTATATTCTTTTATCTTATGTAAATACCTAGGAGTGGAATGTGGGTCATAGGGTAGGTATAAACTTATTTTTATAAAAAGCTGCTGGACCTTTCTTCAACATAGGTGTAGAAAGAGTCTGTTTTCTTTAGTAACATCAACCAGATAGTATGTGAATTTGGCACAAAGTAAGTGCTTAATAAATATTTGTTAAATTAATACACAGAGAAAATAAATAGAAATATAGTGACTGTTCTAATCCTTTCCTACTGTTTACTAGTGAAGTGTGACTGTTTACGAATCATTTAAGTTCCATGAGCCTTCAATATCCTTTTATGTGGGAATAATAAAATGTGCCTTAGATGCCTGAAAAGGTTAGTGCTGAAGGGCCAGGGGCATGGGGGGAGATTTTAGGAGGTGAGGGACACCATTCATTTAATACAAGCGTGCCCTTCCTTCTCTCCCTGACCTCCCCAGTCTGCAAGATTTCGGCCTGCAGCTGTCAGGGAATATGCCAAAGCCTAGGCCCAGGAGGGGTCAGGGTAGGTGAAAGGGGAAGAGGCACTTGGATCAACCATTGGTTGCTCTCAAATGTCTAAAGTTGGCATTTATATACTTGACTTCTCTCACAGTTTCTCTCCTTCAGATTTAACGTCTAGGTTTCTCTGATTTTAAAACTGGGTTATTTGAATGTCAAACTTTCGATAACCCTTTAATAGAGGTGTCCATTAACCTGTGCTAAATTAGAGCCCAGCGTCCCTGGAAATACATGTGACACCCACATGAATACCAAATGCCTTCATTAGGCACAGCACTTACATGATGAATACCAAATGCAGAGCCCAACGCAGGGACACAGATTTCGCTTCGAGGACTTGCCAACACATCTTTGCGTTTCCTCAGCGGTACCGGTCAGCCCTGTTTGCTGTTTATTTCCAGGTGATGAGATGTGGCAATTGTGGCATTGGCTGAAATAAATAAATGGCATCCTAATCACCAAGTTCAGAGATGGAGCAGCAAAGGAGGCTATAGCTGATCACTCAGGAGTCAGCAAAAGGATGCCCACTTAGTATGCAAGACGACTTCCAAACACTTCATAAAAGGCGATAACTTTCTTTGACCAAAGAATATATTATTTATAAGTGATTCCAATGCCTTCTTCTCTCCCTCCTTCACTGCCATCCTCCTGCCCCCCATTTTCACTGTATGTTGTAGCACTTGTTCAGTGATGAAGCCCCTCGTAATAAATAATTTATAAAGCAATTTACAAGTACATTATTCTTAGCAATAAGATAAGACCTGGAAGAAAGTGTTTTACTGATACACACACACACACACACACACGCCCCTTGGCTTATAAGTAGCAAGCTATCAGAACACCAATAACTAAGGTCCATGGGCTTGGGGTGAAGGGTGTTATAAGCCATAGTGCTGGAGCCCTTATACATAAGCCATGTAAAGTGTCTGAAGTGTATTTGCATAATAAATAAGAGAAAACTCACTAAAAACAGCCTTTTCTCTTAATCCTTGTACACAGCTGCCATGGCTTTGTCCACATGGCGTGATACTAAGTGAAGACAATTTTCCCTTAATGGCTAACTTCTCTTGAGTACATCCATTGAGCCAGGCCCAGTGTTAAGAGTTCTCAATAAATTGTCTTATTTTATCTTCCCTATCTCTATGAGATATGTTTTATTAGTATTCCTGTTACTGGACAAAGTAACAGAGGCTGCCTCCCAGTCTTCAACATTCAGTCTTTGAATTCCCAATCCAGTTAAAGTCACTCACTCAAGTATTCATTCAATGCTAATATCCTACAGGCATTTGATAAGCATCTGTCATTCTTTATTCTGGGAGCTAGGATGCATAGACAGATGATGCATCTATAGCAGTACTGCCTAATAGAAATACAATGTAAATCACAAAGGCAAGCTGCATATAAAATTTCAACTTTCCTTTTTTAAAAAAAATTAGTTTTTTGGTTAAATTAAATTTAACCAAAAATTTGGTTTTGGTCTGTTGCACAGGCTGCGGTGCAGTGGCACCTTCATAGCCTCAAACTCTTGGGCTCAAGTCATCCTCCACCTTAAGCTCCCAAGTAGCTGAGACTACAGGCGTGTGCCACCTTCCTGGCAATATATGTATGTGTGTGTGTGTATATATATATATATATATATATATATATATATATATATATATATAGAGAGAGAGAGAGAGAGAGAGAGAGAGAGAGAGAGAGAGAGAGAGAGAGATAGATAGATATGGGGGTTTCTTTTGTTGTCCAGGCTGGTCTCAAACTCCTGGCTTCAAGCAATCCTTCCACCTTGGTCTCCCAAAGTACTGGGGCTATAGGCATATGTCACCACATCTGGATATTTTTTTATTCTTTATTTTTATTTATTTTATTTTATTTCTTTATTTTTGAGACAGAGTCTCTCTCTGTTGCTGAGGCTGGAGTGCAGTGGTGTGATCTCAGCTCACTGCAACCACTGCCTCCAAGGTTCAGGCGATTCTCATGTCTCACCCTCCCAAGTAGCTGGGACCACACCCATGAACCACCATGCCCAGCTAGTTTTTGTATTTTTAGTAGAGGCAGGGCTTCACCATGTTGGCCAGGCTGGTCTCAAACTCCTGGCCTCAAGTGATCTGCCTGCCTTGGCCTCCTAAAGTGCTGGGATTACAGGCGTGAGCCACTGCGCCTGGCCAGTATGTATACTGTTTTTGTTAGAGATGGGGTCTCACTTTGTTGCTCAAGCTGGTCTAAAACTCCTGGCTTCAAGTGATCCTCCTACCTCAGTCTCCCAAAGTGATAGGATTACAGTTGTGAACCACCATGCCTGGTTATAATTTCAAAATTTCTGGTAGTCACCTTATTAAAAAAAGGTAAAGAAAAGGTTCAAATTAATTTTAATGGTATAATTTATTTCATCAAATATATCTTACATTCTTCTTTCAACATGTACTCAATAAAAACATTATTGATGAGATACTTTAAATTCCTTTTCATCCTGTCTTCAAAATCCAGTGTGTATTTTTCACCCTGTCTTCTAAATCCAGTGGGTATTTTTCACTTATGACATATCTGAAGTCAGACTAGCCACATTTCAGGGACTCAATATCCACCTGTAGCTAGTGGCTACTGAACTAGATGGCCCAGGTTTATAGGAAAGCGAAGGAGGCAGATGCCTGGGATGACATATCACTAGACTATGACAATTGCGATTAGAGAAATCAGCTTAAGCTGGGGACAAAGGTAATGAAAAAGGCCACTCAAAGACTAGGAAGGAGGAATCCACCTGAAAAAGAGTAGACCAGGCTGGGGTTCAGGTTGGAAAGCTTGGGCCAAAAGACCAGCATTCTCCTAACTTCAGTCATTCCCTCACTCCCCTAGCAAAAGTTATTTGCTTTCTCTGCTTAGTATTTGTCCTCCTGTTTACTTACTTTTTTTTTTTTTTTTTTTTGGTAAATTGATTTACTTTTTAAACTTAAACAAATTTATTTAACAATGGGACTTTTTGGTACTTCCGTTAATGGGAAAGCAAAATTGACTGTTATAAATAAATTAGCCACAAAACAAATACCAAGCAAACAAAGCAAAGTTATTGAATTCTAGCCATATTTACTTGCCTGTGCAAAGCTTTGGGTTTCTGCTTTATCTTGTTTTTGTTTGAAGAGAAAGAGGAGAGAGAATCTCTGTTTTGGGCTTAGATGTATTAAGGGCTGCATTTATTCTTTCTACTAAAACAACCCCCATAAAACCCAAACAAAATATATGAAGTAATGGTTTAAAAGACATGGAAAAGCAATAACAAAAGCCTAATCCCTGGTGGTAACAAACAAGACCAGGCTTACAATTCTAGCTTCCTGTCTAGTGAATAATCAGCCCTATAGTAAGTACTACTCTAATCGTAACTAACAATAGAATCAAAACCCAATAGGACTAAATTGTTTTCAAGAAATTTAACTACATTCCAGAACAAAGATAAAGAATATTTATGAAAATATTTTTTAAAATTACCAGGCTATAGTGCAGAGAAAGGGAATCCAAGTGGAGCCTGACAGGCCCCTGAAGCCAAGGAAACAGATCTGAGAGATCCATGCAGATGAAGGCAGCTGGTATTGGCAGAACAGAGTACTGGGGAGGCAAAAGCTGCAGAGAGTGAGAGAACATTGAATATCTGCAGAGGGCTTCTGTCAAGCTTTCAGCTAACAGGGATTACTACATGTGCTTGTGAAGAGGACTTAGAGTTAGGAGTGTCCTGTGCTCACACAGTGTTGGGAATAATGCCTGCTCCAACCAGTAAGACTGGAAAACCTCATGATTCATGGGGCATTAGGTAAAGTACCCAAAAGGGTCTTGCCTCAGTAGTGGGGAATAATTAGCCCTATAATGACTACTGCTTTGATTCTACCTAACACTTCTTAGAAGCAAGACCCAAACGGACCAAATTGTTTCCAAGTAACTTAACTGTATCTCAGAACAAAACTAAAGAATATTTATACCCAACAAGGTAAAAGTGACAACGCTATACATTAAATCAGAGATTACCACAAATGCAAAGTGCAAAATAAGATCCATGATTAGGAGAAAATCAATCAACTGAAACTGTACCAGAACTGATACATGTTAAAATAAGCGTAAACATTAAAACAGTTATGATAATTGTATTCCATATGTTTTCAAAGATAAGTAGAGGCATGGAAGATTTTAAAAAAGTGAACCAAATTGGAGTTCTATAGATAACAACTATAATTTAGGAATTGAAATTATACTGGATGAGATTAATAGTAGATTAGATATTGCAGAAGAAAATTTTAGCGAGCATTTACACATAGCAATAGAAACTATCCAAAGTGAAACATACAGAGAGAAAATAATTAAATTCTAAAATTATCAGTGAGCTGTGAGACAACTTCAAGTAGCCTACTCCAGACATGTGAAGAGGAAGGCGTGTTTCTCAACTGATTCTATGAGGCCAGCATTATTCTGATATCAAAACTAGACAAAGACATTACAAGAAAAACTACACACCAATCTCCCTCATAAATATAGATTTTAAAATTATCAACAAAATTTTATCTAACTGAATTGAACTCTCTCTCTCTCTCTATATATAAATAGTTGGAGGGAGATATATACACACATTAAATTTATATTGGATATACTATATCTAACTATATACATATTTATTTAATAGATATAGTATATCCAATATAAATAGTTGGCTATACTATATCCAATTTTACACACACACACACACACACACACAGACATATATATATATATATATACACACACACACAGAAGTCCAAGAGGAGTTTATCCCAGAAATGTAACATTGGTTTAAAATTTGAAAGCCAACCTCTGCAATTCGCTATATTAACAAACTAAGACAGAGAAAAGTCATATGATCATCTCAATAGACATAAAAAATATTTGACAAAATGCAATGGTCATCCTTGTTAAAAACTCTTAGCAAACTGGAAATAGAAGAGAAATTCCAAGACCTAATAAACAACATCTATTCAAAATCTACAGGTGACATCATATTTAATGGTACAAGACTGAATGTTTTTTGCTGAGAGCTGGAGCAAGGCAAAGACGTTTGCTCTCCCCCTTTTTTCAGCATTAGCTTAGAGGTTCTTGTCTTGACAACTAGGCGAGAAAGAGAAAATGCATCCAAATTGGAGAGGGAGAATCAAAACTATCATTATTTGCAGATTACTTAATCCTAAGGAACCCACAAAAATACTAGAACTCATAAACAAGTTCAGCAAAGTTTCAGGAAACAAGTCAATATATAAAAATAAATTTTATTTAATATAAAACTGTTAAGCTTATGGAAAAAATAAAGGAATATCTGCATGACCCTGGATTAGTCAAATATTTCATAGATATGACATCAAGTACATGATGTATAGAGCATATTGACAAATTAGACTTTATGAAAATAAAAAAAAACTTCTCTCCAAAAAACACTGTTAATATAGAATCAACAAATAAGCCACAGACTGGAAAAAATAAGTTTGCAAATGACTAAGGATGTTAAGCACCTTTTCATGAGCTTACTTCCCATCCATATATCTTCTTTAATAAAGGGTCTGTTCAAATATGGCTCTCTTTTTTACTAAGCTGTTTGTTTTTCCCCTCCTTTTATTTTCCTTTCCCTCTTCCTCCTCCTTCTTCTTCTCTTCCTCATTATTATTTCTTTATTATATATTCTAGATAAATTTCATTATCAGTTATATTATTTGCAAACTTGGCTGGGCGGGGTGGTTCACGCCTGTAACCCCAGCACTTTGGGAGGCTGAGGTGGGTGGATCATGAGTTCAGGCGTTCAAGATCAGCCTGGCCAACATAGTGAAAACCTCTCTCTACTAAAACTACAAAAAATTAGCCGGGCGTGGTGGCAGGCGCCTGTAATCCCAGCTACTCGGGAGGCTGAGACAGGATAATTGCTTGAATCTGGGAGGCAGAGGTTGCAGTCAGCCGAGATCATACCACTGCATTCCAGCCTGGGTGACAGTGCGAGACTCTGTCCCCCTGCCAAAAAAAAAAAAAAAAAAAAAAAGAGAAAATTGCAAATTAAAACCACAGTACCACTACACTTTTATTAAATGGCTAACCTGAAAATTACCCTATCAAGAGTTGGTGAGAACACAGAGGTACTGGAACTCTCATACACCACTAGTAGTGGTGTAAATTGGTACAACCCCTTTAGAAAATGGTTTGGCAATTTCTTAAAAAGTTAAAAATATGTTATCATATGATCCAGCCGTTTCACTCCTAAACATTTTCCCATGGGAAATAAAATCTTAAGTCTTTACAAAGGTGTGTACACAAATGTTGACATAAGCTTAACTTGTAACCACCAAAAATAAGAAATAATCTAAAAGCCCATCAAGAGACAAATAAACAAAGTGATAAATTAATATAATGGCATACTACTCATTAATAACAAGGAATAAACTTGATACATGTGACAACAACCATGAATGCCAAAGTAATTGTACTGGATGAAAGAAGCCAGCCCTCCCCCTCAGACAAAACAAACAAAAGAGGCCAGGCGCTGTGGCTTATGCCTGTAATCCCAGCACTTAGGGAGGCCAAGGCGGGTAGATCACTTGAGGTAAGGAGTTCGAGAACAGCCTGGGCAACATGGCAAAAGCCTGTCTGTACAAAAATACAAAAAAGTATACAAAAAATCAGCTGGGCATGGTGGCACATGCCTGTGGTCCCAGCTAATCGGGAGGCTGAGGCAGGAGGTGGAGGTTCCAGTGAGCTGTGGTTGTGCCATTGCACTCCAGCCCGGGTGACAGAGTGAGACGCTCTCTCAAAAACAACAACAACAATAAACATAAGAAAGTGATTTGGCTGTAACATGCATGCAAGGGAAGGATCAGGAAGAATGGACTCACAAAGTATTTTGGGGGCTTGGCTAAAATGTTTTTACTCAATTTTGGCATAAGTTAGGTTAGCAGATGATATGGTTTTGCTGTGTCTCTACTTAAATCTTATCTTGAATTGTACTTCCCATAATGCCCATGTGTCATGGACAGTAATTGAATTATGGGGGTGGTTTCCCCCATCATGCTGTTCTCGTGATAGTGAGTGAGTCTCATGAGATCTGATGATTTTATAAGTGTCTGCATTTCCCCTGCTTGCACTCACTCAGTCCTGCTACCCTGTGAAGAAGAGGCCTGCTTTTTCTTTGCCTTCCACCATGATTATAAGTTTCCTGAGACCTCCCCAGCCATGCAGAACTGTGACTCAATTAAACCTCTTTTCTTTATAAATTAACAGTCTTGGGTATTTCTTCATGGAAGTGTGAAAATTGACTAATATAGCATATTAGCTCAAATATTAGTTTATGTTCAAAAGTTTTGATGTCATGTTGGGAGCAACTGGAACTTGGGCAAGTTAACCTTTTCGAACATCCTTTCCCTCATTACTTTAGGCAAATGCTAACATGGAAATATTAGCATTTGCCTAAGGTAATGATTTGAAAGCTTAAATTTGAGAACATGAGTCATTTCTCATTCTTTCACTTTCCTCATAGCACATAACATGATTTGAAATTATTGTACTTTAGTTTTAGTTTGATAGTGCTGATCTCCACTCCTTACCTTCCCATCACCAAGAGTAGAGGTCTTGACGGCTGTTTTCATGGTTTTATCTATAGCACTTGATACAGCATTGGACACCTAGGAGATCCTCAGCCAAAGAAAGATTAAGAAACTCAGGGAGCATAACACTACATCTGAAACACTTAGATGATCAGCATTTTAAAAAAATGTCTATTTAGGTTCTTAGAACAAGGCTATGGCATCAAATATATGAATTGGCTTTTCTACCAAGTTCTTGCCAACTGATCAGATGATGAGGAAAGCACATGTGGCCAGTAGTCTAACTCTGAGTTCTCCCAAAGTTCACTGTTTCAATCAAGGTCAAATAAACTTTTTCTGCCTTGGGCCAGGTTGAGTCATGATAGCTTTAAGGAAAGAAGCAAGTAAATAAAATGTTCTGTCTGATCTGCCTGGATGAACCACAGTCTTGGCACCAGGACCTGACCCCCTGGAAGGGTCAGCAGACAATGGCACAGAAGAGATTGTTAATAATAAATTATAAACATGGCTGCAGCTACCATGGGGAGACCCTATATCCCCTCCCCAGCCCACACATTCACTCCCTGGCCTGTTCTGCCCCATGGGCTTAATCCACATCAGAGTGAAACAAATCCAATAAAACGTTTCCCTGAGCTAAGAGGGAGTTCAATGATTCATTCTCATTCATTCTCTCTCTTCCTGCCAAACATCTAATCCTAGATGACGAAAGAACAAAGGAAGAGGCATTTCAAAGAAGTCATCCTCATGTGTCTCCCTGCTGCTTTGGTGTCTCACAAGAATCAAGACCCTGCCCTGAGGCTTACCAGGACTTAGCAGTAAATGTCATTTGGATATGGTGCCATTAGTGTCCTCTCAATGATAGGACACGAATGTGGCACCTTGTCATACCTCTTTGCTGCAGTCTCACTCACTGGGGACTACCATACTGCTGGCAAAGAGGATATTATCAGAGATGGTATGTGGGGACAGACATAGTCTCTGGCATAAGTTGGCAGCACAATTGCTGAAGATCTCAAGTGGTGACCTGGGAAATAGTGTCTTAGTGGAAGGAACACTCTTGCAGTGCCATGATTTACATGTTGTAAAAATGTCAAGGGAATGATTCTACACAGATGGTAGAAAGGGAAAAAATCTTCCCAGTAGGTGGAGATTGAAGCAGTTGGCATTAATTCCTAGGGCTCTCATTGCAAAACGCCTCAGACTAGGTGGCTTAAACAACATAAATTTATTTCCTCACAGTTTTGGAGGCCAGAAGTCCAAGATCAAGGTGTGGTATTGACAGGTTTATTTTTTTTCTGAGACATCTCCTCTTGGCTTACAGACCCCCCCCTTCTGTGTCCTCACATGGTTTTTCCTCCATGTGCACATTCCTGTTATCTCTCTACACGTCTAAATGTCTTCTTCTTATAAAGACATCAGTCATTTTGGATTTGAGTTCACCCTAAATACTCTATTGTAACTTAATTACCTTGTTAAAGACCTTATCTCCAAATATGACAGCATTCTGAGGAACTTTTGGCTGGGACTTCAACATATGAATTTTGTGGGAACACAATTTAGCCCATAACATGATTATCCAATAGTTTACTTTGTGTGGAAAGAGAAGTATCCCAAGGTGAGACTATATCTTGATTCTGAGGCTGTGGTCGATGGCTTGGCCATGTGGTCAGCAGCCTAGAAGGAAAAAGACTGGAAGATTGGGGCAAGAAAGTCAGAGGTAGAAGTACATGGATAGACATGTGGGAATAGCAGGAAAGGGAATAACATTTGTTTCATTCCTCATCTCACTAGAAAATGTTACTGTGAAAGAGGCACTGAACAACCAAGTAGACAGAATGACTCAGTGACATTAGGTAGCTTTCATCGTGAGCCACCCCAGGACTGATACAATGAGCACATGGGCAGAGTGGCCATAGTGCAGAGATGGAGGCTACTATGGGCCCAATGGCATGGGCTTTCACTTTTTCCAGCCAATTCAAATGCTGCTGTCCCTGGATAGTTAGCATGTTCGCAATAGTAATCAACAATAAGCACCTAATATGGCACTATTTCTTGGAGAGTCCAACCAGTCATTTGGTAGCAAGTCCACCTCAAGTGGCTTCTTGCACCTTGGAAAGGTCAGCCAATAGTCCTTGTGGGGACAGACACCTACTCTGAATATGAGTTTGCCTTTCCTGCCTGCAGAGCTTGAGCCAGCACCACTCTGCAGGGGCAGAGTATGTAATGGCTGATCCAAAGGCATGGAATTCCATGCAACACGGCATCCACACAGCATTATGAAGAGACCAACTTCTCATGGTGAAGAGGGTGTTGGAATGGATTCTTGTTCTTGTAATCTATGAATTTAAGTGGAATTCTCCTAGAATTGTTCAGCAGTATGAGATCCTTGTGACCTAAGCCTCCCTTCTTCCTACAATCTTTCATAGGTATCAGACCAGCATTACAGTCTGAAAGCTCTTTCCACCTTCCCTAACCCACTCTCCTTTACTACTGATAAAGCTGTTGCATTTCTAGTCCTATATTGGTACTTGCTTCTCTGAAGACTGGAGCAAATACAAATTCCTTCTCAAGGAAACGATTCTCCTTCCCTCTTGCCTATAATATTGGTCAGCTTTCATGGGTGAATTCATTCTATGTCCTTCTACCACCCCATATAATCCTACTAACAAGTTCTAATTTAACTATGACTGTGTGAAATGTATTAGGAGAGTTTTTTCACCTTTTCTTTAGAAAACAATAAAATAAAATGAAATATTGGCTCAAATCACTTAATCACTTAATAAAATCACAGAACTCTTCCGTTAATGCATTATGCATAATTATATTTGAACTTTCTGCCTTAGGAGGAAATTAAAATTTGTACTAATGGAAACATTCAAATTATTTTTAAAACTTACCTTTGCAATAGTGGTAGTTAGAGATTTAGCCATTAATCTTCCATGGCATTGTATTTGAAGGATTTTGTCATGTTATGCGACTTGAATTTCAGTGACGTCTAATCTGATTTTACCATCTAGGAAAACCAGAATATGAAAATTTTTATTAATTTAACATTTTATGTTTTAAATATATTTCACTTTTAGGACAATATATACCCAGAAGTATCAAACATCAATCTATGGATTCATAAAACTTGTGTATAATTGCTTTATTTACTATACTTACAAATTTTCAATTAATTTAAATTTAGCCAACCTCCATATTTTGAGGGTTTCCAAAATAAAGTATTTTGCCCAAGTCATCATAGCAAACAATTGACTTATTTTTTCTAATTTAAAAATAACTCCTGATTTTCCTTAAATTACTTTGTAAATATTTCCAATACTACAGACAATAACAAATCAAAGAAATAAACAAATAATAAAATTAAGCATTTATTTAAAAAAAATCCTTGAAAGCATGCATTCTCTAATGTTTACATTTTTAAAGCAACTTTTGAAGCTTCCAGAGAATTGTGAGGTTCTTGGGGACAGAGGCTGGGTCATTCCTCTTGTGTTTCTGTGATCCCTAGAAAGGCAGTAGGCAGGTAGTTAGTTTTCAATAACTGTTTCCTGTTTCTGTCAGATGCTCCCCATCCCTCTTTGAGAAAAATCTTGCTCTAAGGAGCAAGGACAATAGAGATGGACCTGTGTTTCCTGTATGGGTCTTGCACAAAGAGGGAATGAGAAGAATTTTAAAGTACTTGCTGAAAAAGGCTCCAAGCTTTTGATTTTTCAAAATTTTTACTGCTCCGGAGCTAAAGCACAATATTCAGAAAATCATAATGCCTGCTTCACTATATTTGCCTGTGAAGTCCCCATTTGATCAAAATAATGCTAGACAGTTTCTCTCTTGATCTGTTTAGAATCAAGATAAGGTCAGGTGTTAATTAATGTTGAATTACCAAAAATTCCCATGGAAATGCATATGACATCTACATTATAACCATAATTAGCTAATTAACCAATCAATTATAATGATTAATGTGATCATAATGAATGTATGGCAAATGGTTATTAATTCTTAGAGTTTCCAAAGTAAATGCATTAATCACAGTTGAACCTGTGGTAAAATGTGGGTGCCTAATTATCTTTCTGAACTCTGGGTGTGATATAATAATTTTCATCTGCTTAGAACTTTTGCCACACATTGTCTTATTATTTTCCTCACAACAAACTTGTGAAGCAGTTGAAGGAAAGTTGTACTTTTATTGTTGTTGTTTCCATTTCACAGGTGGTTAAACTAAATTTTAGAGGGGCAGGTGATTTTCCCAATATCTCATATCTTCATATTTCTTCCTTCAAATAGATCTTCCAATGATCTTAGTTGATACTTGGAGTTCTAAGCTTGAACATTTAGACAAGGCTTTCCCCATACCTTCCCAGATGTTCTGCTACATAATACTATGTGGTGTTTACTTAGAAAACTAGTCAACTTGTCATCATATTACAGATATAAGGGAGAAGAGTATTTCACCTTACCACTGAGGGAGAGAAATTGTGAGTCATCTACAAAAGAAAAGGGACTTTGGGAGCTGGGGTTCTGGTGCAACTACTGTGTCGTTGTATGTGAGAGGTGGAGGGCATGTGTGTAAAGAACCATTGCATAATTTTTTGGGAATTTTCCTCTAGTACAAATCTCATAGCACTGAGCACAGTTCCAAGTACACAGCAGCAATGAACAAATGTGCTTGCTGAATTAAAGATACTTAACTGGAAGAGGAGCTGAAAACAAAACCAACTAACCAACCAAAACAAAACACTGAAGGGTCTTTGGAATCAGATACCAAGCCTTAGAATGAAAAGAAGACCCTTAGAGCTTTACATTCATTTATTCTCTGATTTTCCCTGGGGAAATTGTGTGACTTTGGAATACGTGATCACTATATATATATATGGAGCAAGTCAACAAAGGAATGCTGTAGGAGATAAACCTGGAGCTTGCTCCAGCGTAAGGCTTGGAATGGGATGAGGAAGATGGAGGACATTCTAGGTCAGAGCAAACACATCTATCCAGGGCAGAAGTGGGAGCAAAAACACTAAGGAGAAAGGCCTTGCAGAGGTCAGGATAGTGCCAGGAAGAAGAGGAGACATGAAGGGGCAGGTGACCATTTGAGGGAGAGTCCATCATGGAAGAACTTGAATACCAAAGAAGGAGTGGAGGCAGCACATGGTAGAAGAAAATCCTAGAATAGCTTCAGCTAGGGGTCACTTTTAATAGCACTATACAGGAAATGCTTTCACATTAAAAGGTTTTGGGGTAGTGGATGAACTTTTTGAGGTCTTGCTCTACTTCAAAGCCAATTACTCTTAAACACTTCAGAGGCATTTTGAAACTGACTCTGAACCTGGCACATATGTTAATGAGGATTTTGGTAAGTGACATCAGCAGTTTCATTCCAGTGAGAGGGGCTACCCAGAGGATGATCAGCAAGTCAGGATGATGCCCATGTTCACCTGTGCCCTGCCTGACTAGGGAGGGCAGCTCTTGCCAACTGAAGGGCTGGAGGTTAATATCAGAATGTTTATAGGTATACTTACATGAGCCCACAGTTAAATTCTATGTTGCTTTGGAGGAAATTCTATTCTGTGGTTTATTCATTTTTAACTAATTATCAAGTTGTAGTCATAAACACTAAAGTTAATATTTTCTAAAATATTATGTATATTAATTTACTGTACAGTTCATTCCTCACATATTTATTCAGTGATGTTATCGTCTGAATGCTTGTGCCTCTCCAAAATGTGTATGTTCAAACCTAACCCAGAAGGTGATAGTATTAAGAGGTGGTGCTTTTGAGGAGTAATTAGGTCTTGAGGGCTCCATTCTCATGAGTGAAATTAGTGCCCTTAGAAAAGGGCTTGAGGTTACATGTTAGCCCTTTCTACCATGTGAGGAGACAGCAACAAGGTGACATCTTTTGAAGCAGAGGTCAAGCTTTCATCAGACACTAAATCTGCTGGCTCCTTGATTTTGGACTTCCTAGCCTGTAGAACTATAAGAGATAAATTTCTATTGTTTATGAATTAGCTAGTCTAAGGTATTTTCTTAGAGCAGGAGGAAGGGACTAAGATGGGTACTTACTAATCTATAATGGACCCCAGGAAGACAAAGATAAGTACAATGTATTTTTCCCTCTAGGAACTCTTAGTTTAGCAGGACAGGAGGACATGCCTGTGGATAAGTGCCTTTTGAAACTGGTTCCACCTGACAACTGCAGTCCTGGCTAAAGTGAGCAGAGTGTGTGGAACAGAAGCCATGCCCCTTATGGACCAGGCTTAACTAGGCTGATTCAAATCTATGTGCTTTAGATTATGTAGGTGAGCATGCTGGGAGAATTTTACCAACAGTTCTTCCTATTTTTGATGCTATCCAGAAAGTTCTGTCACTATTTGGAAAATAGAATTTTGTGTAGTAGTTAAGAATATAAACACTGAAGTCAAAAGAATCTATGCTTATGTTGTGTATAAAATGCACAGAAAAGTGCCTGGATCTTGGAATCTTAGTCTGGATATCTCCAATACAGAACATGAGACAAGGTTCCAATGCTAATGTTTTATGGGAAGGTGTAAATCCAAGGCAGTGAGAGTGAAGGAAAAATAAAGTGGGGCTGGGAAAGATGAAAGCAAATACCTACGTGATTATTGTACCAGGCTTTCATGAAGAGTTGGAACCATACATTCAGCCATGCAGGAGATCTGTTTAGAAGCAACTATGCTTCAGAATAATCCCAAACACCCATGCTTCAGAGAAATGCATGCAGAGGGACTTGTTCTGCCAGATCCCTTCCTTCTCTTGTCATCTGTCAATGAAAGTGCTCAGCTTGGTCTAAGAAATGTCAAGTTTTGAGGTGGTGTTGTGGGAGCAATAGTACTGCTGAGAGAGTTGCTGGACTGGACTGGTCCTAGAAACATCTGCTATAGCATCAGTGTGCTGCCTGGCTCCAGCTTGGAGTATCTTGTTTTCGCTGATGCCTGGTTTTGATTAAAGGCACATGTTGTGTTCAAAGGCCCCTGCTCAGCTCAGCCTCTGTGTGCCCTTATGTAATTAGTTTGTTTAAACTGTGTCTCTGATTATGTCAGGTCTTGACTGTGGCCCTAAGTACAAGAGTGTAATAAGATATACCTATTAAACAGATGTTGGACTTTAATGGATATGTTTTGAACAGTCAATTGGAATTAAACTTTCAATAACTACTGTAGAACAAGAAAATCTATCTCTTTACATTAAACAAAGCAATGTGGCCTCTTACTGGTTCTCTGAAGCAGTGATTTTCCCAGATGGGCTGTGGCCAGAATCAATGAGAGAAACTTTTACAATTCAGATTTTTGGGTCCTCAATTGCCAAGTATTTTGATTTGTGGCTCTAGGGTGAAATGTAGGCAGCTGAATTTTTAAATCGTCCTAAGCATAGAGACAATCAGAGACGGTAATTTATAGACAGACGTAGTCATTTTTCAAAAATCAATTTTTGTTACTATAGATCAAGTATTTCATTCACCCATTTATTCTACATCAATTGATCAATTCATTCCCTTATTTCTGCATTTATTCCCCATTAGTTTAATATTCCCTGATTACCTGGTAAGCATAAGTTGCTGGACTAGACTCCATCCAGATACAAAAGATGTCTACCTAAGTAAGACATGCTTCTGCTCTAGAAAGTGTTTATCATTTAGCTAAGAGTGGAGAGTCCAAATATCTATTCAGCACCTGGTCTGTTTCACGCATGAGCTACTTGCTTTTCCATTTGATATCTTATGATAGCCCTAGGGAGGAGATCGTATTATCTCCATTTTACAGATGAGGATACTGAGTTCAGATAGTTTAAGTAAACTGCCCACTCTTACTCTGTTTGTAAATGCTAGAGATGAGGAGATAAAATGTGTGTAAAGAAAATAAGCACATCAAAAGGGAGAAATCAATTATCTTATGAGTCAGTCCAGATAAGGGGTACAGAGGGTTAGTAAAAGAAGAAGTTACTTTCAGCCCAACCGGGTAAAGACAACTGCCTAAGCTTAGAAGAACAAAGTGAAGGACATTTCAGGCAAAGTGGGCATTTGAGCCAGGAGTTCCCAAACTTGACAGGTGATTTGAATCACCTGGGAGCTTTAAGATGATTCTGATTTAGTGACTCTCAGGTGGGGCCCCAGAATCTGTATTATTTATAAGCACCTGAGGTGATTCTGAATTATCAGCCAGAGTTAGGAATAAGCTACTTGTTAACAGAATGAATAGAGGCAGAATAGTATTTTTTAAGTCACATACTAACATTGCAACTTAACTCTGGCTGGAATTGAGTCATTCAGGAGGAATGTGTTGCCCTCACCTTCTCCATTAGACTCATCAACAAGTCCTGCCTGTCCTGTACACAGCCTACTGCTCTAATTCTGCTCTCCTTTCTCCAGCTCCATTGCTACTATGTGGTGCCACTCATCCTGCTTTTGAATTCACTACCTCTAATCTCTGTCCCTTCAGTAGACACAGCCTCCACTCACAGCAGCTTTAACTGTCCTTCTAAAATTCAACTGATTATACTACATAATGGCTGTTACCCACTTAAAAACCTTCCACACTCTTCATTGTTAAATTCTTCAGAGTGGGCTTTAGGCTTTTCTCAACCACATCAACTCCTTCATTCATTTGTTCATTAATTTATAAAATGTACTTAGTGTCTATGATGTGAAAACACCGTGCTAGACATTGGAAATACATGAAAAGAAGACACAATTCCTTTTGTTAATAAGTTTATAAAGTACAGTAAATACTGTTAAGGGGTAAACTCAAGGGGATGAGCAACACATAAGAGGAGCTGATGACCTTACCTGTAAGAGTTGGGGAAGGTTTTCTGGAGGATATGATGCCTGAAAGACAGGTAAGAGAAATTCACTGGGTAAAAAAAGAAAGGCCTTTGTGAATAGGGGCACAGTAAGAGGAAATGTGGTTTGTTCAGACAACTGTCAATTGCCCTGCAGGAATAGCAGGTGTGGAAAGAGTAAGTATTGAGAAATAAGCATAAATGTAAACACAATTCTGGGATTGATTTGGGTAGAGTGGGTGCAATGTTGACATCCAAATCTAACTGGGTAGATTGAAGTAAATGATCAAATTTTGTATTTTAAATGCAAAGGCTCAATATATTGAACTAAAACTCAGTTATGCTCCAGGAGCGGGGAAGGGTGTGGCTTAACATCAGCAGTGCATGTGTAAAATGTTCAGAGTGGAACTAATGTCAGTGGTATGAAGTGGCCCCTGTATGGACCCAGTCTTGGAACAAAATGTCCAGAAGTCCTAGGACACTGGTATCCTTGTGTTCAGGGTTAGTATCCACAGTACAAGTGGCACAGAGAAACTGAAATCTCCAAAGGCAGGTTACTGGAGAAGAAAAGAAATGCTAAGCCATAACACACATGAGAAAATCTTGGAGGAATCAGGATGGCTCCTTCTGGAGATCTTTACCAGCTAATTATCCAGAGTGCTTCCTTGTGGAAGAGAAATTGACCTTTGGAACTCTAGGGTGCAGAGCTGAGCCCAAGGGGCAATAGTCATGCATAGGCAAATTTCTGGTAAGTACAAGGAAGGACTTTGTTAGGATGACATTTGTTTTCCCAAGGTGTATTAAAGGAGAACCATACATCTAAGAACAGATAATATGCTAGTGCCTTTCTTATCTCTACTAGGTTTGATTCTCTGATCAAAGACAGAATTTTTAGTAAAGAAAGGGTTGTCTGATTTCCAGTGGTCAGGAGAGTTAGGAGGATGTTTTAGCACATGCAAACTTTTTTTCTGTAAAGTGCTAGATAAAAAACAAATGAATGTGGCTGGGATCTAATAAAACTTAGTTTACAAAAACAGGCAGAGGGCAGAGTCTGGCTTATGGACTGTACTTGGTCAACTCCTGTTTTGGCAGATGGTGAGGACCCCACCACTGAGATTATTCAAGTAGAATTGGGGGTTTGCACTAAAATGATCTTCTTAAGAGATGATAACTATAAATGCAGGCAATCTCTGCAGAGGACATAGACTAGTGGGGCCTTCAGAATAACTTAGCTTAATTCTCCCTCTATAAAAAATGAAACTGAAGCTCTACCTCCCCCAAAAAAGGATTTGCCCCCAAATGTAGAATTAGGTAGTGGTGTTTGCTATCCTGAAAGAGATCTCTGTTGCTCATTTTACTTATATCTGTATATTCAAGAGATAAAAACAAACAACAACAACAACAAAACACTTGTTTTTTGGTTTGTAACAAGGCTTCCAACTTTCCTGCCTTTGATTAAAGGATTTTCTAGCTGGTGCCTGAGCTTTCCTCTGAGGTGTGTGAGCCTGCTCCTCTCTGTAGATTAACATGTGCATTATGAATTCACTGTCAATGTCAGCAGGCTAGCTTTTCCAGTTTTACAAACGTCTTTTCTTTCAGGAGCTGGAAACGTTCTCAAAACTGTCCTGAAAGCAAGTAATGCTTTCAGTCGTTGTCACCTTCGTGAGGAACATGCTGCAACTTCGCTTTCTGACTTCATTCTCCGGGTGACATTTTTCACGCAGGCTCTGACAGAGACAGCAATTATAAAGACATCCAGGTTGGCATTCAAGGATTCTTGAAGTTAACAAATTGTCCAGGGATAAATGACAATGAAGTTGGCAGTCTACACATTTCTTCATGAAAATGCATGCTCTGGGGGATCAGAATAAGCCTCAGAAGGAGATGACACCCATGCTCATGGTGGGGCCTGTCGGAGTGACCCCCAGGGCTTGCATCTTCAGGAAGCTATTTGGCTTAGGTCAGCTGGACTGTAAACTTCTGGGCAGCTATCAAGGATCAGAGGAAAACAATGAAAATATGTACTTAAATACAACGTAGCTTTTTGATTTGCTGACAATATCTAAGTGCAAGAATGGTGTTTATTCAAATCTAATTCCCTCTTGTGTATATTCACCATTCATTGGCTCTCATAGCCCAAAGTCTGTCCTCTCTGTGCAGCCCAGCCTTCCCAACGTTCCAGTGTTTTGGTCTCATCCCATCTCTCCTCCATTCAAGCATCCACTTTTCCAACTGTTGAGAACACTTCACACAGTCTGTTCCCTTTACTTGGAATTGCCTCACAATTTCCCACTAAGCATTCAGCTCAAAAGGCACCTTTTCTGTGAAGCCTTCTTTTCTTATTCTCATGAGAACCATCTCCATTCATGAACAGAGATAGAAGGTGGGGGATATCACCAGTAATGTCCCAGAAATCGAGGAAGCTTTACCTTAGAGGATAACAGTTGTATATAATTGAGACCCACACCAGTTTCTAGAAACAATTCCTTATGGTATTGCTGAGTTCATCATGAAGCAGGAAGCCCAAAAGTGCACCACCAAGTCTTGATGGGCAAAATCAGTAACTTCATGCTACCGAGTGCTTTGTGTGTGTGTGTGTGTGGTGGGGGTGGCAGGGGCGGGGGGGACTGATTTTAACCTTGCATACATACTCACTTTCTTTCTTTCTTTCTTTCTTTCTTTCTTTCTTTCTTTCTTTCTTTCTTTCTTTCTTTCTTTCTTTCTCTCTCTCTCTCTTTCTTTCTATCTTTCTTTCTATCTTTCTCTCTCTCTCTCTTTCTTTCTATCTTTCTTTTTCTTTCTTTCTTTTGTTTTCTTTTTTTGATACGGAGTCTCGCTCTGTGGCCGGGCTACAGTGCAGTGGCGCAATCTTGGCTCTCTGTAATCTCCATCTCTTGGGTTCAAGTGATTCTACCGCCTCAGCCTCCCAAATACCTGGGACTACAGGTGCCTGCCACCATGCCCGGCTAATTTTTGTATTTTTAGTAGAGACACGGTTTCACCATATTGGCCAGGATGGTCTCGATCTCTTGACCTCGTGATCCACCCATCTCGGCCTCCCAAAGTGCTGGGATTACAGGCGTGAGCCACCGTGCCCGGCCCACTACTCACCTATTTCTTACAACTTAGAATCTATGATCTATGATAGAATCTATGAGATGTGCTATTAGGCAAACTCCATTTTACCAATGAATAAATGGAGAAATAGTCTTAGAGCTGTTCCAAGGCTTACAACTAGTAAGGGTAATAAACGAGCCAAAAGAAGAGCTCGGGCAGCCAATGTGAAGAGAAGTTGGATTGGATCAGGGTCTCAAAGCGGAAAGACTGAAGGGATCCCTAAGCCTCTGAGCTCATCGCCACAGTGCACTCTCCCTGGAAATGTAAAGATGTGCTGAGGATATGACTGTGGGTAGCCTTCCCCAGACCTTCTTTCCAGGGTGGTGGCTGAAGCTGGTTGGAGCTTTTTCTAGAAATGTCCTGACTCAATCTCTCAGTCACACTCCTGAGCACAGAAAGGCTTGCGCTGTGCCTCCCTCCAGGGCACCTGGTCCTGGATGTGACTTGGAAAGAGGAGGACATTTCTGTAGACCAGGCAGAGCAGAGAACTAGGAGGTGGTGGGAGGGGTAGGAGGGTGAGTGAAGCGGTGGGCAATAAAGGGGGTGGGGAGTGGGTGGGGGGGGTCCATGGAGCAAGGATAGCTGCAGCTTAGAGATTGTGAGAATGATTATCTTTTCTCCATTAAGGATAATGACAGTGAGAGGAGGCAGCCAAATGCCTAAGCAGATAGGGGTGGGTCCCCAGTGAAACCCCGCCTTCAAGCCAAAAAAACAGCCTGAAGGCTGAAAGACTGGACTGCTAGTCCTGGATGAAACCTGCAACCCAGAGCAAGGACTTCTGTTCCTGTTTACCTGCCCTTCTCCAAATGATTATGAATGATGCCTTTTAACTAATGGAATGTTGCCTTTTCCAATACTACCTATGGCCTGTCTCACCCCTATTCTGAGCCCATAAAAAGCCCCAGACCCAGCTACACAGAAAGGAGAGAACCACCTGACTTTGGAGGTGGGCAACCACTCCCCACCCCTGCCCCACATCCCCTCTCCTTTGAGAGCCATTCTGTCACTCAATAAAATTCTTCACCTCCCTTCTCATCCTTCAATGTCCAGCATATCCTCATTCTTCATGGGTGCGATACAAGAGCTCAGGAATCACCAAGTGCAGGTACAAGCTAAATACAGGCAAGCTGGGGCATGCCAGTGTGACCAAGCGAGGCCCAGGTGGGGCATTACCAGCTGGGGGTCCCTGGCTTGCAAAGTGACCGAGAAGAAAATTCCTACAGCAATAACAATGACAGAATTTGTGAGATGCTTACTGGATTTCAGACTCTGCATTTTGCTAGGCTTATTGGGTTTATTCTTCATCACCATTCTCATTCTGCAGATGACAGGGGTAAAACTGAGAGCCATGGAGCTCAAGGCTGCACAGCTAAAGGAGATAGGGCCAGGATTCAAACCCAGCTCCCTCAGCCTGCAGAGAGACTCGTCCTGTGCTGTTCAGCCACCCAGACCAGGCCAAGGGAAGATGTTTTTCCCTTTCAGCATCTTTCCTGGTAATCAGCACTCATGAGACCTACAGCTGTCACAAGGTATCATGAAGTTCTATTGGGTGTAAGAAAGAGTTGACTACATGCTAACTCTGTCTTGGTAAGAGAGCTAGACTAGCCATGCTACTGGTGAGTGATACAGCAGTATATGTTCTCATCAAATATCCAGTTCCTGATACAGGGCCTGGCATCAAAGAGACACACGATAAATGATTCTTGAACACATTTTGAAGGAAGTCATAGCGAATGCACTCAGGGGGACCAGCTCTGACCTTTCTGCCAGTGCTTCCCCAGGCTCAGATAACACATATTTCAAATTTTGGAGAATTCTGATACCAGATTCCAAAGGGCATCCATCTCAGATTCCAAAGGGCATCCATCTCCTCCTCTGGTTCAAATGACACTCTGCCTAGGTCTGTGACCAGGTCATCTCAGCATCTCATCCACCTCCTTCCCTGCTCCGGCCTGGAGTCCTGCCTGCTCCACCCACCCACCCTGTTAATTTCTAGCTCTGAACTAGCTCAGCCACTTCTCTCTCTGCTCCTATTCCTGGTTCTGTAAGTTCTCCTGAAAAACAATCACACATGTGTGCTGATGGTTGTCCTTATGAATGCGTATTCCATCTCATCAAACTCCTGGACTTTGAGATTATTTGACTTGTTTTCTTTCGGTTATTTCCCGTCAACCACCACAGTCAGAGTGTGAGGGTGACTTGGGATGGGGAGAGGAGGGACGTGATGGAAGAGGTGGGAAAAGGTTTTGTATGGGGTTGTAGGTGATGTTTTAATGTTTTGCATTGATGAATAAAAATAGTTGTTACCATAACCCCCAAAACGAATGGACCCATAACTCTTATTTTACACAATATTTTTCCTACTGTGGACAGATTCATCATGTTTGTGACACTTAAAAGCTGTTTTACTCTGGCTGCTAGGTGGGATAGTGTATCCCCACATCTCTCTCAAAGCTCACCTGTGTGTTCTAAAACTTCATCTCCATGGCACATTTTGCATCCTCTTATCTCAAGGTTGTTGAAGCAGATTTAAGAGCTACCTTCCTTCCTCTCAGCACATGGACTTGCAACTTTATCTAGCGGGGATTCTCGAGCTTAGGTGTATTAACACTCAGATGGCTGAGCCCTGCCCCACAGAGTTTCTGATTCACTAGGTTTGGCGTGGAACAAGAATTTGCATTTCTAATAAATTCCCAGGTGATGCCAATGTTGCTGGTCTGGGGACCCCATTGTGAGAATGACTCTATGACACCTATCCTTGCCTTCTTAACTTCTGTCTCAGATAAACAGTTGTCCTCTCTTCTTTTGGCAGCTAACCTCTCCAGTTAGGGACACTAACCATGTCTCCTCAAAGCATATGTAGAAAATTCACTATGGTCAGGGATTGAACTCAATCTCATGCGTTCAGCAGTAAGCAAAGCTGACTCAGACACTTTAGATAAGAAGAGAGGTATCATTTGGATGCAGATACATATGATCAATTCTGAATTGGTTGAAAGTGTTGCTTTTACCAAACTGATGACAGTGATTATCTACATGATGATGAAATTTATGGATAGATGCTGAAACAGTTATATATATATATAAAAAAAAAACAATTCCCCAAAGATTGGGACCACTACGAAGAATTTGCCTTCTTTAAACTAGGTACCCCAGTAGAGAATGTTATTTTCCTTTTGCAAACTGATCTGCAGTGGTTTGTGGATGTCAGCTTGCTATATGCCTAATAGAGTTGTCTATTCCTCAATTCCACATCTTTTGCAGAATATTTCAGTGAGATTCAACCTCAAAAATAAGAGTAAGAAAAAAATACAGGAAGGTTGGCTGAGCAGTGCAGCACCTACCTATGGCAACTCTTAAATCATTTGATATTTTTGAAGCTTTTGCTCCAGTAGAAAACTCAGACCTCTGAGTTGGATGGAGGTGAGGGGAGTACAAAACCAACACCAGGGGTTCCTTGCAGCAGCCCAGAAAGCACTTGTGAATGTGGCAGGAAATGAGATCTTAAGTCAGTGCATAAAACAATCAAATCCATCACAGCCTTGGAATGGCCCTTATAACTCAGGGACTGTCAAAGCCCTTTGTGTGCACAGAGGCAGTCGTAGAAGGAGTGACGAACTGAGCTCAGAGTCTGCTAAATCTATTCTGGCAGCCAGAGGAATATATTTCCAAAGCCAAGTCACATCATTTTCCTTGAGCTCATTTGACTGCAGGCTAAGAAGCTATTGCAGAAAACAAAAGTATGGTGGAAGGGGTGCTGGAATAATGAATATTAATGAACTTAATTCTCTGGTTTGGGGTTGGCTTGTACTGGTAAGATGCAAAGGCGGATAAAGAAGAACGAATTGAAACTGGTGCTTCAAAATGAACAGTCTTGGCCACTCATCTACTGATCTAATACATGTTTACAGTGTGCCTACTATTTGCTTGCTCCTGGGCTTGGCAAAGATGAAAAACACCAACCCTCTGTCCTCAGGGACTTCCTGGCCTGTTGGAGACACAGATGTACATGGTATCATGACAATTCAGGGCTTTGCTGTCCATTATAGAGAACACATACAAACTGGAGGGGAAGTCAGAGAAGGCACAGCAGAAGGTGCAAATGCTTAAACAAAGCTTCCCTCTGGCAGGCATATTGACTGACCCTCCTTGAGTTATGAGCTTGAGCTTTGGTTAAAGCTGGCACTGCAAAGAAACAGTAGCTAGATCTCCCGGTTTCCCAGGAGAGTCTTGATTATACACGTTTTTCCTGTTGCCCCAGTTGAATTGTGTCTTCCCAAAATAAACGTCTGAATCTTAAACCCCCATAGTTGGGAATGTGATCTTATTTGGAAATAGGGTCTTCGCAGATGTAATCAAGTTAAGATGTGGTCGTATTGCATTAGGGTGGCCCTAAATCCAGTGGCTGATATCCTTATAACACCAGGTGAAAACACAAAGATAGAGGCCCAATCATAGAGGGGAGAAGGTCATGTGAAGATGGAGGCAGAAACTGGAGTGGTGAAGCTACAAGCCAAGGAATGCCAAAGACTGCAGGCAACCACCAGAAGCTAGAAGAGGCAAGGAATCATTCTTCCCTAAAGCCTTCAGATTCTTCCCTATTGACACCTTGATTTCAGACCTCTTGTCATCTGAACTGTGAGAAAATAAATTTCTGCTGTTTTAAGCCACCTAGCTTGTAGTACAGCAAGTCCTCAGATAACGTCGTTTTGTTCAATGTTGTTTTGTTAAAATGATGAGAAAAACATAAATTCCTAGCTGGGGCCACTTTGCATGTTCTCCCCAAATCTGTGTGGCTTTTCTCCAGGTACTCTGGTTTCCTCCCACTTCCCAACACTGTGCCTGTTAGGTGAATTGGCGTTGTCTATGTGATCTCAGTCTGAGTGAGTGTATGTGCGCAAGTGTACCCTGCGATGTGATGGTGCCCTTGCCAGGGTAGGTTTCTGCCTTGTGCTGAGAGCTTCCAGGACAGGCTCTGGCCACCTGTGACCTTGAACTAAATTAAGTGGGTTGGAAAAGGAATGAATACATGAACACAGACTATTGTAAAATAAAAATTTGCGGCTGGGCACGGTGGCTCACGCCTGTAATCCAAACGCTTTGGGAGGCCAAGGCGGGCAGATCATCTGAGGTCAGGAGTTCAAGACCAGCCTGACCAACATGAAGAAACCCCATCTTGTCTAAAAATACAAAATTAGTCAGGCACGGTGGCACATGCCTGTAATCCCAGCTATTTGGGAGGCAGAGGCAGGAGAATCGCTTGATCCTGGGAGGAGGAGGTTGCAGTGAGCTGAGATCATGCCACTGCACGCCAGCCTGGGCAACAAGAGCGAAATTCCATCTAAAAAAAAATTTTTAACTTGATGTTGCAGTTTCCAAGAACCTATCAACAATATAATCTGAAGACTTACTGTACTTTTTTACAACAGCCATAGGAAGCTATTACAACTCTCAAGTTTGAATTTTGATTCAGAACATGTGGTGTCTGTATTTTAGTGTTCCATATGATCTAGAATAAGTCTGAGGAGATAACTTCTAGCACTTTTGCTTCCCCTTTTCTCTCCCTGCCAAACTCTTCCTAAATTCAGTTCCGGATTAGGAAGATCACTTCTCACTCCACCTGGCAGGGTCATCTTCTTGACTGCACCTCTCCAGTTTCTCTCTGAGACTGGAAAGACACTCCAGAGATAAGGCTTGTCCTAACCAATCAGCACTCAGAAAACATCTATTGACTGGATTTGATGTAAGGTGGGCTCTAAGTAAAGCCTGAATTTATTAATCCTCCAGAAAGTTTACTGACCTCTCTGAGTTGGATGAGGCCAGATCTAATAATGAGTATGTTCCAGACTACTAAAGACAAGCATATTTATGACTATATTCACCCAATTTGGGATTGCACTCTTAGACTACTGCCATTTACAGATTACATTAGCAGATACTTTTGGAAAACAATTTGGCATTGTCATTAGTATTTATAAAATGTTTGGGTTCTTTGACTCAATAATTAAACTTCAGGGAAACTGTCCTGAAAACAAACCAAAAATTCAGACAAAGCTGTTGCTACAATGATGTCAAAATGATACAAGAACTGAAAGTAATCTATATGTCCAACAACAGAAGAATAACTTAGTAAACAATTATAGTGTGTTCATAAAAGAGACTATTACACAGCTACTTAAGGCAGTGCTGTTGAACGTCATGTGTTAATACTGAAATGCTTTAATATGCTAAGTAAAAGGAAGACGTTTTTAAAAATTATATACTATGATGACATCATAAAGTGTCCGCTGAAACTTGGCTGGAAGGAAATATGCCAAAATGGTAATTGTATTTGTGTTTGCTCTTATGAAATCCCTTGCTATGTCTGCGTTTGAATTTTTCTGCAATGTTTTCATTTTTGAATTTTTTTTTTTGAGACAGGATCTCACTCTGTTGCCCAGGCTGGAGTGCAAAGGTGTGATCACAGCTCACTGAAGTCTCAACCTTCTGGGCTCAAGTGACCCTCCCACCTCAGCCTCCCCAGTAACTGGGACTACAGGTGCATGCCACCACACATGGCTGATTATTATTATTATTTTTTCTGTAGAGATGGGATCTCCCTTTGTTACTCAGGCTGGTCTTAAACTCCTGGGCTCAATTGATCCTCTTGGCTCCATCTCCCAAAACACTGGGATGACAGGCATGAGACATATTTTTGAAATTTAAAATACAAAGGAATAGACCTTCAGATTCATTTATTTATGTGCTTAAAATTGATAGAAAATAGCAAGTCATTTCAGTCTATTCATTAATTAAATATCAGTTGCTATTTCATATCTATGTGCAAAAGAATCTTGTCTATTTCACATGTTCCATAGGAAAATTATCTTCCTTTAAACTATGACCTCTGAGCACCAAATTCAGTCTACTGCCTGTTTGGTAAATAAAGGTTTATTGGAACACAACCACATCCATTTACTTTAGGCTGCATTACAACAGCAAAGCTGAGTAGATCTTACAGCTCTAAAGCCTAAAATATTTAATCTCTGGCTCTTTACAGAACATTTGCCTACTCCTGCATTAAAACATTTTTCCATTCTAACTTCAAATAACTCCAATTGGTCTTTTCTGTCGTTCCTGATAGGAAAGCCTGTTTGAGCTTTTGGCATGGGCATCTGACATTAGCTGAATCCATAGACCCTGGCCTTGATATGTTTACCCTGGCATTTATAATATGGCTCAGTTTGGATTTGGTGGAGGACACTATGCATTGGTGGGAAATTAGGAATCTTGTTTTGTTTTGTTTTGTTTTTGAGATAGGTCTTGCTCTGTCACCCAGGCTGGAGTGAAGTGGCATGATCTTGGCTCACTGCAACCTCCAACTTATGGGCTCAGGTGATCCTCCTGCCTCAGCTTCCTGAGTAGCCGGGACTACAGGCATGCACCACCATGCCTGGCTAACCTTTTGTATTTCTAGTAGAGATGGGTTTTCACCATGTTGGCCAGGCTGGTCTCAAACTCCTGACTTCAAGTGATCCACCTGCCTCAGCCTCCCAAAGTGCTGGGGTTATAGGCATGAGCCACCATGCCAGTCTAGGAATTTGGTTTTTAAAGAATCCTTAAATCCTGGAGTTTGGATCTCTGGACACCTCCCCCTATCCCAACCAAATAGGTTCTGGGTAACTAACTCCCACTCCCACGTTAAATCCACTCCACAGCATTAAAAGAATGGTCCAGAGTATTGGTATTTTTGTTATTATCCACTCCAAAAGATACAATTGAATTCGATTAGCAATATAGCAGGAAGGCTACTGCTCCAGCGACTGCTTTTGTCTTACCCCAAAGCAGCTCAAGTTCATTAAAATCACAATTATCTGACTCTTAATTAGGTGAGATAATTTAATTAACAATGCCCACTTAATTGTCGATGGCAGGAAACTGAGACGAGCAGGCTCCATGGTGGCTGAGGCAACTTAGCTTGAAATATAGTGGATGGCATTCTGAACCAGCCGGCTCAGTGAGCTCTGTGCATGCACTTGGCATGTGAAAGACCTGAGAAAAGTAAACTTGGCTCTCATTAGAAAATCTAATTCTGATCTGGAATGGTGAGGGTGAAGGATTTATAGCATGATGGCCAAAATAATGATCCTGAATCAGCTCCCTAAATCCTTGTCATTCATTCATTCATTCATTCATTCATTCATTCATACATACATTCATTTACTCATTTTCTATTTCTCCACTTTTATTCCTTCTCTTGTTTCTTCCTTCTCTCTCCACCTTCCAAAATCTATTAAAACCTTATTTTTGTTCTATTAAGTATAAAGTGCTTTGTTGGATACCAAAAATGGGTAAGAAGACTTTTTTTAATTTTAATTTTTATTTTTTATGGGAAGAGGCCCGGGCAGTCTGAATTTCAAGAAAAGGAATGATGATGGTAACTTTGATAACCACAGTTTATTGAGTCCTTATCATGCACCAGGCAATATGCTAAATGCTTTAATCTCATTATCTTATTTTATGTTCACAAACCCCTGTAAGCTAGGTATTATCATTTGCATTTTACCAATGAGGAGAAACTGGGGCTTCAGGTGATAAAGGAACATGTTTAGGGTCATGTAGCCAATAAAGGACAGAACCTAGATGCAGCACAGATACCTATAATGCCGTTGCTTTCAAACACTAGATAATGGTTCCCTTGCGCAGCTCTTAAACCCACAGAACGGTACACACCCCACAGCATCCCTCTCAAACCTTGGGACCTCCAGTCCTTACACTGCTTACTTTAGTGCAGGCATACCTATGTGTCCGGCTTTTAAAACTCATAACCCTGGGCTCATGGGGGCCAGGTCCTTTCTTTTTAAGCTTCTTTTCTTGCTGTTTCAACCTTCTGTTGTGGGATGTTGCTAAAGAAAAAAAGTGTTCATGACACTTGTTAAAGATGGCAAGGAAGACTATTCAAGGTCAGGGACTAGGATGGGAAGTATAGGGACCATTGCAATGGGGTCTTACAGTGGGGGAGACAGACTGGTCTCAACTCTGACTCCAGCAAGCGTAAGTGGAGATTTATAGCCAAGGAGCAAGGTGAGGGGTCAGGAGATGGAAAATTACTAAGAGACATCAGGGATAGGGGGATTCTGGCTAGACTGACTTGATAAAATTCTTGCTTAAGGCAGGCCAGAGTGGGGGATAAGGAATTTGATTAGATTACCAAGGATGAGAGATTTTCACTAAACTGACCAAGCAAGAGTCTGCTAAAACTGGACTAACTGGCCAGAGTCACTAGGGCAAGATCAGAGCCAAAGACCAGGGCCTAGTAAGAAAGAGAACTCAGAGAAACCTGACTCAAGTCTTGTCAAGGGAGAGAATGACAGAGTCCAGAAGGGCGGAGCTCAGGGCTCAAAGCAATGCACTTCTGATCCTCAGTGGTGGTGCCATTCAATGACTTCGGCTTCAGGTCCTGTGTTTTACTCCTTTTGCCTTGCACCTTCGATTATACACTCTTTCGTGGACATACAAGGACTTTGAAATTGTTCAAAGTCTGGTAAAAAATTTCCATAAAGTACTTCCATAGCTTTTAGCAGATTCTCTAAGGGGTCCCTATGAGATTTAAAAAAAAAAATCTAGACTCCTCATAAGTGTCTCTCAGAGCTGTGACCTACACACTCATGGTGACTTGTTAAAAATGCAAATTCCTAGGCCCCAGTCTGGAACTGGCTCAGGGATTGGCAATTCCTAAAACGCCCAGAAACCTGCATTTTTAAACAACTATCTCTTATTAAGAAATGCCTGATCTTCAAGGTGGCAGCACCAAGCTGTGATGACATTTGAAGTCCTGGATTGAAATCTTCCTATTATTTTGCTAGGACCTGGGCTTGGAATGCATCCAGCATCCTGCTGAGGCCTGGGGGAGCTGAAGGGGTGGGGGAAGCCGGCTGTATGTTTGCAGGTGCAAACATGGCTGTATTTCTCACGTGGCCTTTTCCCTGGGGCTTTATTTTGTCCAGCAAGCCAGCCCAGTTTCCATTGTTTTCAACAACTGTGATTGCTGCCAGTGTGTAGGGAAATGTGAACTCTAAAGCTTGATTCAAACACTGTGACCAGCTTTTATTCCAAACAGCAGCCCCTAGGGCTCTGTTTGCAAGGCAGCCCCGAGGCCTTTGAGGCCAGGGTCACAGTTTCCTCTGTTTGGGGGCAGAAGGAGCACAAGCTGACCTTTCCCTGGCTCTCTACAGCCTTGTAAATGTTGAAGTTTGTGTAGTTTGCTCGTTCTTTACAATCCCGCAGAGCTCCTTGGGTCAGTTTCAGCACAGGGAGCGCTCGACTATTAAGCATTTTTGAGGACCCTGGGCAGGAAATACCCACGTTGGCCCTCTTGCTTGTAGCACCAGGTTCAAAGCTGGTCAGGAGGTTATGTCCCAGGTGCTGACCATGATTATACTGCTTTGGGAGATGATCTCCTTGCTTTAGGTCACAGACAAGTTAGTGACACAACTAGACCCCACATTTGACATCTAGCCCAGTGGCTCAGTTCTCAGCCTTCTTTGCTTCCAATGGAGAACCAGTCACCCATACAGCAGAAAATCTGACACATTCTGTCCCTCAGACCTGTGGGATATAGAAAGGCTATTTTCCTGTTGAACCAACCCCTCCCATGCCCCTTTCCTCTCCCAATCCACTGGACCAGAAAATGGTACAAACTCTAAAAAACATCAGACATTACACTTGGGTCCTAGTTTTTGAGGGCCAATGTCCTGGGACTTTCTCCCCAAGTTTTTCAAAAACAATCACATAAAAGCGAACTATTGATAATTTAATAGATATTTATTCCAGGTAGAACTCCACACAAGGTAAACTATAATCCCTAGAGATTACACACTTCCTTCTTCCTCACCTCAATTCATTACCAAGTCCTAGTAATGTTAATTCCATTTACCTCTTGACTCCATTGACCGCTGTCTATCCACAGTCCCCAGCCTGGTTAGGTTTCCAACTCCTGAGCTTGAATGATTGAAATAGCCTCCTACTTCTGTTCAGTTTCACTCCTACCTCCAACCCCAGATCCATTCTCTACAAAGCAGGTAGGGCTATATTTTCTAAAATACAAATTTGATTATGTCATTCCCAGCTTAAAGCCTGTCAAGAGCTTTAGAAAATCTACCATAATGAGGTCCCCTTGTGATAGGGTTCCCACCAACTTTCTAAGCCTGCTTTCCTTGTCTTCTATGTGCTTTCTGTTACATTTCTAGAAAACGCTGTGCTATTTCTCTTCCTTTCCCTGCTCAACGTCTAGATCATCCTTCAGAGCTCATCAGAAAACCCTCCCTCTGAGAACTTTTCCTGACCTCCCAACTGGTCAGGAGTCCCTGTTAAAGCCTTATAGCACTTATCAGCACTTACCACCATCTATATTTATATATTTTCATGTGACTCTTTAATTAGTGCCTGCCTCCTCTGTCTCGACTGTGAGTCCTCAGAGGGCAGAGACTCTGTTTAGTTACATCCTCCTTTTTCCCTGATGACAGTCACTGTACCAAACTCAGAGATATTCATTCTATTTCTAATGAATGAGCCTAATGAATGAGGAAAAGAGTAACTTCCTACATTAAAGAAGTTTACTGACTGGGTTGGAAACATTGAAATCTTCCTCTCTTGTACTTGCTAAGTGAGCCCTAGGATTTGTATGACAAAAAGCCATATATAGCTCAAATCTGCTTTGGAGGCTTTGTGGGGCCACTAGGTCAGCAAGAACACCTGGCTTGTGCTCTGAAACAATTAGCCTGACTTGGGTTGCATTGGATTTTGTTAAAACATGTGCCGATTGCTACGAAAACTGTTTGCATATAATCAATCTTCAGCTGCAGAGAGATGTCGAGTATGGGAGGGCGTGTCACGCTGGCTGTTTATAAACTCTGCACGACTGAGGACTCTTCCCCAACATCCCAGAGTCTGTAGTCCTTGCCTGCCCTTTCCCAAAGCAGGAGTGCCCTTCTGGATGAGCCCATTGCGTGAATTATTTTCCTTTTGCTTCCTCAAAATCAAATGAGCCAATGTATTTGGGGCCCCAGGGTAAGGGAAGAATGTGAGACACATTCCTGGTGTGTCCAAGACCAAATTGAAGGGAGGTCCAATAATGTAAGGTCAAGTAGCCATAGGAGTCTATGGGCTGCATGCTTCTGTACTTCTCTATGCCTCATTCCCCTCATCTGCAAAATGGGATGAGAGTGATTCCTACCTTGTCAGGAGATAGGAAGGCCTAATAGGAATAGTCCATATGAAGCAGTGGGAACAGTGCCCAGCACATAGTAAATACTCAGCCAGAGGTATCTTTGGTAAAACTTCATCAAAGACACTCAAGCTGACTGCTGGTGAAGGTGGAGAGTTCCCTGATTCCCCTTGTAGGACCTCTGATTCCCCTCATAGGATGTGCGACACGAGTGTGGCTCACCTGTTTCATCACCCCACAGCTCAAATTCCTAGGGGGAACATGCAGACGGGCAAGTGCAGAGGCCGGAGTGAGTGCTTTGGGCTCTTGACCCCACGGTAGTGTCTATCGGTGAGTGCCTGCAACACCAGTGTTACAAAGCTCTTTCAGCTTTACCATCTGCAGACAGCTTTGAGTGTTAATCAGCTCAATGGACCCTCTGCCTTATTGCAAAGGAAGAGGGCCAGTATGACAGCCTTCTGTATCCCAAGCTCTTGTCCAGTGTCCTGGAATAATC